>NC_000008.11:2175995-2478280 GCF_000001405.40 Homo sapiens
ATCCAGTAAGTAACCTCAGTATTAAATAGAGAGGAAAAAAAATCACTTGGTGAAGATATCCACTCCCAAACAGCAATAGATGGAAAAGGTTATAAATCCAGTTACGATTCAACTAAAGACTAATTGGACCGCTTTCATAAGAACAGATGAGACTTCCTAGCAAGGCAGACAATTGATCGTGCCCTGTAATTCCAGACAGTCCTTCTGTCAGAGATGCTGAGAAAGGTCCCACTGAGTCAGGACCTGCCACTGGAACCCTGCGCCTGGCAGGGAAGGGACCCCAGAGGATGAAGGGCAGGGACTTGGGGTACTGACTTGGCTATGCAATGACCTAATTCTCTAAAAAAATGCAGATTTTGTCATGCCTTATGTCCTGAATCTGTGAGTATCTCTGTTCTATGTGATAGTGTAGACCGTAGATGCTAGAGGAGCAGCAAGTTGTTTAAACATTTTAAATAAAAAGATCAGGTAATAATATTAGGATCTCTTTAGAATTTAGCTAGAAATGAACAGATTTGAATCATCAATGCAAAAAGATCTCCCAATGAATATATTGAAAAATAGTATCATATTGCAATTTGGAGTAACTATTTTCCCACTTAAATAATTTTATTTTACCAGTTTTGTGTAACGTGAGGATAGTAAATCCTTTTTAATCTACATTTTAATGTCATTTTGAGGACCCAATACGATGCTAACAAGTGGTTCCACAATCTCAAACTTCCATGTGTGAAATGTTGTATGTGAGGATTTTATCCCTTCCCCAGCAATACTGACACTTTCCAGTAAAAAAAAAGATACCAGTTTAGAATTTCTCTACTCTGTAAAATAAAAATAGGGAGAATATGTACTTTTGGCCGCCTTGAGAGGGAAGGAGCTCTTTCAGAATATTGTTCCTTCGAAGTTGACCCTCCTTGGTGAGGCTGGGCATGCCCAGGGGCAGGGGCTCTGTCTTTCCTGCACAGACATTCCCATCGCAGAGCAAATGCAAACATTGAGAGAAGCCACAAATGGTTTGTGTGTGTGCTGCTGCAGTGGAATGCACTGTCTTTATTTTAAAATTATTTTTAATTTTTGTGGGCACATTGGAGGTGTATATACTTATGCGGTACATGAGATGTTTTGATGCAGGCGTGAAAGATGAAATAAGCACATCGTGGAGAATGACGCTTCTATGCAATAATATGTGTCTGGATGCTTGTCACAAGTATCTAGCCCTTCGAGCATTTATCCTTTGTGTAACAATCCAATTATACCGAGTTCTTTTAAAATGTACAATTAAGTTCTCACAAGTGCTTTTAATGAGTAAGAGATGATAAAGGCAACATGCTTTTACAGGTCCAAAATGACTGAAGTTGTGATTTGTAATGTGGCATTCCCTCTATTGTGTGTAAGGTCAACACCATTCTATTTTGAATAACAGAAACACTATTATTATTATTACCTTTATATGGCTCACCTTGATTTTTGGTCCTTCTACACTACTTTTTTCCTGTAGGTGATTACTTTTTGGCTGGGTGCAGTGGCTCACACCTGTAATCCCAGCACTTTGGGAGGCTAAGGCAGGCAGATCACCTGAGGTCAGGAGTTTGAGAACAGCCTGGCCAATATGGTGAAACCCTGTCTCTACTACAAATATAAAAATTAGCTGGGCGTGGTGGTGGGCATCTGTAATCCCAGCTACTCGGGAGACTGAGGCAGGAGAATCGCTTGAACTGGGGAAGCGGAGGTTGCAGTGAGCAGATAGCACCATTGCATTCTAGCCTGGGTAACAGAGTAAGACGCTGTCTAAAAAGAAATTTTTTTTTTTAACTTTTAAGCTCAGGGGTGCATGTGCAGGTTTGTTACATAGTTAAAATCATGTCATGAGAGTTTGTTGTACAGATTATTTCATAGCAGGTGTTGAGCCACTACCCAATAATTGTTTTTTTCTGATCCTCTCCCTCCTTCCACCCTCTACCCTCCAGAGGGGAACAACCCACACTGGGGCCCAGGGAGGGTGGTGGGCGGGAGGAGGGAGGAGGGAGGGGATGAGAATAATAATGGTTACTAGGCTTTATACCTGAGGCTGAAAGAATCTGCACAACAAACTCCCACGGTGCGAGTTTACCTATGAAACAAACCTGCACATGCACCCCTGACCTTAAAAGTTAAATAAGAAAACCAAAACAGCCACAACAGCAAACACTGTGTAAGTGAATATGAAGAGTGGAAATTCTTGACGCCTTTCCTCCTTGTGTACACGTGAGCCTGTGCCGAATCGCAGGGGTGGTTTCCGTGCTGTCCACTCGCCGTCCGCTTCAGTGTGTGAGGACTGGGAGCGTTATCAGTTGTAACCAGAGACAACACTCCCACAGGAGATATCACAGTGTCCCTTCCTATGAATAATACGTGTCTGTTTCTTGACGCTTCCTCTACTTTTGGACATTTGGGTGGTTCTTGGCATTTAATCATAAAAATGCTGAAGTAAATGTCCTTAGGTGTCAATTTTGCATACTACTTTATGACATTAGTATTTTCTTTTCTTTCTTTTTTTCCCCTCTCTTCCTTCCTTCCTTCCTTCCTTCCTTCCTTCCTTCCTTCCTTCCTTCCTTCCTTCCTTCCTTCCTTTTTTTTTTGACAGTGTCTCTCTCTGTTGCCCAGGCTGGAGTGCAGTGGTGTGACCTCGGCTCACTGCAACCTCTGCCTCCCAGGCTCTAGCAATGGAACTATAGGCACCACCATGCCCAGCTAACTTTTTGTATTTTTAGAAGAGACAGAGTCTTGCTATATTGCCCAGGCTGGTCTTGAACTCCCGGGCTCAAACGATCCGCCCCCCTCAGCCTCCCACAGTGTGAGCCACAACATCTGGCCGATATTAATATTTTCCTGCAGAAGTGGACTCACTGTTTATACATTCGTGGTGTTACCAGTGTGATAGTTTCGTATGGGCACATATACCCTATGTATACATAGGCATAGGTGCATCTTACTGGTTTTCCTTTCATCTTGTTTTGGGGTTTCCATAGGTTCAAACCCTTATAGTGGAGGCATTTGCATGCTTTATTTCAGGTAACCCTCCCAACAATCTTGTGAGGTAGACGTCACCGTCACCGCTGTGCCAGGGAGAAACTTCGGCTGGATTCAGGCCCAGAGCTGGGGCGTGGCAGAGCTGGGGTTCAGGCGGGGACCCCCGCACACAGCCTGCTCCTGTTTTCTGGGCTGCGTCCCCGGCGTGGTTAAGAGTCCTGGGCGGCTCATGCAACTGCACGGAGTGGCTGTGACTCCACGTAATAAACGAGGAGGCTCTGTAAAGCCCCCTTTTGTCCGAATACGAGGGCTTCGGCGATTCCTTTCAACAGTCCCGTGCATCTGAAGCTCATGCTGCTGCTGCTGATTTTGGAATCGCCCTTTTTGCCATTCACGTTTTCAAGACTTTTTACGTAGCAGTTCGAAGGCTTTTATTTAATTTGAGAATCATCAGTGAGCTCATCAATTCTGGAAATGGAAACATTCCCAGTGTGCTTCATGGATAAAAACCTGTGACTCTGAAGCCCTGTCTCAGGACTTTGTGGATTTTAACATCACTCATCAGCTCCGGCTTGCTGTTTAAAGTTTTTAAAAATATAAAGCAAAAGGTGTTTATTTAATTTGACATTAATGCACAAACTGATCAATTATGGAAATACAAACATTTCCAATGTATTTTATTGATAAGAATTTTAAGCAACTAAAAGCATCCCCTTGTATGTTTTTCATTCCAACCCACTTGCATGTTGTAATTAAGACCCCACCAAGTCACACAGACAACACGCAACCTAAAAAGACCTGATCTTTCCTACTCTTCCTTTCCTATGAAGTTTGAAAAAGTCAGAAGTTAAAAACTGTTCATTTGTCACCACGGCCTATTACCAGACACCATCCCAGTTACCCTGGGTTCCGTGGACTCACTGGAAGTGGGGGTAAAGGATCCCGGGCATGCTCAGTCCTCCGTGGTGAGTGCCGGCAGTGATGAGATTTCCTCCTGTAATGGTCTGGGGGCTTCATCATGAGCTGCACCCGAACAGGGAAGGTGTCCCCACTGGAGGCAGTCTATTTTCCAACATCCCCAAAGACTACCAGTTGGGCATGGTTTGGTGGAGGCCGGGGGTTAGGACAAGCCTTCATCCAGTGTCCAGTGTTGCCACATGGGAAACAGACTCCCGGAGAGGTGGGGGAGTTTTCTTTCGGGTTATTGGGAGGCTTTTGTGTAACTGACTTTTGGACAGCAGAGGCCAGCATCTGGTATTTTAAATGGTGTTCTAGTTTGAGAGCAGTGAGGAGTGGTTGTCTTGGAGAGGTTGATGTAATTAGGAAAGTTATATTGAAAGAAACAAGCAAAAGGAGAAAAAAGTTATTTGTGTAGGAGTAAACTCCTGGAAAGTTCCCTGAAATCATAGGTCTCATAGTGCAGGGAGGAGGTCATCAGGACGTGTAATGGAAGTTTCATAAGGGTACCACCGAAGGTCTGTGACAAGGTTGGCTAGGAAACAATGAACGTCTGGAAGAAAAAGAGACATAAGTGGCTTATGTAGATTTCTCTTCCTTTTCCTCTGGGATTTGGATGGCGTGAAGGGAAGTGGGTCCCTTCCCTAGGATGGAAAAAACGCCTTTTTGGCGTTTGATGCTTACAGAGAGTAAGCAGCAAAGGCGCGTGTCGTGACACTTGCGGAGGCTGCAGTCCATGCTCCTTCCCCGCTTCCATGTGCTCTGCTCCAGAAACAAAGCGAGTTATGTGCTGACTCACAGATTCCTAGAAAATCCACTTGCTTTCCAGGGAAGAGCTGGGAGTGAGGAGACAGAGACAATGGTGTTTTTCCCACACCTGCCTGGGTTGCAGCTGGGATGGGCAGTGAGGCAGCTTCGGGGGGAACTCGCTTCTGTTTTCTCTTTTTAAATAAAACAGGGGCTGGATTTGATAAAGTCTGACACTGCTTTCTACTCTGTGGTTTCCTAATTCTGTTGTTCTTTATTTTCACAGACCATGACCTGGAACTTCTGAACGAACCTACTGTGAATTTTCTAAACCGTTGGCTGCTCTTGTTATTGTTAAATAGTGGAGGCATTTGGTGTAATCTTTTTCAATCCACATCCATTCCCCCAAACCAGAACAATGTTAGGCACGTAAAAGACACTCAGACATTTGGCGGGTGAGTGAGTGAGCCGAGGCCATCCTTGGCTTTGTTGCAGGACAGCCTTCCTTGTCGGCCTGCTGCTGGCTCTGCTGGTGTGGGCGTCAACTTGTGACGAGGACCTTCTTATGTGTGAGTTTGGGAGCTGGGCAGGTGCCTTCTCTAGGCTGGCTGCCTTCCTTTTATGAGAGAGCACTTCCTATAGATTATCACATATTTTTATATAGCCTACATCTTGTGCAGCTGAATTGAGGCAGCCTGGAGTGGCAGAAATAATTGTGGAGCCAGGAGGACTGGATGTCAGCATCAACTGTGACATTGATCCGTTGTGTGGTTTGGGGACACGTGCCTTGTGTCTCTGGGTCGTGTCCTCTCCAGCTTTAATGTGAGGGGATTGGGTGACACAGTCTCTGAGTTTCCTGCCCACTCTAAAAGTCTGTCTTCTTAATTCATTCTTGCATGTGAGGAAGAAATTCAGAGGTTATCAGGGGGACACGTGGGGAAGTGATGGCACCCGGCGAGGTTATCAGGGGGACACGTGGGGGAAGTGATGGCACCCGGCGAGGTTATCAGGGGGACACGTGGGGAAGTGATGGCACCGGCGAGGTTATCAGGGGGACACGTGGGGAAGTGATGGCACCCGGCGAGGTTATCAGGGGGACACGTGGGGGAAGTGATGGCACCCGGCGAGGTTATCAGGGGGACACGTGGGGAAGTGATGGCACCGGGTGAGGTTATCAGGGGGACATGTGGGGAAGTGACGGCACCCGGCGAGGTTATCAGGGGGACACGTGGGGAACTGATGGCACCCGGCGAGGTTATCAGGGGGACACGTGGGGAAGTGATGGCACCGGGCGTCGGCCATGGCTTTGGGCATCACGTGGGCACAGCTGCAGCCTGAGAAGTGGGGGTGCCGGCATCCGGCAGGGGCGGCTCTGCAAGCTGTGGCTCCGGGTTGGGGAGGCAAAGTGCTCCCGGCCTCCTGGGAGATTCGGAACATCTGCGTCGTCTTCATACTCCATTCCAGAGGAGTTGCCATCTTGCTGGGTCATGACACACACACACACACACACACACACACACACACACACACACACACACTCTCTCTTACTTTATGCTGACTCAGGTGTTGGTCACAGGCTTTCCCATTCACATCTTCTCATTTGAGGGCCCAAGTTCCTGTGGGTCCACGCTCAGTCCTGCCGGTTCTCTGCCTCCACCTTGCACCTGCCCAGGTGGCCTCTGAGCATTTGGAGGGGTGCATGCAAGGTGCCCTGTCCTGGGTAAAGTGGCTGTGGCTCTCTGGGGCACCCAGTGGATTCCAGCTGGTTTTGGCAGTGGTGTGGCTTGTCTATCCTGGACTGGAGGTGTGCACAGTGGACCCCAGCCCAGGAAGGGGAACTGGGGAACCTGTGGACTTGGCCATCTGCTTCTGCCTCCTAAATGACCCCGTCTTCTCCAGGAGTGGACGGGAGCTGGCAGCAGGTGTCCTCATCCATGCAAAGCCATGGGCAGTTGTGCCCTGATACCTCCTTGGAGAGGAGCAGGGGAGGATGAAGGATGCTCTGTGTGTAGCCCATGCCTGAGACTAAAACAGGTAGAAATCTCACTGAAACCCGAGGAGTCAGATGCCAGGAATTGGTGTCCTCTGTGTTTTCCTTTGTATCGCATGGAGGCGTGGACTCAAGAGGAGGATGAGCCTCGAGCACTGTGGGTGTGGGTGTGGACGAGTCTCCTGCCAATGAAATAGTTGCGCAATCGCAGAGCAAGGGAGACAGGAACGTCAGGGCCAAACATTTCCTCCTGCCAATTTTGGTTTCATGTTCCTCTAAACGCCTTCTTCTCTTTCCCAGGAGCCTCTTTGAAAACTCTGTAAGTCACACATGAGCTTGTTTTGCTGAGAAGGGCACCAAGACCAGCAAGTCTCCTTTATTCATGCAACCAACGTGTTCCGATCCACCCCATCAGGGTCCGTGCTGAGTCCGAGGAAGACACAAAAGTTCAGTCGCTCCCTGTTCTGCCTTTGTGGCTTCACAGAGGAGAATCATGTCACAGTGTGTTGGTGAAAATGAGATGATGTGGGGACACTTTTCTGTCTGAGTCAAATTGCTTAACACCATATATGCAATTCGTGTCTAGTTTTCTCTGCTTTTAAAGGACCACTTTAGAATCTTATGACAACGATGTGTAACCCAGTTCATCGTCACCCTTTGTGGATGGCGATGAGGGCTGGTTTGTTGAAGTGGTAGGGTTGCGACCCAGGTCTCCAAACTCTAGGTTTCTGTGTTTCCCTCCCCAGTCCGTGAAACCCCTCATGCCTGTCGGCTGGGGGAAGATGCCAGTGGCCTCTCCAGAACATCTGAAGGCCAACCTGAGTGGCGCTGGACTCTGTCATCAGAGCAGCCCACAGAGGGCCAGCACGGCTCTTCCACGTGAGATGCCTTGGCTGATCACCACTTCTAGGTTAGCTCAGGACACATGATCACCTAAACCGAGTGCACAGGAGCTGTGGGGAGGTGGACGCAGGCCTTTCCTCTGCGAGGGAGCTGATGGGGACACGCGATCACCTAGACGGAGTGCGCGGGGGCTGTGGGGAGGTGGATGCGGGCCTTTCCTCTGAGAGGGAGCTGATGGTTTTGTGCAGCAGTCACATGTCACTGACCCCACTCCAGATAATGCCACTGCTACGTTCTATTTTAAATACCTTTCCTGTCTTTACCAGAGTTGATTTATGCATATGCATATGTATCCCTATTTCACATCTTACTCTTTACACATTCACAGACTACTCATGTTGGAGGGGCTCCTAGAGACTGAAGTAGTATTTGGGCTCCCATCTGTCTTTCTGCCTGTCCTTCTTTTTTTCCTTTTTCTACAGGTGGGAAACACCCCTTTCCTGACTCCCTGATTCTGAACTGGGCTGTCCATCAACAATGCAAGGTCTGAGTTCCAGGGGTCCGGTGGGCAGGCCACATCGTGCATGTGGTGTGAGGGCCTGAAGGTGCTTCCACAAGACGGATACTCAGAGTCATTTTACTCTGGTTGAAGGTATCTGCGAGGAACAGGGATTACATCCACCTGAGCAGAGTCCAGTGGGCAGCAAGTCTCACTGATACCTTACAGGAGGGACCCCAGGCCTGGGAATGATCGCTGTGTTCAGGGCACTGTGCCACTTGTCTGGGCACTGAGAACACAGCGCAGGTCCCGTGACTCCCATGTGTGATGACAGGGATGTGTAAAGTAACCCGGGAAGCTTGTCAGGTGTAGAGCTGAATTTCACACACACAGAGCATCTACTTTACCACGTTCTCTGATGTGTGACATCATCGGTCTCTGCATGAGTCCTGTGAGGGGCCGAAATTTGGATCCTTGACATATTAACTGTTATTGAATAGGCTGTAAGTGAATCTCATACTTCATTTATGCTTTTAATGTTTCTTTAGTTAGATTCTAAATGCATTTTGCTTTCTCCTGCGCTCTTCCCTGAGACCAGAAAAATTGCCTGTTTTCAATTCTCTGATAAGTGAGTCTTCCCCCATAATGAACTAACAAATATCTTCATTAGTGCTTCTCATTTCCACTTGCAGTTTGCTCAAAATTAAGCAATGCAGTGCTTCTGCAGATGTGCTTTCTAAGCATCTAAAATAGAGACATATAGGAATCAAATTTCCATTTCCCTACAGATTATCTGATTACATAGGATCAAACGCAGCCACTCTCAATGATCCATGCTAATGGGAGCAGGGGTGGCTTGGGAAAATGAAAGCCATTGAGCTCAGAAGCTCTCTTCCCCCATTTATTTCAGCCTTCCCACCCAGCCAGCATTTGACAAGCACCACTAACAAGCAGTGAAATTGACTGGCTGATTCCATCTCTCCATCCTTTCAAACTCGTGCTAATGAGCAGGCGAATCACAAACAGGGAAAAGAGGGAAGAGGCAGGATGCTCGGATAATCCCCCAACTGGAACACCCCTTCTGCAATCATTGCAATCATATGGACATGCACCAGCTGGATTTAAAATCGATTAGAAAGATTGACACCAAAAGGTGCGTTTGGGAGTGGCGTTGGGATGAAGACGGCCTGCTTATTATTATTTTTCTTTCCACAAAATCTCTCTCATTACACGGCAAACACATCGCACTAAACTGGCCATATCTCGGCACCACTGTGTCTGGAAGTCTCACCCTTTAATGCCTTGTTTTGTCTGGTGGCGAGGATTTTCCTCTCCCTCTCGTTGAAATGTTTCTTCTGCCCGTGCTTCTGTAAAATATATATGTGTATATATAGATAATAATAGTCATAATCATAATAATTATTATTATTTTTGAGACGGAGTCTTGCTCTGTCTCCCAGGCTGGAGTGCAGTGGTGCGATCTCGGCTCTCTGCAAGCTCCGCCTCCCGGGTTCACGCCATTCTCCTGCCTCAGCCTCCCGAGTAGCTGGGTCTACAGGTGCCCGCCACCACGCCCGGCTATTTTTTTGTATTTTTAGTAGAGACGGGGTTTCACCGTGTTAGCCAGGATGGTCTCGATCTCCTGACCTCATGATCCGCCTGCCTTGGCCTCCGAAAGTGCTGGGATTACAGTGGTGAGCCACCGTGCCTAGTCGCTTCTGCAGTATTTTAATGTAGGATCTTTTCCTTCTAAACTGTGCACCCTAAATATACTTGATTTCAAAACTCTGTATTTTCATTCTTGGCCTTTTCTTGTGTCTATTTCAGCACTGTGTTAACATTTCCATGTATCTTGTTTCAAGTTGAAGTAAGATTTATCTCTGCTTTAAAAATTTAAATGTAAAAATAGTAGTGGGTTTTTAAATGTAATTTAAATTTAAAATTCAGATTTTCTTATTCTGTTTTTGGCGTGGTATGTGCTATGAGAGAGAAATCAGTAAGTAAGAAGACAGTCATGATCATCAAAAACTACAGAGGGAGAGAATAAATGCCAAGACAGAAATGGGGTTATTGTTGAAGTTTTTTTTTTCTTTTCTTTTTTGGGACGGAGTTTCACTCTTGTTGCCCAGGCTGGAGTGCAGTGGTGCCATCTCAGCTCACTGCAACCTCTGCCTCCCGGGTTCAAGCAATTCTCCTGCCTCAGCCTCTCAAGTAGCCGGGATTGCAGGCATGTGCCACCACACCCGGCTAATTTTTGTATTTTTAGTAAAGACAGGGTTTCACCATGTTCATCAGGCTGGTCTCGAACTCCTGACTTCGGGTGATCTGCCCACCTCAGCCTCTCAAAGTGCTGGGATTACAGGTGTGAGCCACTGCGCCCAGCCTATTGTTGAAATTCTGTATGCAGAACCCAAAAGTCCTCACTTTATTGGTCACATAGCAGACTGCTGGGACTGCACTAGGTTATCACATACATGATCTCATTTAGTTTCCACAGTAACCCAGAAAGTACATGACATTTCAATCCCCATTTCATTGATAAGGAAAAGGCAGCTTTGAGAAGTTCAGTAACTTCCCCAGGGTCTCTTCAGTAGTAAATTCCGCAATCTGATTCCATAAAGGGTGATGACCCTCTGTACTGTTATTTTTTCCTTCTCATTCAAATGTCATGAGAAGGATAGAAAGTGTGAGGGCAAAACCAGCTTTTCAAAAAAGACTTAAAATGTACTTTTTTACATGAGGGAGGCCTAAGTGCTCATGCAGACCTCTTAATGAGTCAGTCAAGAGGATGAGGACAAAGAGACAGGGAGAGGAAGGGGCTTTCGTAGTAAGTTTCTTAAAAAGAAATATGGAGGTGGAGGCGTGACCAGGGGCAGGTGGGGTCGCCAGGTGGTGGCTCAGATGCAGAGGACATGGAGGCATCCTGAGGTGGATGACAAGGCGTGGAGGGATGCGATGCCCCAGAATGCCTCCATGTCCTCTGCACCTGAGCCACACGCTGGAAAGGATGGAGAGAAGATGGAATCAGCCAGTCCGTTCATGTCCTCTGCACCTGAGCCAGACGCTGGAAAGGATGGAGAGAAGATGGAATCAGCCAGTCCGTTCATGTCCTCTGCACCTGAGCTAGACGCTGGAAAGGATGGAGAGAAGATGGAATCAGCCAGTCCGTTCATGTCCTCTGCACCTGAGCCAGACGCTGGAAAGGATGGAGAGAAGATGGAATCAGCCAGTCCGTTCATGTCCTGTGCACCTGAGCCATACGCTGGAAAGGATGGGGAGAAGATGGAATCAGCCAGTCGGTTCATGTCCTCCGCACCTGAGCCGTACGCTGGAAAGGTTGGAGAGAAGATGGAATCAGCCAGTCGGTTCATGTCCTCCGCACCTGAGCCGTACGCTGGAAAGGATGGAGAGAAGATGGAATCAGCCAGTCCGTTTTGCTGCTTGTTAGTGGTGCTTGTCAAATGCTTGCAGGGTGGAAAGGTTGAAATAAATGGGGGAAGAAAGCTTCTGAGCTCACTGGATTTCGTTTTCCCAAGTTATTTATATTCCCACTAGCAGGAGTAATCAAGAGTGGCTGCATTTGTTCCTGCAAGGCATTAATACAATGTTCTTATACCTGTAATAGCAGGTGGAGAGTTTAGAGTGTCTGCTTCTAAGAATCTGAGGAGTGTCTTTTTTGTGATTAGTATGAGCCAAATAGTTCTAGTTGACTTAAGAATATGTTAATGTATCATCTTGATAAAATATTTAATTTGAAAGAAGAGAAATAACGGCAGCTAACTTTTGGCTAAAGTGGTGATCAGGGAAGCGCATCTTGGAAACAATGATTTATACTAAAGTGTTTATTCCAGAAACTCAAAGATAAGTGTCAGGTGGATTTTTGGATTCTTCAGTATACTATCCCGGGTGTGATGAGGAGCACATATAAGGAAATAGAATGGATAAAGAAGAAAAGTGTAGGAATAAAGAGCTAAGGGAATGGGGAAGTTTCAACATCATGGGACTATTGAACTGTAATTCAGAAGACACAGTCAAATAAAACTACAAGTAGAAGCTCGGAGAAAAAGCTGCTGCCTTCTCAGCTGCTACGAGGTGAGGAGTCAGGGATGGGGATTCAATGGACATGTGAATGGCCGTCGTCTCTGTCACCTGGGTGGAAGTTCATAGCATGTCTCTGGTTCTCCATGTGGGGGTCACGCCCTCCACTTTCTCAAGCTATGAGTCACAAGCAATGGCCCATGCTGTGTAGCTCCATTTCTAACCCGGAAGCTTCTGGAACGGAACTGTTCACCTACCATTTTCATATGATGGGATACATTGAAAGGTTTTGGCCGACAGAAGAATTAGCTCAACGCTGTAGTTTGCATAAAGAGCTGCCCTGCACTGTGTTCACAGAGAAGCACTGCTCTTGCACTTTCCTCATGGTGTTTGGTGTTTGCACATGAGACTTAGCTCATGTGGCTAAGCCCATGGGTTTCCAGGCGAAAGAAAAGGCTTATAACTAGCAAGGTGTCCCTAGGGTCTCAAGTGAGGGAGACAGAGCAGAGGGGACTTCTGAAGGCCTGAGGCACCCCTGACTGCTGCATGGTAAAATTTCTAGGGTGAAGCCAGTTTTCCTTTCTGCACAGTGGTCACTGGGGGCAATGAAACCGGATCATCGGGAAGGGATCTGGTCTTCTCTCTGTGTAAATGCTCGTGTAGATGAGATTGAGACTACACTCCTCTCAGTTGTCTGGCCTTTTTGTGCAGCTTGCATTTTCAAAGACTCACTGAAAAAAATAAGAGGCAACGGACTTTGACTTGCTCCCTTCAGTGGTACTTGGTGCAAGTTATAACAACCTGACATATGAATCTAGAGGTTTACAGATGGAGAGTCACTGTTATTTGTCTCTACAAAATTATTTCTTTATCCAGGTCTGCTACTTTATCTGCAAATACATTTAATAATGTTGGCTTGTACTGTTCTTTTTTTTTTTTTTTGACAGAGTCTTGCTCTGTCTCCCAGTCACCCAGGCTGGTGTGCAGTGGTGTGATCTCTGCTCACTGCAGCCTTCACCTCCTGGGTTCAAGTGATTCTCCTGCTTGTATTGTTCTTGTTTTAGCCATTTCATTCACCCCCAAACTGTAGAGTAAATGAATGTTTTCACATAATAGGCATTTAATGAGTGCCTGTTGTATTCCACAGCACTGATTTGACTGACACGTTGCTTTGTTTCGAGACACTAGCACGTGGGTTTTGGAGTCAGACTGATGGTCACCTCTTGGCTTGGCCCTAGTCGGTAGTTTATGCTGGGCAGTTTATTTACTCTTGTGAGCCTCATTTTCCTCACCTGAAACAAAGCAATTATAACAGTTGTGTAATGTATTCGTCTGTTCTCACACTACCTGAGACTGGGTAATTTATGAAGAAAAAAGTTTTAATTGATTCACAGTTACGCTTCAGAACAGCCCATATAAGCTTTACAGCCCAACAGTTTGCTGTGGACTATAATTCTATTGGCTGTTCTGAAGTCGGGGGTGTGTGTGCCATCTAAGTCAAAAGTTTTAATGTGCAAAAGTTGTTCACACCCAGGTTATGGAAAGATAGGAAAGAAAGCTAATGAATCTCATCCTGTGCGGTGGTGTGGTAGCTTAGCCCTCTGGTCCAGGCTGCCTGTTCCCCAGCGTTCCGCAGTATGGGAGCTCTGATCCCAGCTGAGGCCACAATCACACGAGATGTGATTTTGAAAACTCACCATGTTCCCTCCAGATCACACCACTGTTCATTCAGCCCCGCCCCCACGGCCCACAGGCGTGGCTGCATTTCAAATGGCATTATTAAAAAAACTAGACACCTATTTAATTACTTTAAATTCAGTGTTCCCAGTACACGTTCTGGAATTAAACACATCCTGAGACGGGCATTTTTTGCACCTATAAATCAGGTGGATGTCTGGAGATGATTAGTTCTGTTATGCCGCATTGTAGGTAGGAAGTCATTTGCTTCTTTTGTTGTTTTTGATCCATGTTTATCATTCTCTCCAAGTTGAAGTTATTTATCCAAACAGTGCAAGTAAAGAAGTGGGAGGAAGGGAGATTAAAATAAGAAGGATGTTCCTTGCTTTAAAAATGCGGCACTGAGAAAACATCTCAGGAGATGAAGTGGAGCTGCAGAAAGCCTGGGAGGAGGAGGGGCGGATTAGAGCTCCTGGCTGGGGTGGAGAATTTAATGTCTGTTTGTAAACGATGCAGGTTCTAAAAATGATCATTAGCAAGCAATGGTGCTGAAAGGACAAGTAAAAAAGTACCCCCAAATAATATTCATTTAGACAGACCTGAGAACACTGCAGGCCCCCATAGGACAGGGCTTGGTTAAGACTTCAAATGTGAATCGAGGCATGCTTTTAAGATAGTCAACATGGTGGCTTTAGAGATAAGATGGCAACAGCCTTTTTCTTTTTTTCTTTTTTTTTCTTTTTTGAGATGGAGTCTTACTCTGTCACCCAGACTGGAGTGCAGTGGTGCGATCTCGGCTCACTGCAACCTCCACCTCCCAGGTTCAAGCGATTCTCCTGCCTCAGCCTCCTGAGTAGCTGGGACTACAGGCACCTGCCACCATGCCCAGCTAATTTTTGTATTTTTAGTAGAGATGGGGTTTCGCTATGTTGGCCAGGCTTGTCTCTAACTCCTGGCCTCAGGTGATCTGCCTGCCTTGGCCTCCCAAAGTGCTGGGATTACAGGCATGAGCCACCACACCTGGCCAGCAGGCTTTTGACTGAAGCAAAGATTGGAGACTCTGCCAGTTACAGGAGCTGCCATACTCATATCCTTCTTCACAATGCAAATAACTCATAATAGTAGGCCACGTGTCTGCTGTGTTCTTTAATAAATGACTAATGTTTCCTTTACTTATTCTTATGAAAACCATTCCAATTTGCTGATATATTGTAACTTGTGAGGACTGAAGGAGACAATATTGGTCAAACAACAGGACCTTGCCAGGTGAACAGTAGGTCTCGCTTGCTGCAGGGGCCATCAGCTCTGTCTGGGCTCCTTCAGAGGCAGCAACAAATGCAGTAGTCCTCACTCCTTCCTTCCTTCCTTTCCTTCCTCCCTCCCTCTCTCCCTCCTTCTCTCCTCCCTTCCTCCCTCCTTCCCTCCTCCTTTCCTCCCTCCTCCCTTCCTCCCTCCCCTCCCTTTCCCCTCCCTCCCTCCTTCCCTCCCTCCTTCCCTGCCTTCCTTCCTTCGTTCCTCCCTCCCTTCCTCCCTTCCTCCTCCCTTCCTCCTCCTCCCTTCCTCCTCCCTCCCTTCCTCCTCCCTTCCTCCTCCCTCCCTTCCTCCTCCCTCCCTTCCTCCTCCCTCCCTTCCCCCTCCCTTCCTCCCTTCCTCCTCCCTTCCTCCCTTCCCCCTCCCTTCCCCCTCCCTTCCCCCTCCCTTCCTCCTCCCTTCCCCCTCCCTTCCCCCTCCCTTCCCCCCCCTTCCCCCTCCCTTCCTCCTCCCTCCCTCCCTTCCCCCTCCCTTCCTCCTCCCTCCCTCCCTTCCCCCTCCCTTCCCCCTCCCTTCCCCCTCCCTTCCTCCTCCCTTCCCCCTCCCTTCCCCCTCCCTTCCCCCCCCTTCCCCCTCCCTTCCTCCTCCCTCCCTCCCTTCCCCCTCCCTTCCCCCTCCCTTCCCCCTCCCTTCCCCCTCCCTTCCCCCTCCCTTCCCCCCCCTTCCCCCTCCCTTCCCCCTCCCTTCCCCCTCCCTTCCTCCCTTCCTCCTCCCTTCCCCCTCCCTTCCCCCTCCCTTCCCCCTCCCTTCCCCCTCCCTTCCTCCCTTCCTCCTCCCTTCCCCCTCCCTTCCCCCTCCCTCCCTCCTTCCTTCTTTTCTTCCTTCCTGTTTCCTCCCTCCTTTCCTTCCTTCCTTCCTTCCACCTGTGAAGTCTGATTGAGATAAGCCACAACCAGGCAGAGCCCATATTTATTCATTTCTGTATTTATAATGTCTGAGCCAAGCCAGGCACTTGATATACGTTTTTGAATGAATTAATGAGTAACTGATCCTAATTAATAGAAAGCAACCCCAGACACACACACACACACACACAGTATATATATGTATATATGCACATAATGTATATTATATAAATATATGTTATGTGTGTATATTATGCATATTTGTGTATATGTATATATTACTCTATACAAGTCATGGTCAAGTAACAAGGTACAGTGATTAAGAGTTTGGCTGTAGAGTTTGACAAACTGCTAATTAAATTCCTCATCTGTGGCTTTTTAACCCTGTTTCCTCAAACAAGTTACCTTAATACCAGCTCCTTCATTATAAAACAGGGGCAATAATTGTCTCTTGTTTATGAAAGCATATCCACCTCCTAACAGCATGCTTATTTTCCATATTTACCCATGTGCCTGTCTTTCCTCCAACCTTCTAGCCTTTGAGCCCCATGAAGGCAGTACTACGTGTGCTCATTATTTTATTACTGGCACTTAGAACAGAGTTAGGAACTTGGTAATTATTTGTGGAATAAAAGACCACTTAAGGTTGTAGTCAGGTATTTAACGAAGTGCCTGATGTATAGCAAACACTTATCTAATTAAAGTTCAAATTTACTATTATCATGATTAAGAGGTACCATACATCTGGGATACAGAGCAGTGCAGAGAAGGACTTTTATAGATTTTATCACACACAGAAAGTTGAAGGAGGTTGAACTTCAACTGTGGATAAGACTTGAATTAATAGATGAATGGGATTTGTTTGTAATTAACATATTAATTGCTTTTATGTAAAACAGAACTTTTAAAGTGTTTGAAAAGCATTTGCTTTCTTACCTGGAAGTTTGGCCATTGTTTCTGCCATCTTATAATTATTGTTAACTGAATTGCTAAGAAACCATTTTTTCTGTTAAAAATCCTTAGATATTTAAAGGAAAAGTTGCCTGATGTTCTTTCAATTCCTCCACATTATGAAGACTGATTCCAGTTTAAGGAGAATTCTAGGTAAGAAAAATAATTCAATTTTTAATTTTAGACAAGACTATTTCTGAAAAAATCTCTCAGTTCTTAGGTTATATTACCAGTTACACTGTACTGTAATGCGTAGAGTTTAGACTTCATGTAGAGTTTAGACTTCATACACTAATTTCTGATGGGAAGAAGAGGATGACAGCCCTTTAGGGGAAATGAATGATAACATCACTGAGGTTTTCATTAATTTTTAATGAGGCTTGTACATTTCACTCAGAGAGTTAAGCATCACCCAACTCTGGTAAATGTTATACCTCATACACGTCATTCAATCACCTGAGTTTTAAGAGCAAGTTACTATTTTTCATTGTGCACTCTGAAAAATATCTTCTATACAGGGAACAATTAAAACAGTAGGACTATATTAATTATTTGGCTACTTAAAAATGACTCAATTATAATAACAATTTGCTACATGATATATTATACATAGTTCCTATTTTTATTAAAAAACAAGTTACTCCAGCAATTATATGATGAAACTAACCTGTTTATATTTGAGCTGAACATCTTTGGGTGTTTGTTGTTTTGTGCATTTTCTTTAATTCATTTTCTTTTCTTAATTGACATTTTACAACCTGTTTCCTAGATTTCATATTAACTGGTGTTGAATCTGAATCATTTGGTTGATACAGTTAGCAATTTCTTTAATATATTGGAGACATAAAAGATACAGTAGAAGTTTTATAAATTTTTAATTAAAAAATTATTCTACTGTACAAAAGTCCCTTCCAGGCACCAGTCTCTTCAAAGACACACCCGGCTTGTGAAGAGGCTGTGTCCATGCCAGTGGGGCTAAAGATAGGTTCTGGTAGTTTCCTAGAACAGCTGTGTGGCATGCATCGTTCCCAGCTCTGATTTTATTAGGATAAAACTCCCAGGTTTCTGTTGCTGAAAAGTCCTGGAAAAGCCCTGAGGCCTCTGACACCGGCCTCTCACGGTGGCTTTCCTGCAGTGGAGGCTGCAGGGTCGTACTTCTGAGTGACGGGGTCCTCAGCAAGCTACTGATAGAGCTGACCCAGCTGGGAAAACCCCACCCCCACTTGCTTTCCATCAGCAGAGCTGGGAGGCGGTTGTAGAGACAGGACGTGGGGCCTGGGGCTAAGGGCCTGGCTGGGGGTGGATGGGGCCCTGCACCTGTGCCTGGCCCCGCTGCCAGAGCGCTCAGGGGTCAGCCCCGCTGACAGCTCATCCACAGAAGAACTGTGATCTGGAGACACATACTTGAATCTGATTCAGTACGTGGATTCAGACATCAGAATCAGAATCTTGGTGTACTTGAAAACGGCCCCGAGGTAGAGGGCAGCCAGGAGCATGTGGATTCTGGCCACGGCCATGAGCCAGCATACTGAGGAGTTCAGGTGGGTGGGCCGGGCTTTCTCAGCTTTACTGTCCTCATCTGCAAAATTAATCGGTTTGATTACATCTGGAATGTTCAGTCTGCTCCAGTGAGTCCTAGAGTTTCTGAAGAGCCCTCTTTGAGTCTTTCCTGGATGGGTAACCATGGTGAGGAGCGTGGTCTCGGTCGTCCAAGCCCCGACTCAACCAGAGCAAATGTGGATTCATGGCTTTCCCATGTGCTTCTGAGTAAATTCTGATTTGACAAAGATAACCTGCTGCTGAGAAGAATAAAGGATCTGAAAAGTTACCGTACAGCGTGAGTCTCTGACTGAGCCCTCTCAGGATGATCAGCACTGGCTTCCTCTCTTGCTGCCTCTTTATGTAAGACATGCCATCTCAGACGTGGGGACGGCACCCCTGGACCAAGTCCCCATGCCTCCACGGAGTCAAAACACAGACCTTTCCTGCTGCACACTCACTTAGGAGCACCAATAATCCAGAAGCACTTCCAGAAATAAAGGTGGAAAATGATTCTAGACAGTGCTTCATATTCTATAGCTTGAAATTTCTTAAAAGAGGCAATAACACTTACCAATTTGTAAAATATGGAAAAAAATTCCATTTCATAAAAATGATATTAGTGTAACACTGACAATGGCGATGACACAGTCACAAATCACCCCTGTCCCATCAGAACTATTCCCTTTCTGCTTCAGGCTTTTTGAAGGTGTTATAAAAATAAACATTTAAATAAAACAAGATTAAATTCCTGCAGGAAAAGACCATTACTTTTAATGAGATTCCTTGAAATGAAGAACTATAGCTTAATTGATTAAAAAAGATTAATAGGTAATTATTTGCTTAGGAACAAAAATAATCAAAATAAAAAACACCTGCAGTTGCTCATCAAGAGCAGGAATCCAGAGAGAGAAAATTTTCACCCTGGCTTTAGTCTTATAAAGGTGCTCATTCTCGCATTGGACCAAAACGTCGAGAGACATGGATCTGAGTCTTGGTTTTGTAATTATTTCTCTTGTGACTGCAGGAATCTTCCTTCAACTTTCTGGTCCTGAAAGACCAGGTCCATAAAAGGATGTGGTTGGAGCAGATAATCTGCAGCAGCTCTGGTGTGCCTGAAACTGTCAGCAGTTAAACCGCTCCTGTTCCTTTTTGAGATCTTAATCAGAAATGAATATGCATCAAAGACACCCCAGAGCGAGACCCTCTTCCGTGTTATTTCTACTGAATGAGAGGCAGGAACTGCATCAGTGTTTTGGTATGTACTTTTCACGTAGTGTTTTTGATGGTAATCCTGGTGGAAAAACACAGTAACCCTTCTTCCCTTAACTTACAGCATGTCGTGAACTATGGCCATGAGACTAGAGTCCCCAGGATGACACTCCACCATCTGACTCATGCTGAGGGCTCACACTGGCCCCTGATATTATTTCTGAAGCCCTAACACTGAACGTAAAAACCTGGGAGAGAACTGTACGGAAGGACTCCAGGATCCTGATAGCCCCCATGGAACAGGGCTTCGTGGATTCAGGCGTCAGAATCAAGCCTAGAGAGAGGAGATGTTTACCGCTCATGGCAGAGTGAGGCCTCGCGGTGAATGGAAAGCATGGCTGGGCACAGGGGTGGTCCTGATGGAGGGGCCAGAGGCTGATGATGGCGTGGAGGCCCTGACACAGGGCAGCCCCGCCAGCCTCTGCATGGCCGGGGGAGTTACACCCTTGAGGACGGGTTCCAGGAATAAGATGTGTGATATGCAGAAGACAACAGGGCCTTTGTGTGGAAAGGCATCCGTGAATTAACACCAATGGCGGAGAGCAGGCAGTAGGGAAGCGGCCGCGGTGGGCGCTGTTCCGCACCCCATGTGGTCTGGCTTGCACGGCCAGGGCAGCCCAGGCGTCGGCCTCCTGTTTCTCTCCTGCCATGATCCTCTTTCTACCCCCAAAGCTCTTACCTGGCCCCTGTATCCAAGCCTTCCTCGGGTACTGCCCTGGCCAGGAGAGAAGAAAGCACCCAGCCTCCTGGTCAGTGTTCCGCTGAAGCATTGTATGAGTCCGGGTTCTCTAGAGGGACAGGACTAATGGGATAGGTGTATACATGAAGGGGAGTTTATTAAGGAGAATTGACTCAGGATCACTAGGTGAGGTCCCACAATAGGCCGTCTGCAAGCTGAGAAGCCTGGAAGCCAGTCCGAGTCCCAAAACCTTAGAAATAGGGAAGCCGGCAGTGCAGCCTTCGGTCTGTGGCCAAAGGCCTGAGAGCCCCTGGCAAACCACTGGTGTGAGTCCGAGAGTCCAAAAGCTGAAGAACTTGGAGTCTGATGTTCAAGGGCAGGAAGCATCCAGCCCGGGAGAAAGATGGAGGCTGGAAGACTCAGCCAGTCCAGTCCTTCCACCTTCCTCTGCCTGCTTCTATCCTAGCCGTGCTGGCAGCTGAATAGATGGTGCCCACCCAGATTGAGGGTGGGTCTGCCTCTCCCAGCCCACTGACTCCAGTGTTAATCTCCTTTGGCAACACCCTCACAGACACACCCAGGACAATACTTTGCATCCTTCAATCCAATCAGGTTGACAATCCATATTAAGTATCACGAGCAAGTTCTGTGGAGGGCAGAAGCTCCCGTCTGACAGGTCAGAGGCTGCTGCAGCCACAGAGGCTGGTGGGGGCCACCATGCTGCCCTCATGTGTGTATGTGGGGACAATTGGGCAGCCTCTGTTTGCTCGCCCTACTCACAATCTGAGTGTGCAGTTTACCACCAAGTATGGGTCAAAATCCCAGGATTACAGTTGGACTTTGTTTAATTTAAAAGACTTGTTTTATTGGTCAGAGTTCCCCAGAGAAACAGAACCAATAGGATCTGTATCTCTATGTATGTCTATATCTACACCTATGTTTGTCTGTATCTATATCTGTGTCTTTATCTATATCTCTCTGTATCTATATATCAATATCTAGATCTATCTGTGTCTGTATCTAGACCTATCTGTGTATCTATATCCATTTGTGTCTATATCTACACCTATCTGTATCTATAGCTATCTGTGTCTCTATCTATACCTATCTGTATCTATATCTATACCTATCTGTGTCTATATCTTACCTGTCTATCTATATCTATACCTATCTCTGTCTGTATCTATCTCTATCTGTGTCTGTAGCTATACCTATCTGTATCTATATCTATATCTATCTTTATCTATCTATATATACCTATCTATCTTTATCTATATCCATACCTGTTTGTATCTATATCTACACCTGTCTGTATCTGTATCTATCTCTGTCTGCATCGATACCTATCTGTATCTGTATCTATATCTATACCTATCTGTATATCTATTTATAACTATCTGTATCTATGCCTATTATCTGTATCTATATCTATACGTATCTGTATCTGTATCTATATATCTAAAGAGATTTATTGCAAGGAATTTGCTCACCTGATTATGGAGGCTGACACATCCTGAGACCTGCAGTCAATGGGCTGGGCTGGAGACCGGGGAGGTGAAGGTGTGAGTTTCAGTCTGAAGGCTGGCAGGCACCAGACCCAGGAAGAGCCAACACTTCAGTTCAAATCAAAAGGCAGAAAAGCCCCAGTGTCCCAGCTCACAGTATCAAGTAGGAGGAATTCCCTGGCTGGCTCTGGGGTTGCACAAGCAGCTTATTCGTTGGGATTTGCTTTGTTTTATTTTTAAATTAATTTTTTTTTTGAGACAGGGTCTTACTCTGTCATCCAGACTGGAGTGCAGTGGCACAATCTTGGCTCAATGCAGCCTCGGCTTCCTGGGCTCAAGTGATCCCTCTGCCTCAGCCTCCCAAGTTGCTGGGACCACAGGCACCTGCCTTTACGCCCTTCTTGTGCTGGGATTTCGGGTGTGAGCCTCCACACTGGCCCTGTTTCTCACGATGGGATTTCAGCTATGAGCCTCCACGCCTGGCCCTGTTTCTCACGCTGGGATTTTGGGTGTGAGTCCCCTTGCCCGGCCCTGTTTCTTGTGCTGGGATTTCGGGTGTAAGCCCCGGCGCCCAGCCCTGTTTCTTGTGCTGGGATTTCGGGTCTGAGCCCCTGCACCTGGCCTTGTTTCTCTGGCTGCCTCCCTTTCTCAGACTCCTGTAGTGGTGTTTCCGTCCAACACCTGTGTTTTACAGCATGTGGGTTTTTTTCTCCTCTCTGCCATCAATATGCAAAGTGCTGAGGTTGCACTCTTAAGCCCTGTGAAAAGGACTTTGCTATTGTTACTGGACAATTTTTCTTCATGTGACTTCCAATTTCTTGGAAATCGGTAGGTGCTTTTCCTCACCCAACTGGGGTTTTCCATTTCCGTCTCCTGGATCTAGATGGCTCTGCTCTTTTATCAGCAGAGAGCACTGGTTCCCGCGCCTTCAGAGGGGACTGTTTTAGAGCCTCCAGCTCTGTCGTGTGGCTGTGCCAGTAACCCCGGAAAGGCTTACACCCTAGTGTAGTAATAGAACACGGATCCGTTATGTGTCTCACTACACATGCATTAACTGGAAAATCCAAAGGCATTTTACATAATCTGAAGTTCAGTCAAGTCAGCGGGGTGTTTGAGAAGAGGAAGGCGACTTCCTGACGCCTGTCGTGATATGAACCAAGTAGTTTCATCCGGAGTGGAATCTGGCTTGGTTCTGGCCTTTGAATTTTTCCAAGCCAGATCACTGGTATACCTAACTATAACCCTGCATAGTAACTTTTGGCTGAATGGATGGTTTCCGGTGCAGTAATAGCTGAGTTTCTGTCAATATGCACTGTCTATTCTGTGAGAATGTTAAAGTATCTGAATTTCAAAGGCACGTGCAGAGGTACAAGGGCCGCGCCTGTGAGAACACCGAGCAGCACTGCATGATGGCTGGAGGCTGGGGAGCCACTTTCCTTCCCTCACGCATCCGCCTCCACGCAAGCCTGCTCTCCGCCGTGGGAAATCAGACAGCTGGGCTGACAGCCTGCATTCGGGATGCAGTGGAGGTGATGGACAGCCGGCCCCGGGAGGGGTGAATACTCTGTCCACTGTGCCCCCAGGCCAGAGCCTCGCATGGTGATGAATAGAGTCGTACTGACGTGGAAAATCAGATACTCAGCACCTTTCCTTCAAGACAGATAGGGGAAAAGCTGAGGAAACAGAAAAAAAAAAAATGGAAAAGAAGAAGTGGTCAAGAAAGGGCTGCAAACACACAAAGAGATGATTTTTTAAAGAGAAAAGGAAAATAACAAACCAGATGCTGACATGGTACTCCAGTTCCAATATCCTATTTATTATCATGCATTCAACTCCTCAGGTATTTAATGACAAGCTACTCATAGCTTGTCTCAGAGCACCAGGAATTCTGAGTCACAGTCGGGGTGTAAAGCGGGGCCCTGCATTCAGGGAGCTGAGTCTGACTGGGAACTGGAAAGGCTCCCCTACCTCCCATGACCGTCTGTGAGCTTCACCTGTGAGTGGCAGGTGCGCGTGGAGTCAGTTCCCCTCCATGCCCGCCTGCATTCCTACCCGGAGACCTCCGGCCGCGGTGGGAATTGCCCTGCTGTTTTCATTACTGCAGGTTTTTCTTCTGTATTTCTGAACCCCTCATATCTCAGGGAAGGAAATCCAGGGAGAAGTATCTGTTGCGTCCCCATCTGTTGCATTTTCTGAGTCTCCACGTTAATGAAAGAGCAGCCATCCAGTTTCCTGCAGTGCCGAGAGTCCTCGGGACCTGTCGTTGTTCTAAAGGACAGAGGACACTGTTCAGATGTGACGTCTGTCGCCATTTCTGTCTCCTCTTAGCAAACTTTAAAGCCCGGAAAACCTTCTATTTTCAAAGTCGGAAAATTAGATTACAGCAAAGCCATAACCCTGTATCTCTCCTAACCTTGCTCCCTAATCAGGAATAAAAGGGAAATTATCTGAAGAATTATCTAATATGTTCTTCATCAGGAGATCATAATTAAATCATAATTGCCATCCGGCAGCAAAATGTGATGAAATTACCAGGGCAAACTATTAATTACTTCAAAGATCCATTTTAATCGTAAACAGTTTAATATACCTCTATAAAAATTGCCATCAGGCAGGCGCTTAATGAGGGAGCTGTGAAGGCTCTGCTGTCCTTGGTGACTGGAGGATGTTTTCACGAGATCTTCACGGTTATTTTCCATTTCCAGTTCCTTAGGCCTGGCTCTTACATTCTCTAATACTATGGGGAGTAGAAATTTCTGCGTCCTCCTGGGTGGAGTGTGTGAGTGTGTGCATACATATGTGTTTATATGTGTGTGTGTGCACTGTGTAGGTGATATGCGTGTGTGTGCGTGCATGTGTATGTGTGTATATGTATGAGTGTGTGCTAGTGTGTGCATTTGTATATGCATGTGTGTATGCATGGGAATGTGTGTATGTGTGTGCATATTTATAGGTGTGTCTCTGTGCATGTGTATGTGCGTATGCATGTGTGTTTATATGAGTGCATGTGCATTGTGTACATAGGTACATGTATGTGTGTCCATGTGCATGCTATATTTATGTGTACATGTTATGCAATGTGCAGGTGTGTATGTGTGTACATATGTACATGTGTGTACATGTGCATGTGTATATATGCAGGTATGTATGTATATGTGTACATATGTACATGTGTTTATGTCTATGTGTGTGCATGTGTGTCTGTGTGTGCATGAGTATATACATGTGCATGTATATTTGTGTACATATGTACATATGTGCGCACATGTGTTTGTGTCTGTGTGCATGTTGTGTGTGTGCAGGTGGGCCGTTGCTTTGTAGTTTTGTGGGGGCTAAACAAAGGATGTGCATGATGCTGTCCATGTGTGCATGTGTATATGTGTGCATGTGTGTTTGTGTACGTATGTACATGTATGTGTGTGCATGTGTTTGTGTCTCTCTCTGTGTGTATGTTGTGTGTGTGCATTCGCGTGTATATGTGTGCATGTGTGTTTGTGTGTGTATGTATGTGTATTTGCTACGAGTGGTATCTTGAAGAAATGGGATTGTGAGGATGAAAGGGAAGAGTTTGTGTTCGCAGCCACACATAAACTCACAGAATAGCTTCTGATGGAGCACAGTAAATTTTGGAATTAGGTATGAGGAAGCATCTTTGGTCATTCTTAGTTCTTTGAGATATTTTTCATTTAAATGAAAACGTATGCCTTTTTCTAGATCTTGATGCAAACAGTTGCATCAAAGTGGAGCTTGTGAGTAAGAATGCAGATAGAAAATCATGGGAATTATTCACGTGGATGACCTGATTTTATTCTAGTCTTACTTATGAAGTCTTCTTCCTGCTCCACAACGATTGAAGAGACAGGAAACAAACTTTTAAAATTACGTAAATAAACGGGCCAAGGGGAAATACAAGAGGACAAGCAAAGACAGACACAGCTTTGCACTGCACTCGTGGCTTATCTCACCATGGACGCCAAATTCAAACCTGTTGGCGACTCATCACACTGGACTGACGGCACAAAGGTTCTTGGGAAATAGAATCATGTTCAGCATCAAGTAGGAAAAAAGTCACAAGTACTTGCAGACAAGCCAATCAAAATTGAAGGAAAAATAGAATCAGCACCTAGTGTAAATTAACTTCAGAAATATGCAGTCAGGACTGTCCTTGCGGACTTGCATTCTAGCTTCTGAGCTGAAATTTGTGTCATTAAACTGATATCTAGATGATGTACATTTCTTGACTTACTACAATTCAAAAAAAATGAAACAAATTACATGAACACAGTGGCTATCATTTCCCCCTTGTGAATGGCATAGTACCAGTCTATACAATTTTGGATGTTGTCTTTCTGTTGACTGTTAGTTACTTTAGACTACAAATCTCAGAACATTTAAATAATGATTTGTTACATTACTCTAAACCTAATTATTTTATATTCACTCACACCATCCCCTCTGTTGGTTCTGAAATAAACTATTCAAAGGAGTGCAGAGCCAGTGGGTGTAGAGAATTATGTTTTATTAATTGGAAGCATTCTAACAGTAACCATATTGACTGATCACATGCCCAATATTCTCTTTTTGACCAACTTTGCTGCTGTCAAGAAAAGAAGGATAATATTGTACAGTAATTCAATGCTAATAATTTATCAGTTCCACTATTTTGTAGGTATTAATATCAAAAGCTGGTTGTTGGAAAGTCGAACAATGTAGCAAGGGCTCCCAGATGTGCCATTTCTATCTTCCTGTGTGTGATTGGATCTCAGCTCTACAATGTGTTCTGTGCTGTGTGGGAAATTTACACAATCCCACTGGTTGCGGGGTTCTGGGGGTCAGTTGATTAATGGGGTGCTGAAAATGAGATCGTTCCACCACACTGCAGGCAGGAAGAAGCATTTGTCATCCCAGATGATTTTCTGGAATACTTGGCAGCATTGTCAACTCCAGATTGGAAAGCAATGAACAACTCCATTCAGGCAGCACCTCCCAGGGCTCAAGAGGAGAGGTTTAGTCCCACTTAGCAGGTAACAATTGCCAGCCAAGCCGCTGGATTACGATAAAGGAGGCATAGCTGGTAAAAGAGTAAGAAGTCAAAAACCAGCTCTAAGCTGGGAACTTGCAGCAGAAACTGACTGTAGCAAACGCGTGTTTTCTTCTGTGATGTGTGTGTGCACTTGCCACTCATCTGTGTCCAAATCCTCTCTTCTCCTGCCAGGTCTGGGCTTCCCTCTTCCTGCTGAGCTCTGTGCCCTGCAGGGCTGGTCTCCTGGTGCAGCATCGGAGGGGTCCCCTCGGTGGTCTGGTCCTTATCAGGTTCTGCCACCCGAAGGCTCTGGCAGGACCCGAGAGGGAGGGAGGGCAAAGGATCAGACGTGGATGCCCAGATCTTTGGCTCCGGCTGCAGGTTGGTGGTGCTGCACTTCCCGTGCACGGGCGTGGCTTTGCTCAGGAGCCTTTCGTGCGGTCTGTGTCTCCCTTGCCACTCTTGCCCAGGTAGTCATGGTTCCTAATGCGGGGCTCTGCTCTGCCACTCAGTGGATGCCCTTGACCCCTCCCCCCGCCGTGGCTTTTCCCAGAGCCCATCCTCACACCTGCCTGAGCCCCTTTTCCGAGGGCACCTGTTTCCTGCCAGGACCTGGGCTGTGGTCCATGATCCCTCACTTCCTATTGCGCATTTGGATGTGCTGTTGAGGGTGAGTTTTTAAATTCCTCCCGCAGGTGATGTGCTGTCCAGGTGGCCTTGTGACCACCTGGACAGGGAGTGAATGGCTCAGAGAAGACGGCAGTGGCTGAGGAGCTGGTCAGGAGGGAGGGAGATTTGTTTGTGTAGGGACAGGTGTGCTACGCTGGGGCGGGTGGACTCTCCCTTCTTAGTTTTGTGGGGGTTAAACAGAGGATGTGCATGATGCTGAGCACTCCAAGGAGAGGGGGCTGTGGCCGGGGTGCACGGCTTGCCCCTAGTCACACAGACCTGCTGCAGCCTGGCTTTCTGTGCCATAGAAACAAGGAGGCTCAGAGGCCACGTTGGCTCTTTAGGTGGCAGGGGAGGCGCCACTGCAGGGCTGGTGTCTGCACCGTGCCCTGTGAGAAGGAGACTTGGGCCCGGGGTGGCTCTGCAGCCAGGCACGGTGGGGCCACCCCACAGTTTCACACTGACTGCACCTTCTCCAGTTTCCTGGTCGTGGCAGAGACAGGAGTGGCTCCGAGAGGCATTCTATTCCCGTGATTTGGGCCGTGTACCCGGTCAGTTAGCCAAAACTGGGCTCCTTACAGATTCTTAGAATGCTAGGGGTCATGTGCTCATCCTAGGTGAGACAGAATCCAACGCCTGCAACTTTCATCTTTGACAGGTCCTACGCCTACTCTTAACTTCTGCCTACAATCAAACCCAAAGGTTAAAAGCTTTGAACTTTTCCTACTCTCAAAATTGTACCAGCTATTCATATATTCGTCAGCCCAGTTTTTGGCAAAGGTGATTTAAATTTGCTGTTTAAAAGGTAAATACTCTCATGCAATTCAAAAACCAATAATATAATACAATAAATAGTAAACACTCTTCCTGTTCTTCATTTCCAGAGAGAATAAATGTAGCCTTTGAAAGACATTTTTAATCTATTCATGCAGGTGTGTGTGTGCACAATTCATTTAACAAATCGTCGCAGGACACTTATGATGTGCCATGCACAGTGCAAAGCAATTTAAAGTCTAACCTTTTTTAATTCTCATAATAACTACATTAGGTCCTCATCCTTTGTATGAACTTAGGGGCCAGATATATTTTAGAATTCAGAACTTCCTTTGATGAATGGGCCATATACAACACCCCAACAACTTCTGGGGTAGCACTCATAATTAAAGACATTAATATTTTTGCAGGAAACTGAATGAGAATTCCTAGTCAGTAAGATAAATGAAGAAGGTAGTTTTATGTCCATAAAGGCATGATTTTGTCACTGAATGCTCAAAAAAGCCACGTTTAGTTCTCAGAGCTGTAAATAACGGACTTGGGGCTTGTAACTCTTCATTTTAAAGATAAGAAATTGAATCACAGGAGTTTATGAACCATGCTCAAGGCCACACAACTAGTAAGAGAAAGAATTGGGGTTTGAACCCAGGCTGTCTGATTTAAGACTATCTATCTATCTATCTATCTATCTATCTATCTATCTATCTAACTATCTAGCTATTTATCTATCATCTATCATCTATCTACTCTATCTCCTCTACTATCTATTTTTCTGTATATACATGTATAAATGTTTTCCTGTTTTAATCAAGATTTTACAGTGATACACACACTATTCTGCACCATGCTTTTAAAACGTAGCACTTGGCTGGGCGTGGTGGCTCACGCCTGTAATCCCAGCACTTTGGGAGGCCAAGTCAGGCAGATCACAAGGTCAGGAGTTCAAGACCAGCCTGGGCAATGTGGTGAAACCCTGTCTCTAATAAATACAAAAATTATCCGGGCATGGTGGCACATGCCTGTAATCCCAGCTACTCTGGAGGCTGAGGCAGGAGAATCACTTGAAGTCAGGAGGTGAAGGTTGCAGTGAGCCAAGATCGTGCCACTGCACTCCAGCTTGGGCAACAGACACAGAGAGACTTCATCTAAAAACAAACAAAGCCAAAAAACCATAGCACTTTATTTTAAGGATATTTCTACTTTAATCCATAAATGGTTTCTAGTTCTTGTATTAATGGCGACATCATGTTCCATGTTTTCATGAACTGTGATTTATCAGAGAAGCCCTTGCAACGGTGATCTAGGTTGTGTCATCGCTTCTGCGTAACAGCAAGGCAAAGCTGCGGATTTATCGCCGTTCTACCCAGGTTTCCTGTTGATTACGGCAGGGTTTGAGGTGCGGTCCCTGGTGTTTCATCATGACAAGTGGAGGTTTGCAGGAGAACTTCATAACCATCTGCAGAAAAGGTGAAGTCACATCTTGAGACCAGCTCTAGATATGTTACCGATGGGCTAATGGTTTTGATGTAAAATAAGTAAAAACATTAAAGGGCTAGAAGAAGCCAGAGGAAAAGTCATTTAGAGGGTTGTAGTGTGAAAGTCTTTCTAACTGCAACACAAAATCCTGAAGCTACAAATTAATAGATTATATTAATAGATTATAAATTAACCTAAATAATGATATTGACAAATACCTAAGATAAGAATTCTCCATGGAAATGCCCATCATGGAAAACAACAAGTGGGGGAAATGTTGAAATCCTGTCAGAGAGAAAGAGCTAATTCAGGATATGGATGGAATTAACAAAACATCATCAATAAGACTTTTTTTTTTTGAGTCAGAATCTCACTCCATCGCCTAGGCTAGAGTGCAGTGGTCCAATCTCAGCTCACTGCAACTGCCTCCCAGTTTCAAGCGATTCCCCTGCCTCAGCCACCCGACTAGCTGGGACTACAGGCACCTGCCATCATGCCCGGCTAATTTTCATATTTTTAGTAGATAAAGGGTTTCACCATGTTGGCCAGGCTGGTCTTGAACTGCTGACCTCAAGTGATCCTCCCGCCTCGGCCTCCCAAAGTGCTGGGAGTACAAGCGTGAGCTACCGCGCCTGGCTCAGTAAGACTTTTAGGCACAGGTTAAGTATACTAAACTTCATTCACAATGTGAAAAATGTAAATCAATTCTCTCTTCAAGCTATAAAGAAAAATAACAAAAACAATATCTTTACTCCTAGGCATGTGCACCAGGAAAACTGTAATTTTAAAAAGCTTGCTTCTAAAGTAGATAAATTATGTTTAAATTATCAAAAATGTACAGAAGCCAAAATAATTATTTTGTCATGCTTATGTAAACATGGCAAAGGTCAAGAGAATCTTTTTTGAATTTTCATCCCATCTTTTCTGTTCTGACAATAGAATGAACATAGATTTAAAGACTTTCAACAAAAGCCTCTCTATGTGAAGGGTTTATTTTGTTTATTTTGATCAGTTTTGTGGTGTTTTCTCTGAACATCATCATTTGTTAGTGTGATGTTTCTTGAGATTGCTGTAAAGGAAACTCAGGAACGAAGCATTCCAACTCCAGATAATTATATCTGTCTGAGTTATTCCTATTCTTTGCTGAAAGAGCACAGGTATTAGCCAATTCTAAAACTAAATGCCTCTCTTCAAATCACTCCTCTCCCACAAAAGGTTTCTTTCTTTTCTTTCAAGATAATCTTACACAGAAAACTCATTTAGCAATTTGCTTAGGAAAGATAATATTTTGGGTGTTCTGAGCTTTTCATTGGGAGTCTAAGCCAACATCTGAAGCAGAGTTTAAAAACCAAAACACAGGTTTAAAGAAAAAGATGAAAATTGGATTATTGAAGAGGAAGAGTGTGATGATTAATATTGAATGTCAACTTGTTTGGATCGAAGGATGCAGTACTGTTCCTAGGTGTGTCTGTGAGGGTGTGGCCTAAGGAGATTAACATTTGAGTCAGTGGACTGGGAGAAGCAGACCGACCCTCAGTCTGGGCGGGCACCATCTAATCAGCTGCCAGCGTGACTAGGATAAAGCAGACAGAAGTTGGAAAGAGCAGACTGGCTGTGTCTTCCAGCCTCCGTCTTTCTCCTGTGCTGGATGCTTCCTGCCCTCGAACATGGGACTGCAAGTTCTTCAGCTTTTGGACTCTTGGACTTATACCGCTGGTTTGTCAGGGACTCTCAGGCCTTTGGCCACAGACTGAAGGCTGCACTGTTGGCTTCCCTACTGTTGAGGTTTTGGGGCTCCGACTGGCTTCCCTGCTCCTCAGCGTGCAGATGGTCTATTGTGGGACTTCACCTCGTGATCGTGTGAGTCAGTTCTCCTTAATAAACTCCCCGTCATGTATACATCTATCCTATTAGTCCTGTTCCTCTAGAGAACCTGGACTCATACAGAGAGGAAGGCATCCAGGACAGAACTGAAGTTGAACAGGAGCAGATGGGAAGACAGGATATCAAGTTCCAGGCTTGGGGTGGAGACAGAGAACAGGAGCTGCTAAAATGGAGAGCCATAGAGCAGGTGGGGAGAGTCCTGTGGGCACACAGTTCACCTGGTTCCTTTAGGGATGGTGTATTTGTCCCTTTTCATGCTGCGGATAAAGATATACCTGAGATTGGGTGATTTACCAAAGGAAGCGGTTTAATGTTTAATGCATTTAGAGTTCCAGGTGGTTGAGGCTTCACAGCCATGGTAGAGGGCAAGGAGGAGCAAGTCACGTCTTACATGATGGCAGCAGGCAAAGAGAATGAGAGCTTGTGCAGGGGAACTTCTCTTTATAAAACCATCAGATCTCATGAGACTTATTCACTATCAGGAGAATAGCACGGGAAAGACCTGCCCCCATGATTCAATTACCTCCCACAGGGTTCCTCTCACAACACCTGGGAATTCAAGATGAGATTTGGGTGGGGATGCAGCCAAATCATATCAGAAGGCCTGCTCCAAGTTCTGGTTTCTCAAGGAGCATTTGTACATTAGATGTCCTCAGGCTCTGTCTGCTGCAATCTATTTCCTTTGCAGTCTTGTTCCCACTGGAATCTGAGTGTCTTTGCAATCCACAAATCCTAAGGAGTGAGCTAAACTGGACAGTCCTGACTGGTCTGGGGTGAGTATTCAGCCACTGGTCTGGTTGGCTGGTGACCCAGGAGATGGCCTTCCCCAGGCCCTGCAGCTGAGTGGCAGCCCCTCGTGCCACAGTGACAGAAGGAATGAGTGCCATGGGCTCAAGTGCACCATGTCCTCCGTCCATCACCGTCCGCGAGAAATGCTTTCGAGTCTGTGCGTTCCGGCTGCCTGGGAATATGCATACTTTGTTTAGTTGTCAATTTGGAGGATTTCTTCTGCAACCAAAATTTCTATCTTCTTATTTCTGCTTTGTCCTCAGAACAAATCCTTGGTATTTAGGAGACGTGGACACGTCTCTGTTTCTTGAGGAAGAGTTTTCTTCTGCTCTTGTCCTGCTTCTAACTCTTGCTTCCCATTTGGGAGATTCTCTGCCTCATGCATGGTGGTGGGAGAATACTCTGCTCACTGGAGTGGACGGAAGCCCTCGTTCTAAGCCTCTTCTCAGCTGGGTGCATCTGAAGCACCCATTCTGGGCTTGGGCACAGGTGCCAGTGGCAGAGAGAAGCAAGGACATCATGGAATTCGCTCCGGCTGGGGAGGCTGGAGAAGGGGTGGCATGTCGTTTTCCAAAGGCAGCAGGCCCGGTGGTTTGAGCAGCTGGTGTTTGATGGAAGCCTGGTGGAGGCCAGTGTCCCTGGGACCATTTTGTGGTGTGGTGTTCCATGTTTTTCTTGGCTGGGCAGCCTTCGAATCCATTTTCCAAGCCTCCTGGAGATTCTCTTAGCTTCCAAAGTCATTTAATAATTCCACGTTCTGCTAATGTTGGCGTTGGCTTGTGGGACACACCTGGGGGAGGCCCCAGACTCCTCAACAGCCGGGGGAGGCCCCAGACTCCTCAACAGCCGGGGGAGGTCCCAGACTCTTTAACAGCCGGGGGAGGTCCCAGACTCCTCAACAGCCGGGGGAGGCCCCAGACTCCTCAACAGCCGGGGGAGGCCCCAGAATCCTCAACAGCCGGGGGAGGTCCCAGACTCCTCAACAGCCGGGGGAGGCCCCAGACTCCTCAACAGCCGGGGGAGGTCCCAGACTCCTCAACAGCCGGGGGAGGCCCCAGACTCCTCAACAGCCGGGGGAGGCCCCAGACTCCTCAACAGCCGGGGGAGGTCCCAGACTCCTCAACAGCCAGATCCCACGGGAACCAACCAAACTCACTTATCCTTGGGATGTGCTAAGCATTCCCCACCAGGCCAGCATGCCAATCAGGACCTGTGGGACTTCCTGCAGGTGCTGAGGACAGAGGGGCGAGTAGGACGGCCACACTGGCCGAGGAGCAGAGCCCCCTGGATCACAGCAAAGAGGGAGGCGGTGTTTCAGTGGGAGCCGCTGCCTTTATTCAACTTCTCATTTTAATTCCTCTGTGGAAAAATCCTATCAAATAGTGCCTAGATGAAAACAAAGTTCTTCATCTCTGTTTTTTTTTAACCAAAAAATAATTTTCCAGGTGAAATCCCAGGTTTTTATAACACAAAATCTTCTGCCTATGCCATTAAGGCCTTGAGTTGTATTCTAGAAAAATAATACTTTCGGAGATTTTTCAAAAATCTACTAGAGAAAAGCATATAAACTGAAATAAAAGAGTTATGATTACTATTAGGTCATATCATCTTTAATGTTCCATTTATTCATTGAGAGGTCTCTTAATTTTAATGTAAACCAATTAGAAAAGATGGAGTTTGGTTCAGCTGCAGGAGGATCCTCCATGAATATTAGAGGCAACTCATAGCCTGGTGGCCCCAAGATAGCAAAGCAACCCTAGCTTGGAAGGCAGCCACAAGGAAGGCTTTCTCTGGATTCCTAAGTCCTCAGCTCTGTCCTGACCTGAATGCCCCAGGTAAGTGACTGGAGAACGACTTCTGTCCCTGCTTAGGCCTGATATTTTGGTTTGAAATTGAAGATGCTGAAAATATTTATAACTAGGCCCAAGAGACATGCCATTCTGGTCTAATGACTTCATGAAACATTTGAAAGTGAATTATTGAGTTTCATCTTATAGAATGCAAATAAGAAATGCCTTAACCCCCAGAATTTCTTTTGGATAATTTAAAATAAATATATTGCAAATAACACATGAAGGCAGGTGTTAATAATTCTATTACTTGGTCATAAATAGAGCATATGGGTATTGAGTTTGATGCATTTAAATATTTTAATGTGTCACCTGAAGACAGAAATCTGCTAAGGAAATTTTCATTAATCACACATACCAAGCATAAAGTAAAGAAAATACATCTTACAGGAAAATTGATTTTTATGCTCTCAGTTTTGTCATAAAAATATGCTATAGATACAATCAATCACAGCTTCCACACTAAGTCCTTTAACACTGGACATTGTTTTTGAAACAAAACAGCTGGGTTGGAAGTGTATTCAAAGTTTATTCCACATGCAATATGAGAATAATAGTAACGTTACCCCAAGAACATCTGAAATAGTATTTGCAGAGCCATAGCATCTTCCCAGCTGCAAAGGACATTAGAATCCATTTAGTTCAATAATAATTTACAGAAGAGAAAACAGACCCACCTTCATTGGGAGAGACTTGTGAGAACTGCCCAAGCTAAATTTGGTTTTGGCTAACACTCTTGGACACTGCTGAGGTCCAACATGTGGGGTTGCCGGGAGCTAACTATGGGGATTTCCATTTCCCAGAATAGAGGGAGGCTGAGAGGTGCTCTAGGGTCACTTGGCGCACAGCCCACGGAGAGCAAGGCTGGGGCTGACCCTAGACTCTCGCTTCATGGCACACGTTGATGCCCACCGTCTTCTGTGACATCTGTGCTCCTTCGCCTTCCGTTCACCTTCCACAGACAACTGCGCCCTGCAAGGATCGTGGGTCCAAGAACAGCCTTGCGTGCTGGGTGTTCACAGCAGTGCTGCCTGCCCTGCCTCCAAGAACAGCCTTGCTTGCTGGGTGTTCACAGCAGTGCTGCCTGCCCTGCCTCCAAGAACAGCCTTGCGTGCTGGGTGTTCACAGCAGTGCTGCCTGCCCTGCCTCCAAGAACAGCCTTGCGTGCTGGGTGTTCACAGCAGTGCTGCCTGCCCTGCCTGGGGTAGGGCCCACTGGCTCTCGCTGCTTCAAGTGCTCCATGTCCTAGGGGCACCTGTGGACCAGGCACCTTCTACACAACCTGGAAAGCTACACAAGGGTGCCTCACAGGATTTATTCTACACATCCAGAGCGCTCCAAAAGACCAAGAAAAACTTTGTAACTCTTGGGTGCCAATGAGTACAAAGGCAGATCTCAAAGAGAAGCAAATTTGGTTTTATAGCTTTTATAAATCGCAAATCCTGCTCAGCTTTGTAAAATCACTCATGAGTATGGCAGGCTCTTCTAGCTATATGTGTGTGCGCATACCCTCAGGAACATCTCTTTATGGCAAAAGAGAGGAGAGAAGCACCCAGAGAGAGAGCGAGACAGAGAGAGAGGCTGACCTACTTATAAGCCTCGACGATCTTTAACTCAGCATTGTCCCTCATTTCCACAATAATTCATCAAGCTTAATTACAGAGAGGTATAAAATATAAAATACCACTTGGTATGGACTGACTTGTGTCTCCTCTACCCCCCACCAAAATTTGTACATTGAAGTTATAACCCTGGGTACCTCAGAACATAACCTTATTTGGAAATTGGGTCTTTGCAGATGGAATTAATTAAGGTGAAGTCATTCTAGGGTAAGGTGAGCCCTAATCTAATATGACTGGTGACCTTACACAAAGGGGAAATCTGGAGACAGACATATCCACAGGTGAAGAAATGTGAAGACTGGCATTCTGGGGCTGCGAGTCAAGGAGCCAGCAGCAGCTCAGAGACAGCCTGGATCAGCTTCCTCCCCAACATTTCCGAGGAAGCCGTTCCTGCAGGCACTTTGATCTTGGACTTCCAGCGTCCAGAACTGTGAATCAATAAACTCCTGTTGTTTCAGCTGCAGAGTTGATGGTAATTTTGCAAGTCTTACTTGGAAAGAGAGTTCTAGGATAGTTCCCAATTCATTTTCTAATAAATATTGTATTTTAGAGTAGTTTTACACTGATAGTAAAATCACACTGATAATGCAGAAGTTTCTCATATATTGCCTCCCCAGGGCCCCTGTCTTTGCCACCTTACACTAATATAATACATTTGTCCCAGTAAATGGATCAATGCTTGATTAATAACCGAAGTCCCACTGGTGATGATGAGAGTTCCTGTTGCTCCAGATCCTTGCCAGCATTTGGTGGTGTTGTCAGTGTCTGGATTTTGATCACTCTAGCAGGTGTGTAGTGGTGTCTCATTGGTGTAATTTGCATTTCACTGATAATATACGACCTGGAGTATCTTTTCATATGTTTGGTTACCATCTGTATGTCTTTTTTGGTGATGTGTCTGTTCAGATCTCTTGCTTATTTTTAAATTGGGTTGCTTGTTTTCTTATAGTTGAGTTTTGAGGGATCTTTATATATTTTGGACACACATCTCTCCTCTAGGCAGCTGATGGTTCTATGAACACATGGCAACCTTCTCTAAGCAGGATCATTCACGGTAGCCATGATGATGAGTTTTACGTGTCAAGTGAATTGGGCTAAGGGATGCCCAGACAGGGGGTAAAACCTTATTTCTGGGGGTCTGTGAGGGTGTTTCTGGAAGAGACCAGCATGTAAATCAGGGACTAAGTAAGGCAGGTGCCCCCCAGTCCCCCCGCAATGTGGGCATCATCATCCTATCCATTGGAGAGCATGAGTAGAGCAGAAACGAGGAGGAGGGCGAATTCTCTCTCTCTCCTTGAGCTGAGACACTTGTCTTCTGCCTTCAGACATCAGAGCTCCTGGTTCTTGGGACACTGAGCTCTAGGACTTCCATCAACATTGACCTCCACCGTTGTTCACAGGCCTTAAGCCTTGGACTGGAATTTACACCATCTTGTACCCTTGTTTTCAGGGCTTTGGGCTCAGACTGAACCACACTACTGGCCTTCCTTGTTCTCCAGCTTGCAGATGGCAGATGGTAGGACTTCTTGTCTTCCAGAATTGCAGGAGCCAATTCCAAAAATAAATCTCTCTCTCTCTCTCTATCATCTATATATCATCTATCATCTATATATCATCTATCATCTACATATCATCTATCTAATCTACCTACCTAATTTTCTATCATCTATATATCATCTATCTATCTAATCTACCTACCTAATTTTTCTATCTAATTTTCCTATCATCTATGTATGTATGTATGTATGTATCTAGCTGTCTATCTATCTCTCCTGTTTTTCTGGAGAACACTGACTAGTACAGTAGCCTTCAAAGTTGCAGGAAGAACTGGAAAAGTTGATCACGTATGAAGTTGCTCCAAGTCACCACAGTGCAAGGGCTTTATAAAAGGACATTTACACACATTAGAGTACATTGGAAAACAAAATTTAAAGAAAAAAATAAAGGTAAAACAAACACAAGCTACTCCTCACAGAAGAAGAGAGGACAATAAAATAAACCAACAGCAGGAAGTCAGGAAGAAGAAATGCACATCCCGTGGACGGGCGGACGTCGCTGAATCAGAGCAGGAGCACCAGCACCTCAGAACCCGGCTCAGGAACCCGATGTGACAAACATGGCCCTGGAGGGACCAGAGCGTAATGAACAAGGGCCGCATGAGAAAAGGCGGGACTTTAACAGAATGAAATAAAATTTATGGAAATTAAATAGTTACTGTGGTAAAAATGTACACAGGCAGTTACACATATTGGAAGCAGGCAAAGAATAAAATCAAAGGTCTGGTCTGAGGAGAGCTGAGGCTGTGGTCCAGGAATCAAGGGTCTTGTCTGGGGAGAGCTGAGGCTGTGGTCCAGGGCGTGCTATAGAGGAAAAAACCACTAGGAACATTAAAGGGAAGTTAGGAAATACAGAGGCTGGAAGGAAATTCCAAAAGGAGAAGGAGGAAAGAGAGATGTGATGATTTTACAAGCTCATGAGTGAGACCTTTGCAGAAACACATGAATCCTGAGATGAAGAAACTCAGTTTAAATCTAGACGTGTATAAATGAATGCATCCTCTTTGTGGCAAAATTATAAAACATGAATAATTGAGAAAAAGAAAAGAATTTATTAATACATCCAGAGAATAAAGCAACCTCAATCAATCAAATGGAAGTCAGGAAAGGACAAAAGGGAATCAATGGAAAGTGTACGGATAGAGAGAAGGATGAAACTCTGTAGTCCCTCTATTGAAAGGAAGCAGTCTAACAGAAAGATCATGATCTTTAACTAGGTTCTATCTATAAATATAACCTTAGAGGATGTAAAGTTTTAAAAATGACAAGATTGTGAAGTGAAGTGAACACACCCACGATTACTGTGGGGCAGATTAACACAACTCTCTCAGATACTTGGAAACAGCTCTGCCCAGTGAGCACCTCACTGTGGGACCTCAGGCGAGCACTCAGGGCCAGCCGGGGAAGCTGTGGTGCAGGCCTTCAGGCCACAGAATCTGGCTTCATAGGCTCAGCTGGACTCAGAAAATGCCCGTGACTGCTGACCTCCAAAGGGTCTGGAGCATGCTACCTCCCTGTGTAGAAACTGCTCGCGGTCCGGTGGGGGTAAATAAGTGAGGAAAACAGCTCCAGGCAAAGCTGAGTGAGGAAGACAAAGAAACAGAAAGCCACGGGAGCAATGCCCTGTTGGAAAGACACCGTTAATCATGGCCACAACTCAAGAGCGAGATCTTGCATTGCACAGAGAGAAACGTCACCTCATCCTCTCCCCGCTCAGCCGTCCCCACCACATCCTCCTGCTCATGGGTGGTCTAGGGCAGTTCAGCTCACTCCGTAGATGAGTGATGGAAAGAAAAACTGGCTGTATCCGCACAAAATACACAAGCAAAACCTAAACGGGCTTCTGAGCGGGAGTAAAAGACCACCCCAGAAAAGAGCTCCTGTAGATTGGAGGGAAACAAAGAGCCACCATTCCAGCAGGGCTGCAGGACAAAGCAGCTCAGCGTGGCAACTGCGAACATGGAAAAAGGATCACAAGCAGAAATAAGGTGACACGGAGAAGAGATAGCCAGGCACCAGGAGGGATGTCAGAATAAGGGGATGTAGAATAGGAAGTGACCAAACTCAGAAAGGAAATTGAAGAAAAAGACGCAGCTGTTTTAGAAATAAAGATGGAGCCATATAGAAGCCAAGAGACAATGGACGTTTCAGAAAGTCTATTATAGAAATGGAGGAATGGTCAGAAGTCAGGAAAAAGCTGAAGATCCTGAACGTTTTTCATGCAACTTCCCACAAACTTCTAGGAAAATATAAAAAATACAACAAAGCTCAGAACTGAAAAAGAGAGATGGCTCCTTACCTGCCCCTGTGTGTTGCGTCTGGCATTGACTTCAACAGCAGGTAAAGAAAATCTAGAAACAGTTTTTGTCATCATCTTATCTTTTGCTTCAACTTTCAATCTTGGATTTACCTGAAATGATATTGGTTATTTTACAGTCTTTTTAAAGCCGGTTTCTCCTGTTTGCAAACATAAGGATGGAAGAGTAGCAATGAGCTTTGTTGGGGAACAGCCGGAGGGCACAGAGGAGGAGTGACAAGACCCCAGAGGACCCAGGGAAAGGAGCAGGCAGGTCGGCGGCCGCAGCTTCACCCGGGCCGGAAGTGGACGATGAGACTCAAGGGGTCAGAGCAAGAGGAAGACGGTTCACTGCTCGGGGCACAGGGAGACCAGAGGCCCCAGCATGCAATAGCCAGGTCCAGACAGTGGCTGCCATGGAGTGAGCTGTACCCAGGGGAGCAACCCGGGCCAAGGCGTCAGTCCCTCTGACAGCCACCCAGGCCACCTCCTGGGAATAAGTCGTCATGAGCTGTCAGTCTAGATTACTGAATGCTTGCGTGACGAGCTACAGGGAGGGCTCAGGGCTGGGGCAGCTGAGCCTGGAGATTTGGATCAATCATCAGGGGCCTGCAGGGCCACTTTCACCCTCCCACCCCGTGGTCCTACATGTCCTCAGCAGAACTCGGATTTTCACAGGGATGTCCTCTGATCAGGTCCTCAGCTTAGACCCAGCACTGGGTCTCATTTGATGAGGGTTTTTGTCAGCAGACTCACAGGCAGCAGCATGCAGCCAGCCTATGGTTCTGACCTGGGCTGTGCACCCAGGACCCATCCAAGGGAGCCCCCCACAGAGGGGATGGTCATCTTGTTCCTGGTCACCGTGTAGCTTCTTGCTTGTGGGATGTGAATTGTTCAGCCTTTCTGGTGGCATGAATCCAAACACAGCAGGAAGTGTTGTTGACAACACAGCCCATTCCCTGTTCAGCCAGCGGCACCGTCTTCTGCAGCCAACCGTCCAGTCTACCATGACTGTCCGAGGGAGAGTGGAGTGGCCTCTGCTGACCCGGGGCTTGTGCTGTCTTCTGGACTTCCTCAGCTCTCGCCTCTGGGGAATGGGCTTTGACTTCTGGGAATAGGACTCACTGTGGTGTGTAGCCCAGCGTTGCTGAGAGGCATGATTCCGTGCCATCTGGAGTCCCTGTATTGGCCTGAAGCATGGGGTCCGGAGTGAGGCAGACTGGGGGCTGCCATGTACCCTCTAAGCGCATAACTTTCTCCTTTTCTCATCCCGCAGATTCATCAGTCTCCCATTTGGTAGAGCCGAGAGATTCCTGGAGCTCTCTCATTGCGGGACCTCCCCTTGGTGCCCTCTGTAGGGGTGCACTGTCCTGCGAGATGGTGGGGTTTGTGGGGGTGAGGGGGGCTGCAGTCCTGTAGGACCTCCCCTTGGTACCCTCTGCAGGGGCACGTCCTGCGGGACGGTGGGGTTTGTGGGGGTGAGGGGGGCTGCAGTCCTGTAAGATCTCCCCTTGGTGCCCTCGGCAGGGGTGCACTGTCCTGTAGGATGGTGGGGTGTGGGTGAGGGTGGCTGCAGTCCCGCTGTTCTCCTTGAGTGGGATCCTGGGCTCTCTCCCAGCCCTTGCCACCCAGAAAACCAGACAGCAGCCTGGAGCCACTTGTTTGCTGGCTGTGGTCCGGCATCTTGGCAGTTCTGTTACCCACTCTGCTGCCTCAATCCTGCAGACATCACTTGACGTTTCTGGCATAAACTTTGCCTGAAAACATACATTTAAAGATGATGGCTTAACCTATTCTTGTGTTGTTTTTTTTTAAATTATACTTTAAGTTTTAGGGTACATGTGCACAATGTGCAGGTTTGTTGCATATGTATACATGTGCCATGTTGGTGTGCTGCACCCATTAACTCGTCATTTAGCATTAGATATATCTCCTAATGCTATCCCTCCCCCTACCCCCACCCCACAACAGGCCCCAGTGTGTGATGTTCCCTTTCCTGTGTCCATGTGTTCTCATTGTTCAATTCCTACCTATGGGTGAGAACATACAGTGTTTGGTTTTTTGTCCTTGCGATAGTTTGCTGAGAATGATGGTTTCCAGCTTCATCCATGTCCCTACAAAGGACATGAACTCATCCTTTTTTATGGCTGCATAGTATTCCATGGTGTATATGTGCCACATTTTCTTAATCTGGTCTATCATTGTTGGACATTTGGGTTGGTTCCAAGTCTTTGCTATTGTGAATAGTGCCGCAATAAACATACGTGTGCATGTGTCTTTACAGCAGCATGATTTTTAATCTTTTGGGTATATACCCAGTAATGGGATGGTTGGGTCAAATGGTATTTCTAATTCTAGATCCCTGAGGAATCGCCACACTGTCTTCCACAATGGTTGAAGTAGTTTACAGTCCCACCAACAGTGTAAAAGTGTTCCTATTTCTCCACATCCTCTCCAGCACCTGTTGTTTCCTGACTTTTTAATGATCGCCGTTCTAACTGGTGTGAGATGGTACCTCATTGTGGTTTTGATTTGCATTTCTCTGATGGCCAGTGATGATGAGCATTTTTTCATGTTCCTGTTGGCTGCATAAATGTCTTCTTTTGAGAAGTGTCTGTTCATATCCTTTGCCCACTTTTTGATGGGGTTGTTTGTTTTTTTTCTTGTAAATTTGTTTGAGTTCTTTGTAGATTCTGGATATTAGCCCTTTGTCAGATGAGTAGATTGCAAAAATTTTCTCCCATCTTGTGTTTTTTTAAAGAAAAAGTTTTATTGGGGTATAAGTGCTGTATAAGAAACTCATATATAAAATCCAAAATTTGATACATTTTGGCATATGTGTATACCAGTAACCCATTCTTCTTTTTCTTTTTTCTTTTTTTTTTTTATTTTTAGAGACAGATTTTCACTCCTGTCGCCCAGGCTGGAGTGCAATGGCGTGGTCTTGGCTCACTGCAACCTCCACCTCCTGGGTTCAAGCAATTCTCCTGCCTCAACCTCCCAAGTAGCTGGGATTACAGCTGGCACCCACCACCATGCCCGGCTAATTTTTGTATTTTTAGTAGAGACAGGGTTTCACCATGTTGGCCAGACTGATCTTGAACTCCTGACCTCAAGTGATCCACCCGCCTTGGCCTCCCAAAGTGCTGGGATTACAGGGGTGAGCCACTGTGTCCAGCCTCTTCTTTTTCTTTATGGAATGGGATTTTGGAAGCTTACAACGTGCCATCATTTTCCTTGATGTTTTTTCTATTTAATAGAATCATTTAAATATTTCATATTTATCATTATAGTTGAATTAATTGCTGCATTGTTTGTGGTTTCTCTGCTCCTTGGCTGTGATTTAGGAGCTACCAATATTGTTTCTAACTCAAATAAGAGGTCATCTTAAGTGAAAAAAGGATGCCTATTAAAGTCAACATTTCCAAATGTTATAATAAAAATGTGCGTGTGTATAAAATGCTTTATTTTATAGTTGTTCCCTCAGTACCGATGCTCATTAATACATTCCTGAGTTTACACTTCTGCATTTTTATTTGTTCTCATCCAGGAAAGCTTTCAGTTTTTAACTTGAAATCCAGTCGTTTTGTCAAGATGTGAGTGGTAGTTCATGTCTCAAAATAATTCACCTGGAGCATATTGAGCCTGTAGATCAGAATTTTTTTTGCCCCCAGCGGAAAGAGGTTTTTTTTTTTGTTTCTGTTTTTTTTTTTTCCATTTAGAATTTTGTTTCAGTTGTCTTGTTTCTGTTTCACTTTTAAAAAAATGTTTCCTTAAAGAGAAGATCAATGATTCCTGGGTTAGACTTCCTTTTACTTTCTCTTTATATATTTTTTTCTATAATTAAAGAAAATTACTTTGTGTTATTCCTTTGAATTTGTAAAAACTTGTCAAGTGTTTTCTCTGAATTATATATTGAATATTTTAAATCTCTAGTACTTAATTTTAATTCTAGGATTTTGTTCTGGCTTCCTTGATCACTTTTCTTCTCCCATTCAGCTACTTTAAAAGTCCCAGACAATATTGAATATTTCATATGGATAACAGTAATAACAGCCAATACTTTCTGAGTGGATATGAAGTGCCAGACACTGTTCTTAGTGCTTTTGTTTATTAACTCACTTTATATCCAAAACACCTTGCTAGACAGGAAGATTACTAGCCCTATTTTACAGATGAGGACATCAAGGCCTCGAGGAATTAAATAACTTGCCCAAGGTCATATCTTGTAAGTTTGGAAGCTTGTGTGACTCCAGGCAGCCAGGACACAAGGTCACACCGATGTGGCTGATCCACGTGCCTCTACCCTTCTTGGCTTCCTACTTGGAGGGTGGTCATTTGGTGTGTAATTGGAGGTGCTCAGCCGAATTTTTTTTCAATACTTGCTTTTTTCAATATTAAGTAATTTTCTAACTAATGCTTTTCTTCCATGCAATTTTCTCTCCTCTTCTGCTACGGAATGTTTTCATGGAGCTGATATTTCTCTGCGTTTTCTGTTTGTTTGCAATCTCTGATTTTTAAATTTTATTTGATCTCTGAAACAAAATATATTTATAGAGGTTTTTATAGCAGCTGTGGGACTGGATTTCCTTTGTTCTTTCTAGCTTTTTTTTTTTTTTTGAGATGGAGTTTCACTCTGTTGCACAGGCTGGAGCTCACTGCAACCTCCACCTCCCAGGTTCAAGCGATTCTCCTGCAGTAGCCTCCTGAGTAGCTGAGATTATAGGTGCCTGCCACCACGCCTGGCTAATTTTTGTATTTTTGGTAGAGATTTTTTTTTTTTTTTTTGAGATGGAGTTTCACTCTTGTTGCCCAGGCTGGAGTGCAGTAGTGCGATCTCGGCTCACTGCAACCTCTGCCTTCCGGTTTCAAGCGAGTCTCCTGCCTCAGCCTCCAGAGTAGCTGGGATTACAGATGACCACCACCATGTCTGGCTAATTTTTTGTATTTTTAGTAGAGATGGAGTTTCACCATGTTGGCCAGGATGGTCTTGATCTCTTGACCTCATGATCTGCCCGCCTCAGACTCCCAAAGTGCTGGGATTACAGGCATGAACCACTGCGCCCGGCCTCTTTCTAGCATTTATTAAGGTGGTGAATAGACCTAAGAAAATGTTGCCGGCTGGTAGTTCAGTTGTTCTGGAAGTCCTCTAGCAATATTTGTATTGCCTATGGAATATTAATTAACCATTCACTGAGTACAGAGGTGGTGTACTGCTGCGTCTTTGGCCTGAGAGGATTCGCCTGACTACCTGAGGTCATTTGCATAGGGCAGCAGCTGGAGGGCACCCTGTAAAACAGTGGAAGAACAAGTGATTCCTCTGGTTAGAACCCGGCAAGAGCTTCTCACCAATAGGAACCATGTCCTCACTGTGGCCTGTGTGTCTCTCCATGCACAACTCCCCTCTTAGCCCCCTGCCCTGCCTTACACCCTGATCCAGCTGCCTCTGTGCTCCGCCGTGATAGTGATGGATCCCAGGGCAGCAAGATGGTCGGAGGTGGGAGGGCAGGAGGTGAGAGGCTGCCTTGGTGGCTTGCTGTGGACATCAGGGTGAAGAGAGGCTCACTGCAACGGAGGAGGGTTAGGTGGATCAGGAGGAGGGTCAGGTGGATCAGGAGGAGGGTCAGTTGGATCAGGAGGAGGGTCAGGTGGATCAGGAGGAGGGTCAGTTGGGTCAGGAGGAGGTGGATCAGGAGGAGGGTCAGGTGGATCAGGAGGAGGTGGATGAGGAGGAGGGTCAGGTGGATCAGGAGGAGGGTTAGGTAGATCAGGACCAGGAGTGACTCAGGTAGACGCACTCCATCGCAGGTGGATGCTGGATCTTCGAGAATGTTAGCAAAACGCTGACAGTCCAGCCCTAAGGGTGAGGAGCACGGTGGCTCAGTATCACCGTGTGTCAGGCGAGCCTGGAGTAACTATGGAGGCTTCTACTCCCTTACTTCTGCCAAGGATGTGAGGATGCACCTCCGATTTTGCCGTTGTTTTTAATAATCCAGTTCCTTGGTAATTACCCTGTGTGTGCCTCGCTCTGGAATCCATGTGCTTTAGGAGGGGTGGGTCCTGAGCAGCGTGTCTCCTGTGTGGTAGGTGCTCCTTAGAGACATGCCTGCCTGGGTGACTTTCTGGAATCACTGAGTTTCTTTATGAAGGAGATAATGTATACAGCGGTCCATTTCCAAGACAAAGTGCCTTAAGTGGGCTTAGGTCAGCAAAACTACAGAAAAAACAGGAGAGACTAGGCCTGTGCTTGCATCACCGATGCCTGCTTGTTGGCCTCCCTGCCTTCACCCGCTCTTAGTTGCCCTCACCCCAACCAAAGATGTTTAGTCTAAGATGAAAGTTTACTAGCCTGCAAAATAGCTCGTTTTGTTTGTTCTTATCAGCCTGCCCAGCTACTTAGGTCTTAAGTCAAATACTTGAAGAGCCCCTGAGCTGACTAGGATTGCAGTGAATTGTGGGCTGTGACAAAATGCAGCAGGACAACCCTACAGCCCCTGCCCAGCAACCAACAGGTGACATCTGGGAGGATTGTGACCCCATAGTACTCAGCCTATGAGGAACTGGGGGAGGGACCTGCACCCTTCAGCCCCTATCCAACAACCAATAGGTGACATCCAGGAAGATTGTGACCCTACAGTACTCAGCCTATGAGGAAGCGAGGGAGGGACCTGTGCCCAGCAGCCCCTACCCAACAACCAACAGGCGACATCCAGGAAGATTGTGACCCCACAGTACTCAGCCTATGAGGAACCGGGGGAGGGACCTGCACACTACCCCCCTTGCCCAGCAACCAATAGGTGATGTCTGGGAAGACTGTGACCCCACAGTACTCAGCCTGTGAGGAACCGGGGGAGGGACCTGCACACTACACCCCTTGCCGAGCAACCAATAGGTGATGTCTGGGAAGACTGTGACCCCGTAGTACTCAGCCTATGAGAAACCAGGGGAGGAGCCTGCACCCTACAGCCCCTACCCAACAACCAACAGGCGATGTCTGGGAGGATTGTGACCCCGTAGTACTCAGCCTATGAGGAACCGGGGAGGGATCTGCGCAGTAGGGGATAAATGGCTTGTTGTAACCGTGCTGGATGTGCCTGCCCACCAGACACCCGATCTTTCAAGGCTGTCGTTTAAAGTCTCACTTTTGCTCCTCTCCAGGTCTCTAGTCCATTCTTTGGGTTTGGAGGGGTGAGTTTGTTTACCACATTTAAAATACACTTTTTTCAATTCCTAAGCAAACTCCTTACACTATAGCTATGGGGGAATAGAAAACTTTAGGCACAGCGCCTGAATACAGGCCATCTGTTTGGTAAGAACACAGTTTATGATCACAGCATAAGATGACACCTCACTGCGTCCACAGCACTGGGAACAACAGCAGGGTGTTCACATGGCAAAGAGGCTGAGAATTCCTAATATCAGCTATTGGTTTGCATAATTTACCTGCTTTCATATACCGTTATTGTTATTATCGCTACCATTTTGCCATACTGTGGTTTTAACTTTGCCATCAACTGAAGGGAGAAGCTGGAGCTTTGGTTTCAGCCATGTGCGTTGCCCTGTGTTCCTCATTTCTACCGTGACTTTCCCTTGGCTTCTGCCGCCTACTTCTAAATTCATGGTTTAGAGCATTAACCACATTCCCTGCTCACTGCTCTTTGGGGGGCCAGCTGAGGCTGGGGGATCCACTTCTGATATGATCCCACCCACAGGGCTGCTGTGTTGGCGCTGGCTGTGGGCGAGGAGCTGAGTCCTTCTCCAGGAGGCAGTTCCAGGGCAGTGGGATTCTTCAGTGGCAATGGGCTTCCCCCAGATGGCTAAGGTAGGAGCTGCCCGGCCCTCCTAGGGCTTACGTACGTCCAGACCCAGCCCAGGGTTGCTTTGGCCTTGTTCTCTTTGTTGAGGCAGAACTCAGGGACACATCAGGGTCAAAGGTAAGCTGGAGTCTTGGTTCACTGGGGACCCTGGGATAGCAACACACCATTTAACTCACCCAATAGCAACACACCCTTTAACCCTTTGTCCCTGAGCGAGCCAGCTTCCCTCGACCCTAACTGCCCTCCTGCATTCAGCAGGCATCCTAAAAACACAGCTCAAGTGCCAAGGTCTTCGTGAAGACTTCCAGGTCCCTACAGGAGGTTTCTGTGTGCCTTGCTTTCACATCAGGTTGGATAATTACGGTCGCAAGCGTGCTTGCAGTCCATTCACACATTTAGACACAGGGACCTCCCCACCAGGCTGAACTCCTCGAGGAGAACACAAGCCCTGTCAGATGTCTCCTTCTGCCCTCGCCGATGGGGGGAGCGGCCGTTACGGCTGAGCGGTGTCCCTCTCAAACCAGTGTTGAAGCCTCTCATGTGACTGTGTGACTGTCTTTGGAGACGGGGCCTTTAAAGAGTTGAGTAAGGCTAAGTGAGGTCATATGGGTGGCCCTGATTCAATCTGACCCACCACCTTATATGAAGAGGAGTTTAGGACACAGACACGAAGAGACAGAGGCTGTGAGGACACAGGGACAACACAGCATCACAAGCCGAGGAGAGAGGCCTCAGGAGGAACCAGCCCTGTCCACAACTGGATCTGGGACTTCCAGCCTCCGGGACTGCGAGGAAAGGAATTCCTGTGGTTTGAGCCGCTCAGCCTGGGACACCGTGTCACGGCAGCCCAGGCAGGACACAGCGGCCCCCAGGAAGGAGGGGCCCAGTGTGGAGTGTGTGGACATCAGGCATGAGGCCAGGCCAGGTGGTAGACGGAGCCTTCACAATACAAGAAGAGGAAGGTTTCTTTTAGGTTTCTCACTGCTTGTGACGTAAGCAGTTAGACCGAGACCCGTATCCATTTAACAAATATTTTTGTACAACTTTCCCAAGTTGAGTTTAATTATCAAAGCAAAATGCATAGGTAATGTGGGACTCTAAACTTAGGACTCTTCGTGCATTACTGGTGAGGGTGAAAGGATTACGAAGGGCAGAGATGAAATGACAAAACACTCTACTCATCTTTTAATCTTGTGAGGAGTTCAGAACAGATGGCCCGTTTGAACAGAAATGTTATATTTCTTATGAAAATAAATGATACCCCAGGCAAGCATCTTGGCAGCTGAGATTCACTCACTATTCTGATTAACACCACAGCCGTTGCATAGGCACATTAAAATGTAGAGCTTAACGACAATAAGCTATTTGAACAGATTTTTAAACACATATTTATTCATTAAAAAGGGATGAAAGCATTTGCATCGGTAAGTTGTTTAACTAGAAACAGAATATTTGTGAGATGTAGCATTTCTCAAACACTATTTTAAATGGAAATTTAAGTTCTTTAATTCCAAGCTTTCTGACTTATTGATGAGTGTTGCCATGATATAACTTACTAAACTTTATGTCTTTAGCTCTAGTTCATGCTACTTATGGAAGACATTTTGAAAATTACAAATTTGGAATGTAGATTTAATAGCCAGGATTCGGTGACCATATCTATAATTATATTGACAGCTGGAGTTGGCTAAACATTTGCTGAAATAAACTTTACATAAAATAGAATCTATTCTCCTGATTTAATTATTGGTTAGTATTTCCTATTGTAGATGATACATTCCTAAATCACATCCTCCTCCCTTGACTTCCCCCTACACACACAGGCATACACACACACACACACATACACTATACACACATATACATACACACACGTGCATACACACACATACACACATACTATACACACATATACATACACACATATATACACACACACTATACACACATATACATACACACATGCATACACACACATACACACTATACACACATATACATATATACACACATACACACATGCACACACATACTATACACACATACATACATATATACACACACATACACATGCATACACACACATATACTATACACACATACACACACATATATACACATACATGCATACACACATACACACATACTATACACACATATACATATATACACACATACACACACTATACACACATACATATACATATATACACACATACATGCATACACACACAGTATACACACATACATACACACATATATACACACATATACACATGCATACACACACATATACTATACACACATATGCATACACATATATATACATACACATATATACACACAAATACACACACATATACTATACACACATATACATACACACACAATTTTATGCATACTTTTCTGGGAAACTGTTTTATTTAAGATATTTTATGTTTTCTCCTTTCCAATAATTCATTTGAAGTTTTTTTTAAGGCAGGACTTGCAGAAATAACATGCCGATGATGTTTCTTCCTTTTCGAGGTTAGAAAAAATTTTTTTTATGTTATTAGGTCACACTTGACCAAAAGTCTGCCTTTTTCTTCCCAACACAGACTAATAGCTCAGCGCATTAAAACAAAAAAATGGTTTTCAGAGCAAACACTTGTGTCTTCTGATTTTCATTCAGTCCGAATGGCATATGGAACCTGCTGATTTGAATGGAATCATGCAGATCCCAGGCATTGCTCATGGCTTATTTCCTTGTCAATAGCCAAGAATGGCTCATTCATCTTACATTCATAGAATATTTATTGCGTATTACTGTATTCCAGGTATGCTGGAAGGTCCTGGAGATTCAAGTGTGGGAAGGCAGTCCCGGCCCCCATTGCTCGCCGAACAGCTTCCAGTCTGCACGGAAGTAAGTACTCTCGGGTGGTTTGAGGAACAGCAATGCACAGCTGATATAGAAATTGGTCTGCTAAAGTTGGTTACTGTCATCACAAAACCTAAAACACCTGCTGTTGATGGGCCGTGGACAGGGTGGTGGGTGGCAAATGAAATGGCAGCGAGCGGGGACTGGCACCCTTCAGAGAAGCTGTTGTGGACCCCAGGCAGGGTAGATGCCTGCAGGGTAGACCCACGACAACCGCAGAACTGTCAGGGGAGATAGAGTGAAGCTGAGGAGCTTCATCTGGCAAAGGCGAGCTCCAGCAGTCAGCGTTTCGGCCGAGTTCTCCTGGTGGTGCAGGACAGGGGAGGACATGAGCGCCGCCGTCGGCAGCAGAATCGAGAGGGGACACCCAGAGGCCAGTGCTTGTAGGGTTGTATGAGAAAACTCATTTCAGTCTCCTCATCCAGTAAAATATCCTAAAAAATCCAAACCAGAAAACCAGAAAGCAAGTGGGGAACACAGATCAAATCAAGGGCACAGCTCCAAGGCTGGTTTCAGACCTCTAAGGTAGCAAAGCAAAAGTGCGATTCAGCCTCTCAGCCAGAAAGAAGAGCTTCCAGCACCCTAAGGGTGGTATCCCAAAACCATCCGAAATGCCTGAAACAGACCCAAATCTAGAATTAAAGGCATTTTTCAAAAATGCCTGTGGTGTGTGTGTGTGTGGCCTTTGCCAAATGGAGTAGATTCCAAACAAATGCATAGATAGCTGCCAGTGTTATTTTTCTATCAAGCATCTTCTAAAACAGTAAGGTATAATTTTCATACAGTAAAATATATAGATTAGAATTGTACAGTCTGATACATTTTGACAAATTTATGTTTATATCCTCATCACTCTAATCCAGAGACATTGCATTTCTACAAGTCCAGAAAGTTATCCTCATCCCCTTGCTCATGACTCGGCCCCTGCCTTTGAGGCAGCCACCCCTCGGCATTTCTCGTCATTGGTTAGTTTTGCCTGTCCTGAAGCTTCGTATAAATGGAGTCAGTGAGCGCCTTGCCGCCTGCTCGTGGCCTTCGAGGCTCATTGTGTTTCCCGCTTCCACATGTCCATGCTATTTGCATTCTTACCATCAAAAGTCCAAGTCTGTTTCTCCAGCCCCGAGTCAAGGCTGGCCCTGAGATTTACTCTGTTCAACAGAAAGAGGTGGAGTTGACTTTGTGCCTGTCCAAACACTGGCCCTGAAGGGCATGTGTATGGCTTTGCTCTCTTTTATGAGGCTGCCGTGATCACGTGCACAGGCCAGACTAGCTTGTTGGGTGTTAAGTCATGTGACCTAGTTACCGCATTGCCCAGGCAGGCTCCAGGCTACCCTCTGACACGTGGGTGAGGCCATCCTGAACCCCTCAGTCCCAACGCCACCTGTCAGCTGACCACAGAGGCATGAACCAGCCCAGGCTGACTGATTGGCTGAACCACCCCCATTGACTGATTGGCTGAACCAACCCTATTGCCTTATTGGCTGAACCACCCCCATTGACTCGAGTTGTGATTAAGGTCAGTCGTTTTGGGGTGGTTTATGACACGGCAGTAAACCGCAGACCGTAGTTCAACGGAAATCTGATGCTCTTTCTGAGTTGGGCAATGCATGTCCATACATACTGGAGTATGCATATTAATGTATAAAACAGATGCTAATTTGTAAGGGGAGAAGTTGCATTCTGTTCAAACTAATATCAGGAAGTGAGGATTCTGCATAAAATGCAATACTGATTTCTAAGTATTAGGGAGAAAAATCAACCTATAAAAAAGATAAATAAGTGAAGAGTTAACCAAAAAAAACCCAAAAAACTTTCGTAAGGTCTTTGTGATGTAATGTTATAATTTGCTCTTTGAAATGCCTTTATAATGGACTGGGAGAGAAAAGATCATCCCCAGTTGGGGTGGGCACCATCCAATCGCCGCCAGCGCGGCTAGAAAAAGCAGGCAGAAGAAGGTGGAAGGAGCTGGCTTGCTGAGTCTTCCCACCTTTGTCTTTCTCCCGTGCCAGAAGCTTCCTGCCTTTGGACATCAGACTCCAAGTTCTTCAACTCCTTTTCCCAGAGCTGGCGACACCCCACTTGGCCCTTCTTGTATTCCGTAATGAATATTTTGGTAACGTGCTCCTCAAAGCCACTGGGTTGCTGGGTCATTGTCCCCTCCTTAGCAGCCAGTGAGTGGAGATTCAGGGAGGTCTCTCTGCACCCCCAGAGTGTGGAGCTGCCCTTTAACCACCAAGGGAAGCTCCCTCAGCCACGTGCTTCCCAGGACCTGGTGCTTGAGAAACGCTTGGATTAATTAGAGGGACCCAGAGCTGACGCTGCCGGCGCTCCGTGTGTGGGGCTGGGTGGCTCCACCGGAGCTGTGGCCACTGCGAGACCCCGACCCCTTGCTGCGTCCACTGCCGGCCTCACCCCCGTGCCTGAGGAGGCTCCCCAGTGTCTCCCTGGATCCCTAGGTCTGTGTCTTCCAGCACCGTGGGCCACGTGTGTCAGGCCCTGGGGCCAGCCTTGGACACGCTCCTCTGTCCTTGCCTCCCAGCCTGGCTTTGTCAGGTGTGACCTCTGTGAGAGCCTCTGTGAGACCACCCACACCTGCCAGCGTTGCTCCTACTCTCCCGCGCCTGCGTTCCAGCCTCTGTGGGCTCAGTGGGGATGGTTTCTTATGTGGCCCTGTCGAAAGGGTGTCTGTGTCCCTCGTCCCCTTGGACCGGTTGGGCTTCCCACCCAGAGGGCCGTCAAAGTGACCGTGGGGGCTTAGAAACCGCCTCACTTTGTGTTGTTGGCTGGAACCTGCACTCCCTCAGTGCTGAGCGCCGTTGAGGAACTCTGACTGCCCGAGGCCTCCTGCAGGCACCTGCAGGCCCCATCTGGGCCCGTGCACCTTGCAGCCTCCTTCCCCACAGGGCACCAGACATGTGAATGACGCTGTCCCGAACCCTCCAGTCCAGCCCCTGCAGCGGCTGAGCATCACCCACTGCTTTAGGGGAAACAGAGACCTCACCAGGTGAGTCCGCCTGAGTTCCTACCTAGAAACCCGGACAGGTGATAAAATGGCTGCTATTGAGCCACTGCGTCCTGGGGTAACGTGCAGTGAGGTGTGCCCGGGGCTTTCTAAATGCCCTTCCTCTTCTTCCCTTCCTTGAACACACACACGCCCGCCCTGCACCCTGCACCCTCAGACCCGTCCGTGTTCTGTGTGAACCTGCCTGTGAAAAATCCGTCCCTCCGGGCATCCCTTCCTCCTCCGGCCGACCCGTTTACCCCACACAAGAGAACTCACTTTCCAGCGTGGAGCCTCATTTATCGCCTGAACCACTTCTGAAAAAAATTAGGCAAGCCAGGCACGCTGGCTCATGCCTGTAATCCCAGCAATTTGGGAGGCCGAGGAGGGCGGATCATCTGAGGTTAGGAGTTCAAGACCCCGTCTCTACTGAAAATACAAAATTAGTCGGATGTGGTGGTGCACGACTGTAATCCCAGCTACTCAGGAGGCCGAGGCAGGAAAATCGCTTGAACCTGTGAGGCAGAGGTTGCAGTGAGCCGAGATCACGCCACTGCACTGCAGCCTGGGCGACAAGAGCAAAACTCCATCTCAAAAAAAAAAAAAAAAAAAAAAAAAAAAGAAATTAGGCAAATCCCTCAGGGTCAGTTTGTAGGAAAGCGTTTTTACTCATCAGCAGACAGGCTGCTTAGAGACAGTGCAGACCCTATAAACATCCTCCTGGAAATGAAACCCCGACAGGAAAGCCTAAGCCAGGGCAGAGAGGGAAGGAAAAGACACCGTCTCCTGTCGACGGCGAGTGCCGCCTCTGCTACTAGCTTTAAAAAGGCATTTATTTCCACAGACGGTTTCAATCCATCTTGATGGAATTAAACATTACAAAACAAAGTAAAAGTGATTAAAGCCTATCTCAGAACATAAAGGACAGCTTATTTCAAGGAATTGGATTCCTGGGAATTGAGTTAAGGGAAATGGAGAATCGAATTACGTGGAAGGCACCGCAGTGCCCCGCTTCCCTTCTTGACATCAGCCCATCCCTGGCAGGACGCAGAGCCACCAGAGCCAGAGCCACCGGCCCGAGCAGAACGATCATGTCCTAGTTATTCTCCTGAGCAGATTCAATCATTTTGGTCATTTCATAAGTTACCTACTGAGCAATGTCATACGCAGACAAATTGATTTCTCTTCGCATGTTAGAGCCACGGATTTGAGAAAATACAACCTGCTCCCCAGCGTAAGGTGATCTGCCCGCGTGGGGAGAGACAGCGTGTGGAAGGAGGTTCCCATGAATGCTGATCACAGAGTCTGTGAGCTTCCTCTGGAGCCAGTTTCCTCCTCAGCCTCCCTAAACCGAGTCCAGGAAAACCTGCCAGCTGTGGAACACTTTCATTAACACAAGATCCTGGCACTGCCGTATTTGACTAAACTGTGTAGGTTATGGTATAATTAGGGCATTATTCTTCCCTAATAACTGAGGCCACTTCAATTAAACTCTACATGGATAAAATATAAAAGAAGTCAGGAAACGCAGGCTGCAGTTGTGATTCTAGGCACTTAGCTCGCCTCTGTGGCTGCCGTTTTTATTGTGCTAATTAGCAACGGACCTTACACCTTAGACTGGGAAGTTCAGAGAATGAATGCGTGTGTACACTCCTGTTCCCAGGGCGTATTTCAGATATTTATGAAATACGTGAGTATTTTAACTAACAAATAATAGGACATTAGAAGATCTAGGGCCGGGCGCGGTGGCTCACGCCTGTAATCCCAGCACTTTGGGAGGCCGAGGCGGGTGGATCATGAGGTCAGGAGATCGAGACCATCCTGGCTAACAAGGTGAAACCCCGTCTCTACTAAAAATACAAAAAATTAGCCGGGCGCGGTGGCGGGCGCCTGTAGTCCCAGCTACTCGGGAGGCTGAGGCAGGAGAATGGCGTGAACCCGGGAAGCGGAGCTTGCAGTGAGCCGAGATTGCGCCACTGCAGTCCGCAGTCCGGCCTGGGCGACAGAGCGAGACTCCGTCTCAAAAAAAAAAAAAAAAAAAAAAAAAAGAAGATCTAAAGCAGGCAGTGAAGACATCGACTCTTTAGATAAAGGAGTGTTTGTGTGATTTCCTTCACAAGTGGAGAGTGTGTTACATGCTAAAGAGACATAAGGAAAAGTTGAAAAATACGTACAATGTGTATGTCAGATGCTACAACCTGACCCTAAGATCCGACTTCTCTGCATGGTCATCAAGCTGGAATCAAGACTTTTAAAACCAAGTGCCCATTCCCCCTGTCACTGACTCTATGGCACATCTTAAAATCTTAAAATGTAAGTGGTGTCCTAGAACTAAATACATGTAATTTCCTTTGACCATACCTACAACACGGACATCTAGCAAAGCACATTTAGAGGAGGAAGCAGATCCGAAAATGAGTTTGTGACGTGGGGCCTTTGAGGGAATTGAAAATCCTGGAAGCTTGAAAATCGTGTGGGTCTGTTTTGCTTCCCTGTGCTAAGTTTAAAGCTGCCATTCTCTAATGTCCATCCACTGGTCCTGTTCTGTCTTCTAGAATAACAAACAATTACAATAGCCACTCTTCTGTTTGAATTGTTGGAATTAGGCATGCTGGGCGGAGCACACAGTGGTGGAGTCCAGGGTGGAGGCTGATGGCCTGATGGAAACCCCACTCCTGCGTCATCGTCAGAAGAATGTATTTTCCTTTGGCAAGTCAAGGTTTTTAAGGCTGGGTGTGTATTCCAGGAAGAGAAAACCAAGCACTGCACGCTATTACTTGTAAGTGGGTGCTGAACAATGAGATCACATGGACACAGGGAGGGGAACAGCACACATTGGGGCCTGTGTAGGGGGGTCAGCATGCGGAGGGAAAGCATCAAGATAAATAGCTAATTCATGCTGGGGTTAATACCTAGGTGATGGATTGACAGGTGCAGCAAACCACCATGGCACATGTTTACCTGTGTAACAAACCTGCACATCCTTCACATGTATCCCAGAACTTAAATAAAATAAAAAGGCTGGGTGCATATTTATAATAATTGTGCTTGAAGCAAAAGATTCAAGGAGGATGCTGTGCGGAAGGGGCTGGATCAGGCCAAGAGTGAAGGGGTCGGGGCCATCTTGGGTCTGCAGACCTCCTGCATGTCCTGAATTGGGCCAGGTCACCTAATCTCTCAGCCTTCCTTCCTCATCTGTACAATGGGGAGGAAACTCCAAAACTCACGTCTGGAATTTATCATGAGGATGAACTGGAAAAATAGAGGCAAAACGCTCACAGAGGCCACATCCTATGTGTTGATGGTGGTGATTAATAGTTGGCTCTGCATGCCAGGGATAAAGCAGTGAACCGAGCAGGCAGAAGATCTCGAGTCTTCAGAGAGCTCATGTCAGCTCAGGGAAGGTGGACAGCCATCAGATGGGCTTGCCGTTACAGTGCTCAGTGGGTGCAAGAGCTATGTGCAAAATTAGGGCAGAAGAAGAGGGTCTGGGAGGGCTGGGGTGGGTGAGAGATCTAAGGCCATGCCCAGGAGAGACCTCGGTGAGAAGGGCCTTTGGAGAATGGACTGGAAAGAAGGGAGGGAGCCTGGTGGGTGTTTGGAGGATGGAGAGGCAGGTGCCGCTGGGGCAGGAGTGGCCTGGTGTGTCTGGAGAAGCACACAGCCACCGCAGTGGGTGGAGAGAGGAGAGCAGGCAGGCAAAGGAAGGAGCGCTCATGCAGAGCACACAGGCCAGGCAGGGACAGGAGAGAGGAGTGTCGCATGCAGAGCACACAGGCCGGGCGTGGACAGGAGAGAGGAGTGTCACATGCAGAGCACACAGGCCGGGCACGGACAGGAGAGAGGAGTGTCACATGCAGAGCACCCAGGCCGGGCACGGACAGGAGAGAGGAGTGTCACATGCAGAGCACACAGGCCGGGCACGGACAGGAGAGAGGAGTGTCACATGCAGCCAATGTTTCCTCGGCCTCTTGTTTGCAGGAGGATCAGGCGGGTAGAGGGAGGAAGGGAGAACGGGACCAGCGAAGGGGCTCCTTAGCCACCCAGAAGCAGGAGGTGGGTGAAGGGAGAGCTGGTGAGAGCTGACCGACCTGGCCATATTCTGGAGTTAGAGGCAGCCGGGGTTTCTGGCAGATGGACAGTGAGATGCTGAGGAAAGAGGAACCTGGGCAGCCAAGAAGGGGAACTCACCAAGCACAGGGCGGGGACTGAGGTGGGGCAGGGCTGGGGAGCAGGAGGATCCCAGCAGGGTGCCCCGAGGCAGATGTGGAGAGGTGGGAGTCCCTTAGGTGATATGCTACTGTCTGTGTTAATCACTCAGGTGTGTGGTGAGAACACCCAGACCAGGCTACTTAGAAGTGGATGTCGATATCAGTCAAATCTGTTGCCAGGGCTAGGAGACCTGAATGTTGGGAGAACCACAGAAGACCCTGGGAAAGGGACAGGAAATTCTCTTTGAAAAGTGAGTTTGTAGGCCTGGTGAGCTTCACTTTTGCTCACTTGGGGCTTTGGAAACAGGTGAGATGTCTGAGTATGTGCTCTTTGAGGGCAGGAACCCTTGTTTCTCATCCTGGCTTCCAAAAAGCACGACAGACACACTGGTAGAGACAGTCTTAAATATCTGTGGGCCTTTCCTCGCCCACGTGAAGATGAGTTTTCCTGTAAGGAAGGAAACATTTCGAGTGGACAGGGCTGAGAGCTGCCTGGTGGGAGGTGCAGAGTCCTGCAACAGCCGCACCAGGGGAGCAGAGGGACGGTGTCACCTCTGTCACCTCTCGGAGGGGGGTGACACCGATGGCTCCAGAAGAGAGTCTGCAAATGAGGACACATGAGGCTAAGCCTGGAAGCTCAGGCAGGCGTGCTAGGTTGCGACTCTGCAAATGAGGACACAGGAGGCTAAGCCTGGAAGCGTGGGAAGCTCAGGCGGGGGTGCTGGGTCCCAGGCCGAGGAGTCTGTTTGCTTCCCTGAACTCCTCCGTGCTTTGAATCCAAACACCTGGGCGGCTTTCACTTTCGTGGGGAGTTGATGTCACTCCCCACGGCAATTTGAATGACTGGTTCTAGGACTTGATGAGGACTGGAAGGTATTTCTGGTGGTTGTCATTGCAGCCAAGTGTGGAGACCCTGTCTCCGGGAATAAAATTAGGTTGAGAAAAGCTATGGTGTGGACGTGTTTATTCCCCGAATATCACTGGGGTCTTTGCCTTGCTAATTCCCAGCTCTATGTTGCTGAGCTGTTGCTAGAGGGCGGTTCATTGAAGGCATCATTTAAACGCCTGGCCGCGAGATTTTATACCACAACATTTTCCCCCTAAAAAAGCGTTCATATTACAATGCCAGGCCAGACATGGTGTCTTACAGCTGTAATTCCAGCGATTCTGGAGTCCGAGGTAGGAGGATCACTTGAGCCTTGGAGTTAAAAACTTTGTCTCTACAAACAAACAAAGAAACAAACAAAAAATTACAATGCTATTATATTAATTTATTGTTTTAAAACTAATTATTGAGTTTGAAACTTTATTATTGACAACCATTATTCTAAATAATGACTTACTGCATCTTATAAAAGTCATATAAAGTCTTATAAAGACTGAATCAATTGCTCAACTCTGAAATCATACGCTCTAAGCAACTTGTCTTTCTTAAATATTTCTTTAAAACGATGTGCTGTTCTCTATTTCATTCCTCTTTGCCTGGAATGTAATTTTATTTCTCTTCACCTGGCTCATCTCCTCTCATCCTGAGGCCTCAGATTGCAGGCCACTTCCTTCCAGAGCCGCTTCCTCCCAGAGGGCCGGCGCCTTCCTCCCTCTCCCCCTGGCTGTTAGCGTTCCATCTTCTCTCCCCTGGGGGGCTCACACGTCCTGTATTTTAGAGCTCTCCTCTCTGTTGTATTATTGACTGTGTAGACATCAAATTTCCTACTATGCAGTTAGTTGCAATAGAGAAAAAACAATCTTTTGTTATTATTTTATCCCCAAGGTCCAATGTGTTATTAGATATTCAATACTTATTGAATGAGTAAACAACTGCTGATACCGTGAAGGATATAAAAATGCAAAATGTGATTCTTTTCTTGAAGAACTTCCAATCTCTGGGTGAAAACCATGCACACAGGGAGAGTAAAGGACAGCATGAGATCGCCTATATGAGTTTATGTGTTTACTGCAACGTAAACTCAGAAAGTGCAGAATCCACAGCCATCGTGCTCCCGGTTGTGTGGCCTAAGCCCCGCATGCAGCAGGCGGCAGACAGTGAACTGTGCCTGAACAAACGAAGAGGGAGCGGTGGAGAGGGAAATCTGGGAGGTGATGGGGGATGAGAGGAGCTTGGGCGTATTCTTGAATCACAGTTGAGCAGGATGTGGTTTCTGGGGATGAAACGCATCCTGCTAAATGCCCAGTGGGAAATGGGGGTTTGATTGACAGGCAGGCAGGGACCACTGTTGCCTACAAGGAAGGGAGGACCCAAGAAAGCATCTGCAGCTAATGCTGAGTATCACCGTCATTGTGCTCACCTGTTACTCACAGCGTATGCAGCGCTTCGGGATATGTTGTCCAACTTAATCCTACAATGTAGTGTGAACTGAGCAGAATAAGCACCATTATTTCCACGATATGAAAGAGCGAATAGTCATGAGGGAACTGATGACTCTGTAGAGAAAATGCTGTGTTCTATGGGCTGGTTCCACGTTTAATTTTTCCATCATCCTTTGTCTGTTTTCTTTAAATGCATCTTTTGAAGGATATAAAAAATAGATAAAATTATGTATACAATGTCCGTAATAGTAGTGCTATATATCTTATTAAAGGGTTATGAAAGCCATGTTATTTGTGACATACACATGCTCATTAACAGTAACATAAGCATGCATCAACACACACATGTATAAACATACACATTCACATACAATGTACACCCTTACATACACACATTCACACACTCACACAGGCACACACATGCATGAATGCACACACATGCACGAATCCACACGTGCACACTCACATACACACATGCACACTCACATACGAACACCTGTGCCCATACACACATGCACATGTTCACACATATGCAACACTGAAATGCACACAATACTCACATTCACATACACACGCATGCACTGTCATGCACGAACATATGCACACACGTGCACATACAATACACACTCACATGAACATCTGTGCACATGCACGCATGCACATATTCAAACATATGGAACACTCGCATGCACACAATACTCACATTCACATACGCACACACAGGCACATTCTCACATGTACACATGCACTGTCACGCAGGCACACGTGCGCAAACATACATGCACACATCCACAGATATGCACACATGCATAAGCACACACAATCACATGCACACACAGACATAGTCACACATACACACACATGCACAGACACACGCACATGCACAGTCTCACATGAGTGCACAGACATGCTCACACATACGCATACTTGCACACTCACACACGCATCAGTTCTTGCTAGGAATTTTCAAAGTTTCTACACAGAAATCAGTGCAGGAAGACAAACACCAGCCCAGAGCAGGGCAGCTGCAATGGGAAGCTCGCCTGAGAGGAGCGGGCATTGCCGCAGGTCACCAGGAAGCCCTCCTTGGGCGCTCGCCTCAGAGCCCGCCAGGAAGCTGTGCGTCTCTAGGAGGATCCCACTCAGCTGCAGCAAAGCCCTGCGCCGGGAAGGGAGCTCCATGCCCGCATGACTGTCCCTGAGAGCCGCGCTGCCCTGCCATAGGGTGGCTCAGCTGCTCCTCACTCACATTCATAATTCCAGAAAACAAGATATGTTTGTTTTCAACATATTTGATAAGGTGGGATGGCGAATTTTATTTCTTTGGGTTACATAAATATGAGTATAAGTAGTATAAGTAGTATAAGACAAAACAAAAAAGGAATGACCAGATATATGTCCTAACACAAAAATGTACTAAACATTAGGTTGCAATTCTCCTTGACTTTAAAAATGAGGTGAGCACCTTTCTTTACATTGTCAGATGATGTATCTAAGTATGGCTGCAAGCTTTGCATTGAGACCTGTTGGCTGCGGGGTTCATGCTGTCTGTGATTTGTTGTGTGGATTCAAAACACAATAAACATGTAATAGAAATAATTACATGAAGATACATTGATGTGGGTCATCTTTCAGCAACATCAAGCTCTTTAATACGTTTTTCAATTTTATATGAAATGAAAACAAATTATTCCACCATAGATAATTTCTTACATCCTAATATTGGGGCATTAAAAGAATAAGTTGTGGTATAAGAATCAGGAACGTGATTTTACAATGGTGATGAGAAAGCACTCAAGGAGGCCGTAGCCTGAATGCCGCGTGGCCGCACCTCCTGCGTGGACTCCCCAGGGACTGTCTTGACTCCGACTGGAGCACCGCAGCCGTGCGCCCTCTCCCAGGAGAGCAAGGTGCACCTTTAAAGATTCCAGATGATTTTCTTCACATATCTTTTTTTTTTTTTTTTTTTTTTTAACATGGAGTCTCACTCTATCACCCAGGCTGGAGTGCAGTGGTGTGATCTCGGCTCACTGTAACCTCTGCCCCCCAGGTTCAAGCGATTCTCCTGCCTCAGCCTCCCGAGAAGGTGGGATTACAGGTGCCTGCCACCACACCCGGCTAATTTTTTTATTTTTAGTAGAGATGGGGTTTCGCCGCATTGGCCAAGCTGGTCTTGAACTCGTGACCTCAGGTGAGCCACCTGCCTTGGCCTCCCAAAGTGCTGGGATTATAGGCTTGAGCCACCACGCCCGACCTCTTCACATATATTTGATTAAAAAAAAAATCTTGGAGACAGGGAAAGAAAAGAGGAGACGAGGAACAAAAAGAGAAAGGACGCAAATCAACATCCCCAAACGCCGCAGCCGCGACAATCGCTGTGGCCACTAGGTGGCGGGCTTGGTCCGCATTTCAGGCTGTGCGGCTCCTGCCCGGTGGGCGAGGCCTGGTCTGCAGGATTTCCAGGCTTTCTGTCCTGAGCCTCCTGCTTGAATTACGCCTGTGACTTTCAACACACGCAACGCCGTCCGGGGAGGTGAAGAGCGAAGAGGGTATTTTGCTTTGCTGAGTAGCCCGACGTTCCTTAGGAATGAAACCCACATATTCGTCGTCCATTTATTTTGAAGTACTTGGGTGTTTGAGGAGGGGAGACATGTAATATTTAATATACGTATTTTTTGCTTTCTGCGTAATTAGTAATGAACACTTCCCCCCACGCCCTTTATGTAGTTATTTAATTGAGTTTTCATGAAAGAACCTTTTCTCTGATGAAATTTAAACCCAATTAAGTATTTCAAAGTGTTGTGGGTAACCAGTGCTTCCAAGGTATTTTTCCCACAGGATGCCAGCATCGCATTGACAGTATTTGGAATGGTCAGCCTTTAGCAGCGTGTGGGAAAGGTGCGGTGGCTTCATTCTGTTATTGTCTATAACTCCTCAGTGAAAACAGGTGACTTGTTCTTAATGAATGTTTCTTTCCCTTTTGTCAGACAATAAAAATGAAAGAAAATGTTGTTGACTTCATATTTGTGAAAGCAGAAGGTTACCAAAATCATCGGCAGGACACATGGAAGGGGAGTGTGAATTAGGGTAAAATTACTACACCAAATTATACTTCTATCATTGCTTTTATACATATGCTGTAAGCCGGTTGGCTCAGGAAAAAACCCACACAATCAGTAAGTCTTAAGAAAGTTGTACCTTTAGCCCCCTCTGCCTTAGTTCTGGAACCCTCTGGTCAGGATCTGCCCCAGGCCCCAATTTGTGGTCTGTGGTCACATTCAGGACCCCTGCCTCAGTGGCCCCTCGACATCACCATCACCTGGCAGGAGCTGCCAGGAATGCCAATGAGTCATCGGTGCTGGAAGGCTTTTCTCCAGAGCCGACTTGCCTGACTTCTGTTTATATTTCCTCGGCCACAGGAAGTGACATGGCCAAGTCCAACCTCCAGCTGGTGGTAGGTGCAGCTCTACCAGATCCCCAGGTCAGGAAAACCTAGAAGGCTGGTGGGTTGCAGTGAAGACCCGATCTCGGGCGTTAGAGACCAATGTCCCATTTCCTTCTGTAATACACAGCAGCAGGGACCGCCTGCCACCCTCCCCTCTCTGGGGCACAGCAGCTGCGTCTGGGAAGGGTGTGAGACTGTCCTATGCCAGCTGCCACCAACAACGGCAGTGCAGGCCGAGGCAGTTCCCCATGGCCAGCGGCTCCCCGGGATCAAGGCTGGGGGGTCCCCAAATGTCTTGCAGAGCTCTCTGACTTAAGCAGCTGCCTTAAGTGTTGTTTTTCAAGCTGTAAGTAGCCAAGCGCTAGTGGGTGGTGAGGTCTGTTGAGTGGGTCACGACCAGCCTCAAAGACACCAGGTGGCATTCTGTGTGGGAGGAGTGAGTGCTGTTCTGCCGAGCAGTATTCTGATGTACAAGATCACCGAAGGAAATGCATTTCCTACCAGGGATTGAGGTCAACACAATTGAAAGCCCCTGGCCAGCTACAGCTCAGCAATACTCGGCGACACTCAAGAGTTGTTTTTGAAATGCAACATGTAATTCCTTCTCTGCAGAGCCTGGTAAGTCTTAGGAATGTTACCTGGTTCTGCCAATAAAGAGCTTTTCGTAGGAACCTTTCAAAGTCCCCAGAATTACATTAGGAAAGAGTATTACACGGATGACATCCCATGTGCCTCCTTGAAAGATACCAACTTAATTACACTTTTCTCCCTGAGCTTACCACAGCAGTAACGATAATAGTAAACAACATTCACTTATTTAGCGTTTACTATATATTAGGCATTTTGCTAAGTGCCAGACCCTATATTAAGTGCTAATAAACACTGTTGTATTAACCTCCACAATCCTAAGAGGCAGAAAAGGAGCATATTTTGAGGGGTCCAGTGAAGAATGGAAATGAGGGTCCCCTTGTTCAAAAATTATTAAGAATTTCTAGATGGGGAAAGCAGAACATTAAATCAAGTATGGGTCTTTCCCAGTGAGTAGGGGGCCCTATGAGATGGCACAGATTTCAGGCTCATGAAGCCAGTCAGCCCAGCCAGTAGGAATAAACTACATTTTGCAGTGATGAAGTGGAGCTGTTCAAGGTCAGCTGCTGGTTGGAGGTCGCACATCTAACTTTTGTGGAACTGAGACCTGAACCCTGGCCACCTCACTCATCAACTCTCTTCTGTTATATCCACCAAAAGCATCTGGTGTCCCAGCAGGTCACTCGCCGGGAGCCCCACGTTCCGTGGGCACCTTCACATTTTTATAATCAGCTCCTGGTCTATTTGAACTCACCATCCCAGGGGTTTTGCACATCAGATGTGGTTGGATTGCCATTATACATAATGGTTAGTGTTCTCCTTGTCTCATTGTGAAATTGTGCTGAAATGGAGTAATTACGTTAGCCTTGACTTCAACTCTTCAGTAGAGAGAACAATTTTTACTTATCTCTATCCAAGCACTTTTCTTATAGTAGGAGTTTGTTAAGTGTTTGTTGAATTATTCTGTAAATGTCCACTTTGTGTTAATTCTAGGGCAAAAGTTCCTCTCAGAAGCCCGTACCTCTTTGAGCCTCACTACTTGAGTATTCAAAGCTGGAGGACAGAAATGTTGGTGTTTGATACGTCTCTGCGAGCAACAACTTCTCCGCAGCCTTGTGATGAGGAAGGAACAATTTAGAGCCTCCTCTACCCACTGATCCTTGCCTGCTGAGGTCATCAAGTCTCTAAGGGCCTCATTGACACTATCGGCAAGTAGCCAGCATTTACCATGTTTCTTTAAACTGATTGTGTAGTGATGTGGCTAAATTAATATGTCCTACAAGGAGGCCCGGCACAGTGGCTCACAACTGTAATCCCAGCACTTTGGGAGGCCGAGGCGGGTGGATCACGAGGTCAAGAGATCGAGACCATCCTGGCCAACATGGTGAAACCCCATCTCTATTAAAAATACAAAAATTAGCTGGGCATGGTGATGGGTGCCTGTAGTCCCAGCTACTCTGGAGGCTGAGGCAGAAGAACCTCTTGAATCCAGGAGGCAGAGGTTGCAGTGAGCCGAGATTGCGTCACTGCACTCCAGCCTGGCAACAGAGCAAGACTCCATCTCAAAAATAAATAAATAAATACATAAAAATAAAAAAACCAAACTCTTCTATAAAGAAACAGAAAACAGAAACCAGCTACAGCAGAAACGTTCAGAGTCTCAAGCAGATCTCTGGTGTTAGGATTCATGACTTGTACAATTGCCACAGAGGAACTGTCTCTCCTCTGAAACAGTGGAAATGACAATAAATGCATCATAATTCTAACACGCTTAAATGATGATGTGCAAAGAAACGCTATTAGAATACCAATGTTTCTGACATTTGAATCATTGCCATTCTGAGTGGTGTGAGATGGTATCTCATTGTGGTTTGGATTTGCGCTTCTCTAATGATCATTGATCTTGAGCTTTTTTTCATGTTTGTTGGCTGCACAAATGTCTTCTTTTGAGAAGGCTCTGTTCATGTCCTTTGCTCACTTTTTGATGGGGTTGTTTTTTTCTTGTAAATTTGTTTAAGTTCCTTGTAGATTCTGGATATTAGACTTTGTCAGATGGCTAGATTGCAAGATTTTTCTCCCATTCTGTAGGTTGCCTGCTCTCTCATAAGTGGGAGTTGAACAATCAGAACACATGGACACAGGGAGGGGAACACCACACACTAGGGCCTGTTGGAGGTGGGGGACAAGGGGAGGCAGAGCATTAGGACAAATACCTGATGCATGTGGGGCTTAAAACCTAGATGACAGGTTGTTAGGTGCAGCAAACCACCACAGCACATGTATACCTATGGAACAAACCTGCACGTTCTGCACACGTATCCTGGAATTTAAAGTAAAAAAAAAATTTAAAGAATACCATTGTTCTTATCTAAATTAATTTTTATGCATCTGCCTCTGAGAGGATGCAGAGAGGCCACAAAGTATCCTTACCACTCGCCCCTCCCATCCTGCAACCAAGCCCCTGAACCAGTGGACTTGTCAGATTTAGGACTAAGGAAGGCTTTGGTTGACCTGTTATTTTATAAATAGGAAACAGGTTGAGGGCTCACAGCTAGTTAGTGAGCAGCAAATCAGGACGGAAACTCATGTGTCCTGCAGTCTAGTTTAGTAGATGTGTTTCTTGATTGAAGTGGCTCACATTTGGTCTCTGATAGAAATAAATAAATAACATTAAACGCCAAGGACAGTGGGAGAATGTTATAAGCTGTTTACATGCTATTTACTAAAGTATTTTGTCCAAACCATAATAAGTTTACTTATTGATACGATTTGGCTCTGTGTCCCCACCCAGGTCTCATGTTGTACTGTAAACACCAACACTGATGGGGGACCTGGTGGGAGGTGATTGGGTCATGGGGTGGATTTCCCCCTTGCTGTTCTCGTGATAGTGAGTGAGTTCTCATGAGATCTGGTTGTTTAAAAGTGTGTAGCTGGCCAGGCAAGGTGGCTCATGTCTGTAATCCCACCACTTTGGGAAGCCAAGGCAGGTGGATCAGTTTAGGCTAGGAGTTCAAGACCAGCTCGGCCAACATGGCAAAACTCGGTCTCTACTAAAAATACAAAAAAAAAAAAAAAAATTAGCGAGGCATGGTGGCATGCACCTGTGATCCCGAGCTACTCAGGGGGCTGAGGCACGAGAATCACTTGAACCCGGGGGGCAGAGGTTGCAGTGAGCCAAGGTGGCATCACTGCATTCCAGCCTGGGCGAAAGAGTGAGACTCTGTCTCCAATAATAATAATAATATTAATAAATAAATGCAAGTGTGTACCATGTCCCCCTTCGCTCTCTCTCCTGCTCCACGAAGGGAAGACGTACCTGCTTCCTCTCCACCTTCCGCCATGGCTGAACATTTCCTAAGGCCTCCCCAGCCATGCTGGCTGTGGGGAACTATGAGTCAATTAAACTTGTTTTTTTTTTTTTTTTCATAAACTCCTCAGTCTCCGGTGGTTCTTTATTGCAGTGTGAGAATGGACTAATACTCTTAACAGGGACATTTATAAACAGGCCATGTGAGGACACAGCACCCCATTCCTGGGCTGTGTCATCTTAGAGCAGGGTGGTCTCTCTGAAGACCGGGCTGTCTGCAGAGTGCGTGACATCCATCTGCACCCATCTCCTTCCCAGGGACAGCCTTTGCTTCAGTTCTTCATGTGGTCACCAAGGAGCAAAGCTCAGAGACAAAAGGCATTCTGCCCAGACAGCCCCAGGCCTTATCATCCATCTCCTGCAGACCAGAAACCAGTGCTTGTTAGCCTGGCCACCCCAGACAGCAGACAGGGTATCCCACAGGTGCTTCTGCACGTGGCCAGAGACTCTGCCTCCCCTGCTCACCTGTTGGTTCTGAGGAGAAGATGGGAACCAGGCTGGTTTTTCCCAGGGCAGGTTCGATGTGTGAATCCCCCACCGGGTGGTGAAAGCGACAAGCTCTCTGTCCCGTTTGCTTTCTAAACTGAAGTAAATAACTCAGGTCCTTAATTTTTCATTTTTGTGGTTAATCCTGTTTTCAGACATATCACAGACATGGATGAAAGGTCATGTTTCTCAGACATCAAGTTAAAAACCAATAGTGACCACAGTCATGAAAGAACATTCAGCCTGAGACAAAAGGGGTTAACGCACAGGGAAGATAACGACGGTGAGACCCGCCACCTGCAGTCCGGGTAGGAGAGGGGTGGTGACAGGGGGGGAGGGGGTGGTGATGGGGTGGGAGGGGTGGTGATGGGGGGGAGGGGGTCGTGATAGGGGTGGGAGGGGTGGTGATGGGGGTGGGAGACAGGTGGTGATAGGGGTGGGAGAGGGGTGGGAGATGGTGATAGGGGTGGGAGGGGGTGGGAGAGGGGTGGGAGATGGTGATAGGGGTGGGAGGGGGTGGTGATGGGGGTGGGAGACACTTGGTGATGGGTTGGGAGAGGGGTGATGATACACGCAGGCCCAGTGCTGAGGCTTAGGGAATGTCCGGGGCCTGAGGAACTGAGGGCAAAACCACTGTGCTGTCAACGAGGAGGTTTCCTGTTGGAAGCCTTGGCTTTGAATACGGACTGTTTTGTTAATAGTCTAGTGAACCAGGCAGGTGTATCCAATATCTGTAAAACTCAGCCTCCTCGTTTGTAAAAGGAAGACAGTATTTCTGACAGAGTAGTTGAGAAGATTGAGAACCACGCACACGTGGTACCGGGCGACGTGCTTGCTGCTCCACCTGAGCGTGGCGGTTTGCTCTCATCTGGTCTGGGCACCCGTGTGCTTCCTGGATCAGCCACTCTTGCCCATGTCCCTGTCTGCTCAGTAGCCAAGGAGCACTGTCCTCGGGTGTGGGGCAGAACCTCCCTTAGGGTGGGGTGGTGTGATTTATGGCAAACCCAAGATCCCAGGTAGAGCTGGCCCTGAGCCCCCGCTGCACAGGGAGCCCCCGCTGCACAGGGAGCAGGCGGCCTGTGGGAGAGCTCACTGCTGGGGAGGGCGTCTGTGCAGGATGAATGGGAGCTTCTGAGGCTCAGGACCCCGGAGCAGAAGTCAGGACCCGAAGACATCGGTAAATACCTCTGACGCTAACCCCAGTCAGCCCCAACTTTTCGGTGGATGCTTCCATGGGGATTCCTTTTATTTTTACAGCACGTTACGTTTTCTGTTGTGGACACTAATAAGGTTCTGACAGCGCAGAGGCACTGGTTGCATTATTTTCGCCAAGCGTGGGCAGTAGATGTTCGTAGACGGTGGCAACAAGGGCTGTTTCAATGGGCATCTTGCTGCTGAGAGACTCATTTTATTTACTGTAAGGGATAAAAATTACACTTCTAATCTCACACACTACTCAGATTTCTGTAGGCCCCAGTAGCAAGGTGATGTGGGGCCTTGGGAAAGTCTCCCAAAAAGAACAAAACATCACATTCCATGGGTGTGGTTTCTCGGGTACACAGAGCCCTGATGCCAGGACACTCCCTCTGAGTCCCAGCGTGCAAAGAGAACCCTCCCGTGGGTGGGTACCAGCTCTCCCTCTCTTCCTCTTCTGTACAAAACAGGGGGCCTCAGGCACCTGCCACTGGGTTCTAGGTCATCCCAGAACAGGCCTGTGGGCCCAGACGTGCTGTCCAAATGTTGCTCAGGGCCGTTCTCTGCTGGTTCCGCTCCTAAGCCGAATGTTGGTTGTGGGCTACTGTGCTCTCCTGGTTACATCCTGAACCCAGGACAACCTGCCCCCCAAATCCCCCACCACTGGGTTCTACTTCCTTGTAGGCTGGTTTGCATGTCTCATTAGGAATAAGACCACTCCGTGCTATTAATTTTACTTGCTTTTCCCGGCAGAGCCTTTGACACAGGAGTTGGTCGTGAGTCAGTGGAAATTATGGAATTTGATTGACAAAGCTGAAGTCTACTCAGACTATGCTTTCCTTCCCCAAATTCCCTTGTTGTTTAACCAAGCCTCAACTCTAGTTTTTAGCTGGACCACACTGAGGCTTCTCTTGTTTCCTCAAGTCTTATAAATACATCCCTGAGATCAGGAGTTCTCAAATGAGAATCCTCAGACTCTCTGCAAAATAAAAATTAACAACAAAGATTTTCTTTCAAAATTTTGTGTTTTCATTTCAGTGAGAGTCCAATAAAATTGCTTTCACCAGTCATGAAGGCTAATCACTTTGCAAGAGGTAATTTGCAATGCAAATGCACCTATTTTCCCCCTCTGGATGTATTTTTAGTTTCTCAGGTCAGTGTTCCTCAAACTGGAACCTAAAAATATATTCTCAGAATAACATATTTTCCATCAAAGTGGCTTCTGCATTGCTCAGGTTTGAGAGACTGGACTTCTGAGAGGGGCTGGCATTGCCAGTTCATAGGTATTGCCTGACGTGGGGATTTAGAACATGTAGGGAGCCAGGCCCTCCCTGCAGGGTGTCCCCACGTACCTCCCCTCTGCATTAGTGGCACTGGGAGGCTCTTGAGGGGAAGGTGCCAGGGTTGCACTGCATCTCCCTTGGAGTGTGGCCTCAGCCCTGAGAGATGGTTCTCCTGGTTCTCTGGATGCGGTCGAAGGTCTGGTTGTTTATTCTCAAAGTCTGGCATGTTTGAATCACATCATTCTTCCCCAGTTCCACTCTCAGACGGTGAAGTGCTTCTTCCAGTATGTGTGGGCCAAGGTGCAAATGCCAATTGTGTGACTGCAACACAGAGTCCTGTGGACTGGGCTATGATAGACAGAGATGGCAACCTTAGGTTGATGAGTGTCCCTCTGGTAGCCTCTGGTGTTATAAAGTGTCATCAGGAAGGGATGGTGAGTCCTGGTGACTGTCACCTTGGGTGACTACCCATATTTGGCCTTCTCTCCTGGCTCACTCCTGCTCACCTCTTGGGGCACAATAGGGTTATAATTTCCTCCAGGAAGCTAGGCTAGGAGGGATAGATGTACTAGTCAGGGTTTTCCAGAGAAATAGAGCCATTAGGACAAATACTGAGACATAGAAAGAGGTTTATTATGGGAATTGGCTTATGCGATCACCGTGGCTGAGAAGTCCCACAGTCTGTATGGTGGGGACCCTGGAATGTCGCTGGTGTAATTCCCCAAACTGCAGACCTGAGCCCTAGGGGCCAGTGTCCACGATCAGGGGAAGGTGGATACCCCAACTCCAAGAGGAGGAGCCAGGGGAAGATGGATACCCCAACTCCAGGAGGAGGAACCAGGGGAAGTTGGATGTCCCAACTCCAGGAGGAGGAACCAGGGGAAGGCGGATGTCCCAATTCCAAGAGGAGGAACCAGGGGAAGGTGGATGCCCCAACTCCAGGAGGAGGAACCAGGGGAAGGTGGATGCCCCAACTCCAGGAGGAGGAGCCAGGGGAAGGTGGATGCCCCAACTCCAGGAGGAGGAGCCAGGGGAAGGTGGATGCCCCAACTCCAGGAGGAGGAGCCAGGGGAAGGTGGATACACCAACTCCAGGAGGAGGAGCCAGGGGAAGGTGGATGCCCCAACTCCAGGAGGAGGAACCAGGGGAAGGTGGATGCCCCAACTCCAGGAGGAGGAGCCAGGGGAAGGTGGATGCCCCAACTCCAGGAGGAGGAGCCAGGGGAAGGTGGATGCCCCAACTCCAGGAGGAGGAGCCAAGGGAAGGTGGATGCCCCAACTCCAGGAGGAGGAGCCAGGGGAAGGTGGATGCCCCAACTCCAGGAGGAGGAACCAGGGGAAGGTGGATGCCCCAACTCCAGGAGGAGGAACCAGGGGAAGGTGGATGCCCCAACTCCAGGAGGAGGAACCAGGGGAAGGTGGATGCCCCAACTCCAGGAGGAGGAGCCAGGGGAAGGTGGATGCCCCAACTCCAGGAGGAGGAGCCAGGGGAAGGTGGATGCCCCAACTCCAGGAGGAGGAGCCAGGGGAAGGTGGATGCCCCAACTCCAGGAGGAGGAACCGGGGAAGGTGGATGCCCCAACTCCAGGAGGAGGAACCAGGGGAAGGTGGATGTCCCAACTCCAGGAGGAGGAGCCAGGGGAAGGTGGATGCCCCAACTCCAGGAGGAGGAGCCAGGGGAAGGTGGATGCCCCAACTCCAGGAGGAGGAGCCAGGGGAAGGTGGATGCCCCAACTCCAGGAGGAGGAGCCAAGGGAAGGTGGATGCCCCAACTCCAGTAGGAGGAGCCAGGGGAAGGTGGATGTCCCAACTCCAGGAGGAGGAGTCAGGGGAAGGTGGATGCCCCAACTCCAGTAGGAGGAGCCAGGGGAAGGTGGATGCCCCAACTCCAGGAGGAGGAGCCAGGGGAAGGTGGATGCCCCAACTCCAGGAGGAGGAACCAGGTGAAGGTGGATGCCCCAACTCCAGGAGGAGGAGCCAGGGGAAGGTGGATACGCCAACTCCAGGAGGAGGAACCAGGTGAAGGTGGATGCCCCAACTCCAGGAGGAGGAGCCAGGGGAAGGTGGATACGCCAACTCCAGGAGGAGGAGCCGGGGGAAGCTGGATGCCCCAACTCCAGGAGGAGGAACCAGGGGAAGGTGGATGCCCCAACTCCTGTAGGAGGAGCCAGGGGAAGGTGGATGCCCCAACTCCAGGAGGAGGAGCCGGGGGAAGCTGGATGCCCCAACTCCAGGAGGAGGAGCCAGGGGAAGGTGGATGCCCCAACTCCAGGAGGAGGAACCAGGGGAAGATGGATGCCCCAACTGCAGGAGGAGGAACCAGGGGAAGATGGATGCCCCAACTCCAGGAAGAGGAGCCAGGGGAAGGTGGATACCCCAACTCCAAGAGGAGGAACCAGGGGAAGGTGGATGCCCCAACTCCAGGAGGAGGAACCAGGGGAAGGTGGATGCCCCAACTCCAGGCGGAGGAACCAGGTGAAGGTGGATGCCCCAACTCCAGTAGGAGGAGCCAGGGGAAGGTGGATGCCCCAACTCCAGGAGGAGGAACCAGGGGAAGGTGGATGCCCCAACTCCAGGAGGAGGAGCGAGGGGAAGGTGGATGCCCCAACTCCAGGAGGAGGAGCCAGGGGAAGGTGGATGCCCCAACTCCAGGAGGAGGAGCCAGGGGAAGGTGGATGCCCCAACTCCAGGAGGAGGAGCCAGGGGAAGCTGGATGCCCCAACTCCAGGAGGAGGAGCCAGGGTAAGTTGGATGCCCCAACTCCAGGAGGAGGCGCCAGGGGAAGGTGGATGCCCCACCTCCAGGAGGAGGAGCCAGGGGAAGGTGGATGCCCCAACTCCAGGAGGAGGAGCCAGGGGAAGATGGATGCCCCAACTCCAGGAGGAGGAGCCAGGGGAAGGTGGATGCCCCAACTCCAGGAGGAGGAACGAGGGGAAGGTGGATGCCCCAACTCCAGGAAGAGGAACCAGGGGAAGGTGGATGTCCCAACTCCAGGAGGAGGAGCCAAGGGAAGGTGGATGTCCCAACTCCAGGAGGAGGAACCAGAGGAAGGTGGATACCCCAACTCCAGGAGGAGGAGCCAAGGGAAGGTGGATGACCCAACTCCAGTAGGAGGAGCCAGGGGAAGGTGGATGCCCCAACTCCAGGAGGAGGAACCAGGGGAAGGTGGATGTCCCCACTCCAGGAGGAGGAACCAGAGGAAGGTGGATACCCCAACTCCAGGAGGAGGAGCCAAGGGAAGCTGGATGCCCCAACTCCAGGCGGAGGAACCAGGGGAAGTTGGATGCCCCAACTCCAGGAGGATGAACCAGGGGAAGGTGGATGTCCCAACTCCAGGAGGAGGAACCAGAGGAAGGTGGATACCCCAAGTCCAGGAGGAGGAGCCAAGGGAAGGTGGATGCCCCAACTCCAGGAGGAGGAGCCAAGGGAAGGTGGATGCCCCAACTCCAGGAGGAGGAACCAGGGGAAGGTGGATGTTGCAACTCCAGGAGGAGGAGCCAGGGGAAGGTGGATGCCCCAACTCCAGGAGGAGGAACAAGTTTACTCTTTCGGTACCTTTTTGTCCCATCTGAGTCCTCAATGAATTGGATGGAGTCGGCCCACTCTGGGGACGGGGATCGTCCTTACTCCGTCCACTGAATCTAATGCTCACCTCTTCCAGAAACTCCTTCACAGACACTCACAGAAATTCAGGTGTGCCAGCAACCTGGGCCTCTCTTAGCCCAGTCCTGTGGACAGGTTGAAATTAACCACCTCAGCAGGTGTGGCCTCTTCTGCATCACGGGGTGCACCTCCATCACCGTGCGAAAAACAGATGCTTCATGGAAGGCAGTGTCCATTCCTTTGGGTGCAGAGAAAGCTCCTGTTCATCTCCGAAACTTCATGCCAGGTCAGCGACTTCTGCAGGACTCGGTCCCGCGCCTGGCATGGTGCTGGGTGCCAGGCTCTGATGATCCATATGCTCACAGTAAATGTAATATCAAGGAGGATAAAATTAGCCAAGTAGGTTATGGCCAGAGGGAAATTACTTGTTTTTTGCTCAATTTTGATGGAGACTGACAATTATCAATGGTCAATTTTTCTGATTTTCTATGAGTTTCTTCCACAGACTCTTATGATGCCCTGTCCGCTTACCCAGTATCACTGCCGTCTCCCCAGTTTGCTGCCCTGAACTCAGGTGAGAGCGCACACTTGCCTTTATACCTGCTGGAGCCATTCTTCTCTTCTTTCTGTTTGGAGCATCCTGAGTGTGTTTCTGGATATGTGCACGCACACACGCACACATACATGGGTGCCCATGAACAGGCCTCTCGCACCCCCCAGACCCCGGCGTCAGGTGTCAGGGGGAGTGGCTGGTGCTGGGGCTCAGGGAAGGATCAATGAATGCAAATGAGGACGTAGGTGCCTCGATTCGGCTGTGACTGGAGCTATGGGGAACCGTCTGTCGAGTGTTTTCTCAACCTTGAGTGCAGTGGGGCTGCATTAACGATGGAAAGAAAGGGGCTGCCACAGGGTGAGGCGGGTCCATCCCTACCCGAGTGGCTGTGTCTGACCGCTACCTGGGGAACCTGCAGAAGGTTGGCACGCTGCTCTGGCCTCGTGAATCGGGATCTGCCATCGGCTGAATCAGGTGCTTTAGGAAAAGGTCCGGTCTGCGAGGCCTGTGAAAACCGTGATGAACTACACCCGCAGCAAGCCAGTGTGTACTTGGTAAGGCAACTCATGCTTCTGTTTCCAAGTGCAAGCATCTGTAACGGAAGTGTCGTCTTCAAGATCACAGGGCGGAGAGAGCGCTGCCCTGATTTTCTTCGCCTTTGTGATCATCAGGCTCTGAAGTTGAGGATGAGTCTGGAGAGCAGTTCTGGGGTCTCTGCAGCTTTTCCAGGAGGGCTGTCTGCCCGGGTGAAGACACGCTGTCTCAGCTGTTGTTTTAGGACCATGGGCCCTGGGGCCCAGGACAGCAGGAAGGCGGGTCCCAGTCTCCTTCTGATGGCTCCATCTGCACTGGGTAATTATTTTTGACACGAGGACATCTATCAGTGAGGGTGAGCTGTTTGGAGTGCCTGGAGTGCTCCCAAAAAGGAGTATTAGAACAGCTCAATCCAACTAAAAACAAACAAACAAACAAACAAACAAACACCAAAACTGCTAAGTGGGCTTTAGGACTAACAGCCAGATCCCAGCTACTGGAGTGAATTTAAAGAGTAATAATTAATCCTAACAATTAAGGGAATATATTTTGCCACCTTCTCCCTGAGTGGACGCAGTGAGTGGATTTGGTTGTGAAGAAGGCAGACGTTGCCTTTCTTATTGAAAAGATGGGTTCATGCAGCAGAGAAAGTAAGCTGGCAGGGATGGGTTTTTTCTGCTCAGGTAGCAGCGAGAGCGGCAAAGCGATCTGTTTAAACACTGACCTTCCGTGTTTTCCTTGAAACAGAAACAGAATTTTAACACTGGCCTAAAGGATGGTGAGAAATGAACTCCTGGTTGCCGACCAGACTTCCCCTTCTCATCCCGACGACGCGGGACATAGGGTAGACGGTCCCAATGCCGACGTAAGTTCCACAGTTCATTCCTTTCCACGAGGATGCAGTGCCAACCCGGGAAGCCTTTATGGAGTGCCTGGGAGGTGCCCGGCCCTGGGCTTGGTGCAGGGGTGGGCAGTGGTGACAGACAGGAAGGTCACTGTAGGGGGCACACAGGGCTTTATATCATGTGGAAAGACACACGCCCATGAGTCTCCCAGAAATAGCACATCAGGTACTGCAATGCATGACAGCTTGAACCCGCAAAGCTGCAGTGAGCCAGAGAAGCCGGGCAGAGGTGGTGTCGGTGAGACCCTCAGGGAAATGCAGAGCAAGCCCGGCCCTCAAGTGTGGGTAGCTGTGGAGAGGCAGAGAAGGAGAGGACCCGCTGTGAGCATTCCAAGGCCAGCACAGTCACGTCCAAAGCAGGAGGCAGAGGTGAAGTCACTCATGTCTCTGAGGGAGAGATACAGAATTTTCTTCACACGTCAAAGTTAGGTTCTAGTATCAGAGCCCTGCTCATCCCCCTCTTACTCTCATCCGGCCACATCTCCGGGGCTTCCGCCTCTTCTATGGTCCCCGTGTTCATCTGGGATGCTGCCCTCGTGGCAGAAGATCACTTGCTGGGCCCTCCCAGCCTGGGCTCTTTAAGATTCGAGGACACCCTTGGGACCCATGGGAAATGGGGCAGAGGCACACAGGGAGGCCCCCATGTATTTTGTCTAAATATTTTAGAGGTTATCGCTAAGTCAGTAACTGCTGCATGTGTTCCAGCCCCTCAGCTTGACAAACATACATGCAGGAATACAGACCACGGGTATTGGTGGGCAGCAGCTCACATCTGGGTCCTGTTTGTGCAGAGCCCATGCTCAGCCACGTACGTGCTGGCTGCTTTCATGCCACAAGTCCAAGTTAGGAGCTGAGACAGAGGCTGTGTGGCCCACAAACTGAACCTATCTACTATCGGGTGCTTTATGCAGAGTCTGCCAACCCCTGAACTAGATTGGTCTGCATTTAGAATCCTTATTTTCTTAGAGTTCCATGCCATGGGGCATGGGGAGGGCGGGCCCCCAGCAGGGACCTTCCCCTTTCCCATCCTGCCCATTACCAGGTCCCCAATCAGGGGCCCCCCCATCTATGTGTGTAGCCACCCAATCCAAGACCATGCACCCAAGCTCCATCACACCTTTCTATAGACTGCTGAGCCCAGCCAGCTCTTAGGCCTAACGCCTGCTGTGATGAAGCCAGGTTCATGGGAGAGGCCCAGGTGAGCCTGGGTCAGACGTGGGCCACCTGGGTGATAAGGGCTAGGGGCTGGTGTGTGTGTGAATAGCACACACAATCACACAGTGTACATGGAAGGGGCTCAGCTTCCAGGTGGGGGCTTGCCTTTGCCCTGTAGGAGCAGTAGGAGGACCAGCACAGGAGCTTGCAAGCAAGAGCCCAGAGCAAGAGCCCCTCTCCCCTGGTGTCCAAGGATGGTTCTGCTGACCCAAGGGAGGAACACAAGAAGGGAAGCTTGAGATGCTACAAACAACAAAATGGCACCCTGTGTGCAAATCCTGGTGAGTGCACTTGTGGGTGCTGCAGCCACAGGCTCTGGAAGACACCCCTGCCTGGGCGAGCCATCCAGTCCTTCTCTTGCTGTTGGGGCCTGGATGCTCCAGCAGGGGCATTGGGCTGGGGTGACTCTTCTTTGCTCTGACTTGATGTGAGCCCAGTGGCTGCTTTGGAAGTGTCACCCTCAGGGGGTTTTGGTTGGCCTAAGAATCAATATTTATAGGGTGTCCTGCATTGTGTGTTTTCTATTTGTAATTCTCAAGCATGGCTCCCATTTCACTTAGTATCCAAAGGAGTAAGAAATCCTCACGTTGGATTCCATGAACCTAGGAACCCCAGTGTCTTCTGAACAGCCTTTTCCTCTTTGTGTTCCCAGCACACAAACTGTTAGAAAGATTTATGTTAGAATCCACCCAGCATCTGCTACCCAGAGCCTAATTTTGCCCTCCCTCTGAACTGAATTTTTAAGTTTTAAGTCAAATACTCGCTGATGTTTGCGCTTCCCCACTTCATGCATATTCTTCACCTGAGCCCCTGCACCTGGGGAGCAAACCCCTGTCCTGGAGGAAGCCTGATGCGCCACCTCCATTGTTAGAAAGCTCCCTCAGGCTGACGTAACCCTGTCCTGGACCTGGAGGAAGCCTGATTCACCGCCTCGATTTTTAGAAAACTCCTTCAGGCTGTCCTAACCCCATCCTGGACATGGAGGAAGCGTGATTCGCCACCTCCATTGTTAGAAAGCTCTCTCAGGCTGACATCACCCTGTCCTGGTCCTGGAGGAAGCCTGATTCGCAGCCTAGATTGCTGGAAAGCTCTCTCAGGCTGGCGTCACCCTGTCCTGGAGGGAGCGTGATTTGCCGCCTCCACTGTTAGAAAGCTCTCTCAGGCTGAGGTAACACTGTCCTGGTCCTGGAGGAAGCCTGATTCACCGCCTCCATTGTTAGAAAGCTCTCTCAGGCTGAGGTAAGATTGGCTTCCCCGCCGCTTCTCCCTGGAGACCCTAGTTCTGCTCTTTGAAGCCAAGCAAGATTACTCTTTATAGGGCAGCTTTGCCTTTATTTGTAGATAGCTTTTACACATATTTGCTCCCAAATCAACAAGGTTTTCCCCAGGTACCACCTGGACTATTCTTCTGTCAGCATTTCTCACGTGATACTGAGTCAGGAGCCTTTACTGTCCTCACCCTCGTGTGGGTGGGAGCCTGGTTTCTCATCACTCTGGTTAGACTGTGCCTAATGTGGGGTGCTGCTTTTTAAGGACAATCAGCTCTAAGTTGAGGCTCTGATTCTTGCACGTGCTTCCAAGCACGTCTCTTCTTGCCATCTCCATTGCCACCCCAAAGTCACTCCCCTCGGACAGGGACGGCAGCATCTCAGTCATCACTCTGTACCCCATTTGACCAGCTGGAGAGTCCTGTGTCTTCACACAACTGTGAGAATGATCATTGGAAGCTATGCATTCCATAATAGCTTTATGTTAAATTCATTTCTCATCTTTCATTGGCCCTTGGGAAGACGTCCAGATCCCTTAACATAGCTTACGAAACCCTCTCAAACTCAGGGCCCACCTTTCTCTCCAACTTCATTCCCCCAGCCCCGACGTCATCTGAGGTTCAAGTTCAGTAGCCCCTCTTGATAGCTGAGCACAGGAAGCTCAGGGCCCTGCGTTTTGGGCATTTGAAGGGTTCCGCTGGTCGTGGCTTTCCCCACCATCTCCTCCGTTTCCACACGACTTGCTCCTGCATACCTCAGCTTCAGTGCCGCTCCGAGAGGCCTTTCCTAATGTCTGAACCAGGAGAGGCTTCCCACCACAAGCTCCTCTATGGGATTCTGGTTAATTACCAGTGAAACGTCCACCTTTCCAGCCCGCCTGTAAGCTAGGCCATAATAGGGGCCGTAGCCCTCCTTACAGCCGCGTTCTTGTCACCTGCGCGGTGTCCAGCGCACACTCGCCTCCTACGTATTTGCCTTGTGAGGGATCAATCGGTGTCGTAGAGCCGTTCAGAGCTATTCCTCTATTAAGTGATTTGGATACCATGGTGACTAAGAAGCATGCTGTGATCGCTGGGGTTTATGGAAATATTGTGTGCTCCTGAGCGTTCAAACAGGTGGAATATCAACTTTATTAAGCCCAGGTGGTGGTGCAGTTTAAATGCGATTTCATCTTTTCTTATTTTAATTTACGAATTGCTCAGTTGATCATATTAGAAAAGAGTACCCACATTGTGCCTGCTGGAGCCATATCTTTGTAAAAATTCTGAAAGCAAGGGGAAATGTTGGAGTAAAATTATCACATTTCCTAACAATGTCTGTTTTGACTGGAAGCTCTAATGCATAATTTTGTGTCAACCAGAATAAAAGTAATCTTTTTTTTTCCTGGTGGTGCTTTATAGTTAGATTGTAGGGAATCTTCATAAAATATGCCAGCCATGCACCTTTGATTCAATATTCATGTATTCTCCCACATACGGAATTTCAAGGCCATGTTTAAGGGGAATGAAACGAGGCCTCATAAAGAATGGCAGCTTATGCAGCTTACTTTTAAAAAGAGGCTCTGAGAAACCTTTAGCTTTTTCAAACTTCCAAATTTTAACCCCAAATCCACTAGAGCCCAAATACCCACATTTGTCTCTGAATAATCGTTTGCTTTTGGTTAAGGATGGTTACACTAGCACAATTTGTTTTTTTTTTTGAGATGAAGTCTTGCTCTGTTGCCCAGGCTGGAGTGCGGTGGCATGATCTCGGCTCACCACAACCTCCACCTCCTGGGTTCAACAATTCTTGTGCCTCAGCCTCCTGAGTAGCTGGGACTACAGGCGAGCACCATCACGCCCAGCTAATTTTTGTATTTTTGTTACAGATGAGGTTTCACCATATTGGCCAGGATGGTCTTGATCTCTTGACCTCATGATCTGCCCGCCTCGGCCCAGTCACACATGTTTCCCTACGCAAGCTCCCTATTGATTGGAATGATGAATATTTCCAATGGATCGATTTTCAATGGTGGAAGAAATTTGTCACTTGCATAGGTTTGTCATTTGCCTAGGCGAAAGGTTGCTTGATCTTAGAAGCGTCATTGCCTCTTTTTGAGAGGAAATTGAATTTCAGAAAAGGCTGTTACTAGATGAAGTGAGAACTGATTGAAATTATCAGTCACTCCTAATACATTTTGGGTGGACAGAGCCATGTGGAGGAGCTTCTAGGCTGCACATGAGATGGACATATTCCAAAGGCCCATGTGAATATACACATCTGTATTATGGGAGGAGAAACATATGCATGCCTTAGTAAAAACCAGCCAGTAGCATAGAAGAGCCAGCTTTCAATGAGCAGAGAGCAGGGTGGGAAGCAGGAGACAGGCCCACTCTGGTTGGGTGGTTAGGAGTTGGTAAGTCCATAGGGAGGATACATGCGGAACACCATTGAGTGCTATTAGCTTGGTGGCCTTGGGCGGCCAGAGTTGGCGTGGATGGGTAGATGACGTCAACAGAAGGAATGAATAATCCTGCTGGGAGATACTTTCTCCTCTCACGACTTTGCTCAGAGCTTGACACGAGGATTCGTGTTTGATATGAAACACCATTCAAGAGTTTTACTCACAATTTATGCCACATATGCAAAAACAAGCAGAAGAAGAAATGAAAATATGTAACATACGATCTTCAAGAATAATTCAGATATTTAAATAAATGGGAGAGAGAATTTTGCAAGCTTCTTAATTACAAATAATAAAACCGTTTTAAGAGAAGTTTGTTTCCTGTTTTCCCTAAGCATAGTGTATGCAAGCATAAAAATTCCATGTGCCTGTCTTGCTATCTGTCGGTGAGAAAGATATCAAGTTCCTCTCCTTTAACAGGTGGATATCAATATGTTTTTATTTATGAGTGGATTCATTTAATTCCTGGATATGATAGTTCTCATATATTTCTATAAGCTGATTTCTGTGTTATCATAAATTCTAAGTCAGCATTTCTATACCCAAAAGAGCATTTAAAAGGTATCACAACTAATCATTCAGCTAAAACCAGGGCTTTATCTGAGCTCCTGCAGACACAAACACATTGATCCTACAGAGATGCTGATTTCTCTGGTGCTGTAGGAAGCACCAATGGGAAAAAACTGACTTTAAAAGTCAGTTAAGGAAGTTTAAGAGTATTATCTGGTGTGTCTGAAGTTGGAGTTATTTAGGTTTTATTTTTTCAGACACCAAATGACTCACCTACTTAGTGTAAATTTATGTTTAAAAAAATAACAATTTTCATCTCTAATTAATGCTTCACTTAACCCAAGCTGGACATAAAGGAAGATCATCAAATAATATGTGATTTAGCTCTTGTGATACAAACATGTGAAGGTCTGGGTCATTTTGATTCTGTTAAAATGAGCTAAGCTTTTCATTTCTTTTTCCTATCAAGAAAGGCTCTCGAGCGACTGTGTGGTCAGGGTAGGAGAGGCTGAGGAAGGTTGGGGGCCATAACCTCGGGTTCGGTGTGAGGTCCGGGACGGCCTGGGCCTCAGGGACAGCTGCAGCCAGGTCAGGAACACGTGCGGCTCTCCTGCTTGGCCATTTTGTCATTGTCGTTCTGTGTTTTTTGTTGTCTGTGTGTTTTCTTGTTTGCATTGGGCTCTATGAATATTTTTATTTTGACTTGAGTGAAACCTTGGATTCACCAAAATGTCTGACAAATCGTTCCCCATCCTCCACCCCCCACCCCCCACCATCCCACCTGATTTGGTCAATCATCAAACATTAATTGAACATTTACTGTCTTCCTCGCCTGCTAGTACGTGCAGTCATGCCTCACTTAATGACAGAGCAATGTGTTGTTAGGCATCTTAGAATCTGTGAAATTTCTTAAGTAAAATTGGAATATTGTTACGTTTGGATTAAGTATGACTGTGCTCAAGACAAACTCATCTGCTTTTCTGTCTCCATGTAGATTTTAATCTACATCCTTTGGCATGCATCGGCATATATGTACCATGCTTGAGTTTGTGTGTGTATGGGTCACCGTAGTATATGGGGCTACTGTAGAATATGTGGTTTGTTGTTGACTCAAGCATTGTTATGGGGTGCATGACTGTATTTGTGGGATGTATGGTAAAGGTAGATCAAAAAAATCTACTTTGACTTTAAGACATTTAAAATATGCCTTTCTTGAATTTGTCCACAATGCAAATTTAATTTCTGAAACCTGAAGATAGATAAAACTCATTTTAATTGAGATGAAAACACAATCTGAAACCTCCCTAAATTTCTTCAGGGGTAGTTTAGGCTATGATTGATGAAGATTGTCATAACTGTACCACTTTCTTGATGTGAGAATGAGTTAACCCTGAAGCCATAAGTCTTAGTCCATCCAGAATTTTGTAACAAAAATTCCACCACTGGGGCCTGTGAAACAGTAGACGCGCCTTTCCCACAGTTCTGAGGCTGGAAGCTGGAGATCCGGGTGCTGTAGGCTCTGTGTCTGCTGAGGGTTTCCTGACTCAGATGGAGCCTGTTTGCTGCATCCTCCCATGGCGGAAGGGGTGAATGAGCCCCCTTAGGCCTCATTTACGGGGGTACTAAACCCATCTGAGAGGGCTCCACCCCCGTGGCCTAATCACTTCCCAAAGGCCCCACCCCTTAACACCCCCTCATACCATCCCTTTTCAGGTAGGAATTTCTACATAGGAATTTTAGAAGGACACAGACATCAGACTTCACTCTATTAAATCCAGTATTTTATTCCATTAAATCTAAAAGCCGTTGATGGGGAGATACACCACAGCTGTACGCACGACTGAAAAATGCTGCTGAAACAGTTATGACCATGCTTGATTTGTACATTTTAAAAAACTCTTTAAGACATACACAAATGTAGATTCTAATGTAACTCTGTTGGCATGTATCTGCATACATATGTTCCATATGAGTGTATGTGTGTGTATATATATATATATCTTATAATACATTGATAAAGGAATTCCTAAAACTTCACAGAATCTGCCTTTTCTTACACATTTTTAAATCTCGGACTCACGAATATTCATAATTTTCCGCCTGTCATTATTTCCTGCCATCAAGAGTATTGAAAATGCAGCGTTTGTACAAGCCTGCACGCCGGTAGTCAGTTCCAACCCCGACACTGGCTCTGCACGCTTAGTGCTGATGTTCTCTGGAATTCTTGATTTTACCAGAAGGTGTCAAGAAAAGATCCTCAGACAGCATTCCTTCTTTCTCCCAGGGCCCTTGCATGTTGTGGGGCCAGAAGCGTCCGGGCTGTACAAATAGTACCACCATCTTCCTGGAGTGACTGGGAGAGACACCTGGGATCTTGCTGGGTCAATAGTGACTGTGCAAGGCCATCCATGATAAAATGCGTTCCAACCTCAGACACATGAAAAGTGAAAAAAAGAAAAGGCATCTTAGAATCTGTGAAATGTTGTAATTAAAACTGGAACACGGTGGTTATGTTTGGATTAAGTACGGCTGTGCTCAAGACAAGCTCACCTGCCTTCTGCCTCCCGCTTCTGCCTCCTTCGTGTGGTCTCCAGCCTGGAGCTGGACGTTGGAGTGAACATGAGTGTAAATACAGAAAGCGTCGGCATGTTTTCAACAAGGAAATTCGTTTCTTTGCTCTGTGTGTTTGTGTGCCTGTCTAGGACAGTGTTGTAACTTCAGGAAAGATTAGAATCAGTGAACTCCTTCAGGGCTAGGACCGGGAATTCTATCTGTACTCTTTTTACCTTCTTGCCATCTTTCCTCAATTATTAATACATTACTCTCGCACAAGGAGGCAAAGCTCAGAGGTGTTAGTGCTCTTTTTTTTTTTAAAAAGCAACAAGTATTATAGATCTTTATTTTAGTAAAAGAAAATTGAATCTTCTGACAAGAGTTCCTATAGATTCTCATTTAGTCCAAATTGTTAGCCCAGAAGCCCCAGTGAACACAACCTGAATTTCGGGCTTTATACCACACGATACAAGAACCTGCAAATAAAAGAAAAATTCAAGGACTTTAGGATTCTTCTTGCTTCTCTTTTGCATCTGAGACTTCAAGAATACAATTCAAAAATTTCTCAGCTTAAACATTACATTGATTTAAAGTTTCGGATATTTCAAAGCCCTTTCTCTGGAATTGCCTTATTTGGTCTAAACCCAAGTCAAAACACCCTACAAGGGAAGAGCAGAGAGGGCTTGTTACACCCATTTCTCAGACGAGAAGACTGAGGAACAGAAGAGCCGAGAAGGCACTACTGGTGCTCTGTCCTGAGTCCTGGAACTGTCCCAAGAATACCGGCCTGATGTTAGCAAGCACCTTTCCCACGACCTGGCACTACCTACCTTTCATTGCGGTGTGGACCAGAGTCCGAGGAAGTGTGAGGCCCAGAGAGCGTGCGGGTGAGTGCGCCTGGACCCTCTGTCAGTCAAGATGTCCTTGGCTTTTCTCCTTGCTGCCCTGTTCCTTGTACAGCCACACCTATCTCCAAACCAGCTGCATCGACACCTTTGTTATTATGAGGATTTGATTGTAAGTTTTCTATCAGGCTATAGAGAGCTTAATTTAATGCAATGGAGAAATCTCCAAAAATAAAGCCCTTAAGTTTTTTTTTTTTCTTTGGCTTTGGACTTACAAAACCTCTCTCATCTTGATTGCCCTTTCTTGGCATAATAAATCAGATGTCCTCTTGTCCAAAAGGTGCAGTCATGGAATTGGCTACCCTAGATCTTAGCATGCTCTCATGGAATCAGCTGCCATAGATCTTAGCATTCTCTCCTGAAATTGGCTATGCTAGATCTTAGCATCCTTTAAGTCTCAATTTGATTTTCTTCCTCAGCTCCTCCAGGCAGGTGTGCGGGCTCAGCCACTGCACTTTCAGTCCCCTGCATGCATTTTCAAGGTGAAGTATTTGGTGGGGTTTTAGGAATTCTACTCTGACTGCAGACAGTAGTGTGGCCCATTTTGCTACAGGGCGCTAATAGACCTTTGTGATCTTTCCATGGTTTAGCCACCTAGGATGTGCAGCTTTTACTGTGATCAATGGCCTCTGAGGGTATGGAGTGGAGGTCAGAAGAAAATGCAAAGCAACTGGACGTTCCAGATGAGGAGCTGTTTCAAAATGAGGAGCCATTTCAGACAGAATGAGCTGTTCCAGAATGGGGAGCCATTCCAGAATGAGGAGATGTTCCAGAGTGTGTAGCCATTTCAGAATGAGGAGCTGTTCCAGGATGAGGAGCTGTTTCAGAATGAGGAACCATTCCAGAATGGGGAGCTGTTCCAGAATGGGGAGCCCTTCCAGAATGGGGAGCCATTCCAGAATGAGAAGCTGTTACAGAATGAGGAGCTGTTCCAGAATGAGAAGCCGTTCAAGCATGGGGAACTTTTCCAGAATGAGAAGCTGTTCCAGAATGAGGAGCTGTTCCAGAGTGGGAAGCTGTTCCAGAATGGGGAGCTGTTCCAGAGTGGGAAGCCATTCCAGAATGGGGAATCATTTCAGAATGAGAAGCCATTCCAGGATGAGGAGCTGTTCCAGAATGGGGAGCTGTTCCAGACTGATGAGCTGCACCTTGTACCTGCCTCACACCTGATCACATAGCCTTGATGCCAGAAACCTAGAGTGCTCTATTTAGGAACGTTAGGCTGGCAGCAGGAACCCCTGAAGAAACTCAGGACACTAGGTGCTTGAGCGCGCAGCTAACCCGCAGGAGAAACATCTCCCTTCTGCTGACCTGAGGCTTGACTCCTCTCCCACAGGAGGAGAAAAGAGGCCTCCACCCACAGTCCACTGTTATCCTAGGAGAAATCCTCTGGCCTCCTGCCCAGGAAGTGACAGAGAAGCTGAAGCTGCTTTAACCTTCAAGATGAACCTATTTCTTCCACGAGGTTTTCTCTTGCCTGTACACGTATCTTTAAGTCCACCAGACACATCCACGCTCTGCTCGCACAGCGTTGCGAGGGCCAGTGCCCTTCTCTCCCATCCTGTGTTTGCATTTGCCATTTGGTGGGCCTGTCCTGCTGACCAGCAAGTCTCTGTACTGAATTTGGTGACTTTGATCTTATGATTCATGTTTCCCAGCGAGGTACTCTGTGTCTTTGCTATGAATAATGTGTTATTCAAGGGCTAGTTGGAAGATTGCATATATAAATTGAAAACATTTTGTCTAAAAAGGGGTGTATAGAGAGAAAGAAAATTTCAGCCAGAGAGAATTCTTTTTTCTTCTTGAGACAGGGTCTTGCTCTGGAGTGCAGCGGTGCTATCATAGCTAACTGCAGCCTTGACCTCTCAGGCTCAAGCAATCCTCCCGCCTCAGCCTCCCGAGTAGCTGAGACTACAGGTGTGCACCACCATGCCCATAAATTTTTTGTAAGGACAGGGTCTTTCTTAGTTGCCCAGGCTGATCTCAAACTCCTGGGCTCAACCAGTCCTCCCTCCTCAGCCTCCCAAAGTACTGGAATTACAGGCGAGAGCCACCGTACCTGGCCTTCAGAAAGAAATTGTTTAAAAACCTCCTTAAGGCAAGTACAGAACACAAAGGAATTCAAAGAGCACCAACATGGGATTAGCGAGGGCCGGGAGCTAGGCCTGTGCCATGTATCACTGCATGTTGTGCTGTGTGAGATGACAAATCTGTCTTCCATTACTCTGTTGAGCAGTTACTCCCGAGAAGAATTATTTCCTTTTAAATAAAAAACATACCCTGTACTGGCTGCTGCATTATAGGGCATATCTTGCCTGGAAAATGGAAGTCAGGCAACATGGCTATTCTATGGAAATGTCTGAGCACAAAGAAGAGGCAGAAGGGAATGTAGAGGCCTGAGATGTCTTAGAAATGAGCAGGAGGATGACTGCAATGGCCCTTCAGTTAGGTTCAGGCTTCTGCGGGAAAGCGGCACCCAGGAGCCCAGAGCAGGGAGACAAACCTGCGTGGAAGTCCAGGTGTGCTGTGATGGAGAGGCCTCCATGTGGCCTTCCATATCCTGACAGCCCAGATGGGGCGAAGGCAGACCTCCACAGGAGTAGACACCCAGAGGCTGCAGTGAACCCTGCAGGGGACATGGCCTCTGTCCCCACCTGCAGGGAGGAGCCCAGGCTCTGGAGTGCAAGACAGTGCCAAAGGCAGCAACCTGCAGCGCAGGGCTCCTCTCCCAGGGAGCCTCGTTTGCAAGATGCACGAGTAGTTCACAGGGCTGCTCTGACTGTGTCCACAAGGCTCTGCCCAGGCTTGGGAGGTCTTCCATGAAGGCGAGGACCAGGGCTTCCTTCTGTGCTCACATAACCTTTCCAATCCTCAGAAAACTCAGCTGGGAGAGCGTTAGCCCTGGGGTTCTCTCTGGTCCTAGAAGCTCTTCTACAGGACTCCTCGAAACGCCCAGAGACCCTATAGACCCTGCAGCCTCTGCCCGGCATATCCATTGGATTCAATTAGGCACAACCCAACTCGGCTCCAGTCAGCACCATTTCTTGGGATGTGCAGCATTTCTGCGCCTCTTGTGAAGACAAAGATAAATTAGACACAGACGGCATTCGAGACACTTGCCATGTTGAAGAGGAGAGGAGCACAGAAACAGCTAGCAATGGTGCCAGACAGAAAGTTGTGTGCCTGACAGGGATGAGAAATTGGGGGGATTTGCAGAGGAGACATGATTTATTCTGACCAGAGTAACAGAGAAGGCTTCATGGATGACACAGAACTTCAGAGGGAGGATTAAAGCACAAGTAAAGCAGGATTTTTTATTTTAGCAAAAGAAACAGATGTGAATTGGAGGCAGTGGCTGAGCCATTCCCATCGATGTCTGGAAGTCTGAGAAGCTCCACTGGGGCTGCTAGCTGACGGCTGACCCACCTGTTATCAGGGGTATTTGGACGGCTCATGTGCCATGCCAGGGAGGTATCATGTGGCACCTGCCCCCTCTGTGTTTTCCTCTCACATGGGCCAGGGGCTCTGTCCCATTAAATAACCAGAAGATTAAATGCCAACTTTACAAAGTTCCTCGTTCGGATCACTCTATGCCCACATCCTAGAAACATCTATGGAACTTAATTTTCCCACTGAAGGAAATGGCATGATTAAAAACTTTTTAGATTATATGAATAAAATGATAGGCAAGCAATCATCTTGAAAAGAAGGACACTTTGGGGAAACCTCCCCATTCTATTTTCCTCTGTAAAACAAACTGAACTCCGGTGGTTTTCAGCATTATAACATTCCTGTCCCACTGGAAATGCAGAAGACCGGGTTAAAAAACCCTAAGCGGACCAAGCCCATTATAACATTCCTGTCCCACTGGAAATGCAGAAGACCGGGTTAAAAAACCCTAAGCGGACCAAGCAGAACAAACACTGCAACCCCTTTCTAAAAGCAGCCTTCATTTAGACACCAAAAGACGGGAGATACTATTTCTTTATTTTTATTTATTTATTTATTTTTTTGAGACGGAGTCTTGCTCTATCACCCAGGCTGGAGAACAGGGGCATGATCTCGGCTCACTGCATTGCAGCCTCTGCCTCCCAGGTTCCAGTGATTTTCCTGCCTCAGCCTCACGGGTAGCTGGGATGACAGGCACACTCCACCATGTTCTGCTGACTTATATATTTTTAGTAGAGACAGGGTTTCACTATGTTGGCCAGGCTGGTCTTGAACTCCTGACCTCAGGTAATCTGCCCACCTCAGCTTCCCAAAGTGCTAGGATTACAGGTGTGAGCCATGGCGCCCAGCTGGGAGATACTATTTCTAAAGCTTACACTTTTCTGATTCCTCTCTCTATGTGTAGATCTAGATGTAGAAATAGATTGGTTGAGAGACAGAGAGGTGAACATACATAGATGATAGATGAATAAATAATAGCTATATTGATTAGATAGGAAGATAGATGGATAGAGGATAGATAAGAACAGATGATAGGCTGGGCGTGGTGGCTCATGCCTGTAATCCTAACACTTTGGGAGGCCGAGGCAGGCGGATCACAAGGTCAGGAGTTTGAGACCAGCCTGAGCAACATGGTGAAACCCCGACTCTACTAAAAATACAAAAATTAGCTGGGCATGATGGCATGCCTGTAATCCCAGCTACCCAGGAGGCTGAGTCAGGAGAATCACTTGAACCCGGGAGGTAGAGGTTGCAGTGAGCCGAGATCGCGCCATTACTCTCCAGCCTGGGCAACAGAGTGAGACTCAACTCAAAACATATATATATATATATATATATATATAATCCATAGATAGATAACAGACAGAAGATAGATGATAGGTTGATGATAAATGAATGATAGGCAGAGATAGATGACTGATAGATGATAGATAGGTGATATAAAGATCCACACAGAACACTTTTGCAAATTTATGAATAAGGACTGTTTTCTCGAAAGTTCATAAGGGATCTAAGATATTTTCTCTTCAAAATAATAAGTTTCGCAGCACGAAGCTAACATGAAAACTTAAAAATGAATGTCCTTGTGAGGATGCACACGGACACAGAAGTGACACGCAGACAGCCTCCAGGCAGACGGGCTTTCGGAAAGCCCTCCCCTCCTCAGCTGCTGGCACCCCCAGCCTCAAGTACAGAGTCCCCAAGAATTTGAAACAGGAAGACCCAGTGAGCTGTCCCTCAGCAGCGCAGGGAACACACATGCGATGTGACGGTGGAGCCTGGAGGGCACCGCTGGGCTGTGGAAGTGGTGGGGGGTGAAGCCAGCCCAGAAAGCAGGTCCTGGCTGCGGAGGACCACGGGCGGCTGGAGCAGGCAGGCTTGGGCCTTGCCTGGGGCTGAGGTGGTCCCAGTGGCCCGCTGATGACATTGTCCTCCATCCAGACATAGAGAACGTTCTTGGTGCTATATTCTGTGGAAATCTACAGGCAAGAACCCTAACTTTGGGTTTAGTGAAGGATTAAGGGATGTCGCGTGTCCCCTCCCTTGTACTGAGTCACATGAAAAATCACGCCTGTAGCAAAGGCGGACGTTCCCACACATGCGAGAGGCTTCCAAGGCCTGGCTGTTCGTTTCCGGACTCACTGCTTCTTACAGTTACACTTGGCTGTGACGCGAGGGGAGCGCGAAGGTCTCAGCGTTCCTGGGCCGGAAACGGTGGCACCTCGGGGGTGGAAACCACTGGCTTCAGCTCCAGGAAGCCTCAGACGCGGGGACAGCGCCCTCACCCGGCTCTCGGAGGCTCTGCACGTCCGCCGCCGTCTCCCCTTTGATTTTGCAGATTGTGGGTAGCTCGGGACCTAGCAAAAGGGTGAAAAATATGTAGTCTACAACACTGCTTCTTAAATAGTAATGCCCACGAAAATCCTCTGCGGGCCTTGCCAAATGCGTGCTCGGATTCAGCAAGTTTGGGTGGGGCTTGAGAATCTGTATTTCCAACTCACCTGCTCCTAGGTGATGCTACTGCTGCTGCTGCATGCTCTGCCTTGGGTAGCAAGAGTCTAGGGGTGAGGTGTGGAGGGAGGGAGACAGAGTGAGAAAGAGTGAGGGGGAGACAGGAAGACAGAGGGATCGCCATGGAGAATTAGCACGCTGCAGTTTACGTGTATGAATTGATTAACTCTTGGGAGGCTTAAAGTTCTTTTCTCTCAGAGAGAAATAATTTTTAAAAATCTGATCATGCATTGTGAGTCAATACAATATATCCTATTTAAAAATGTTTAACGTATAATTATTATTGTTCCCAAAGAATGAAACGTTCCCTGTTCTATGCCTCAACATAGAGACAAAAGATTAACTTGAACTCTACTTAATGATTCTACAGCTTAATGGGAATGACTTAATTGTGGAATTTAACATCTTTCCTTAGGAAAAGAGGATTCAAAGAAGAAGTGTACCTAGGGGTGGGGATAAGGAGCAAACGTGGAGATTGTGATTTTCTAAGACTTTGCTATGGCCACTCTCCTGCACGCTCGCCCTTGATCAGAGCCACACATAGGGTGTAATTGTACACATTCTGCATGCTGCTTATAAGTATTTTACAAATCTCATGGTGAATATAAATTTCTGAGAATTAGGCTGAATAAAAAAGTTCAAGTAGATTAATTCTTATCCTAATGGCTTCCTTTTAAATGTGTGGTGAAGTCGTGGTGTACTCCACCCTGAAGCTTCTGAAGGCATTTGTATTGATCAGCTCCTTGAAGAGTTTGCAGTGGTCAGAGATAATTGAGAAAGAATAAAACGGTCTCAGTAGGAGGATACTTGGAGTCTTCCAGGTAGGAAGACATTTGGAATCTTCTGGGTAAGAGGACATTTGGAGTCTTCTGGGTAGGAGGACATTTGGAGTCTTCTGGGTAAGAGGCCATTTGGAGTCTTTTGTGTAGGAGGACATTTGAAGTCTTCTGGGTAAGAGGACATTTGGAATAGCTTCTCTCCCTTTGCCTGTCTCCTGCAGATAACCCTGATATTTAATATTGAGCCCTCAGCCAAGCTCTCTTCTTAATATTTCCATAGTGCTAGCCACTTTAAGAATCAGATGCAATATTCTTAAATATAAAATACACTTAATTTTGCATATCATTACTTGCCTTAAATTGTCATCATAGCCATCACAGAAACATACTTACATGCAATTTTACAAAGAAAAGTGTCTCACATTTTTCAGAAAATAGAGGGGTGGCCACTTCTTGAAACATGAACTCAAGAAATTCCAGTGAAACTCGCCTTTGGTTTTGCCTCACAGTGGATTCTGAGGTAGAGTGGTGGCCTCTGAGCTCGCGTGCATGTGTAGCCTTCGGCATTGAGACCACGTCAGGGTTTTGTTCTGATGGCAGTCGATGCTGAAGATGTAGCTTTACCACAGTTGGTGGTAGCCATCAGGATCAGAGTGTCTATCGGTTGTATTTTCTTAATCGGGATAGGAGGATTCATCAATAAACTCCAGAACTATACAGGACTCCCCCAAGTTAGTTCACACCACACCTTGTCCTTTATTCTTCAGCCTCAGAGCTCCTGCTTCCATCCACTGCTCCTTTATCTTGTCTAAGTTAGTAAGAAAAACAACACGTGTTTCTGCTTCAATTTTGAGGTCGTTTGTTCCAAAACAACTTTTGAAAGAATTTTGCGGGCCAGGCGTGGTGGCTCACGCCTGTAATCCCAGCACTTTGGGAGGCCAAGACTGGTGGATCACTTGAAGTTAGGAGTTTGAGACCAGCCTGGCCAAGACAGTGAAACCCCGTCTCTACTAAAAATACAAAAAATTAGCAGGGTGTGGTGGTGGGTGCCTGTAATCCCAGCTACTCGGGAGGCTGAGGCAGGAAATCGCTGGAACCTGGGAGGCGGAGGTTGCAGTGAGCTGAGCTTGCACCACTGCACTCCAGCCTGAGTGACAGAGCAAGACTCTGCCTTAAAAAAAAAAAAAATTTTTGCTTTTTTATGTAACGTGTTTGAAGAATTCTAATTGCAGGGGAAAGACGAACTCCAACCTCAGCCACCACTTCTTCAAACGAAGAGTGATCTTGCCTGGTACAACCTTCTGCATCCATTGAGTTGCATCATATCTTGACTAAAAGAAGAGACACTTTAAATAGCATTAAACTAGATGGCACCTGCAGGTGTAGACCTGAGTGAATAATTAGCCTCAGATGTTCTCATCATGAATAGCTCCCTCTGCTCTTATTGTTTTCAGGTATCCTCGTCTTAAAAATTTTTTTAAGTGACTTTTTTTTTAAAGAGATATTTTCCCCCCTTTCTCCTCTTGGCAAAACTTCTTCAAAAGTTGATGCCTTGAGACCGTGACCTATCCCCGACCAATCATCTCAGAGGTGTCTGGGTTTATTTCATGGTTCTTGGACCCTTCTCTGATTGCGTGGTTCTTGAAGATGTCTTCTGGGAACTTCAATTTTGATTTAAATCCTAATTTCTTTGCTTTGGGGAAGAGACTTTAAGCCTCAATTTAGCCTGCTGTAGGACTAGGGGAGTCACGTGACCTCACTCACGAGCTCTCGCGAGGATTTACCAGGCAAAGAGCCTCCAAAATGCGACAGAGCACTTGCTGTAAGACTGGGGGAGAAATGTGACCCCATTCACAAGGTGTGACGAGGATCTACCAGGTAAAGCGCCTCCAGAAGGCAGCAGAGGGCTTGCTGTAGGTCTGGGGGAGTAATGCGATTTAACTCATGGGGTATTGGGAGGATTTACCAGCATCTCCGGAATGCAGCTAAGTGCTTCCTCTATGGGTGGAAAAGTAATGTGACCTCATTCATAAGTTATTGCAAAAATTTACCAGGCAAAGCGCCTCCAGAAGGCAGCAGAGGGCTTGCTGTAGGTCTGGGGGAGCAGTGTGACCTCGTGGGGTGTTGGGAGGATCTACCAGGCAAAGCGCCTCCAGAAGGCAGCAGAGGGCTTGCTGTAGGTCTGGGGGAGTAATGCGACCTCGTGGGGTGTTGGGAGGATCTACCAGGTAAAGCGCCTCCAGAAGGCAGCAGAGGGCTTTCTGTAGGTCTGGGGGAGTAATGTGACCTCGTGGGGTGTTGGGAGGATCTACCAGGCAAAGCGCCTCCAGAAGGCAGCAGAGGGCTTGCTGTAGGTCTGGGGGAGTAATGCGACCTCGTGGGGTGTTGGGAGGATCTACCAGGCAAAGCGCCTCCAGAATGCAGCAGAGGGCTTGCTGTAGGTCTGGGGGAGTAATGCGATCTAACTCATGGGGTACTGGGAGGATTTACCAGCATCTCTGGAATACAGCTAAGTGCTTCCTCTATGGGTGGAAAAGTAATGTGACCTCATTCATAAGTTATTGCAAAAATTTATCAGGCAAAGCGCCTCCAGAAGGCAGCAGAGGGCTTTCTGTAGGACTGGGGGAGTAAAGTGACCTCTCTCATGAGGTATGTTGAGGATTTACCAGGTAAAGCGCCTCCAGCACGCAGCAGAGAGCTTGGTGGAGGCACTGAAGGCGTGCTGGCTGTTTTTCATTATGAATCAACGCCGTCAGATGCAGAATTCAATAATTAAAAAACCTGTGGGTCTTCATCCCTGAACAACACAACCGAACAGACGGGTTAAAGCATCAGCAGCAGGTGTTCTGGGCCAGGCCTCCCCCAGCCTTTGAGTCAGGGATGCTCTCGGCAGGGTCGCTTCGCCATGTGGATGGTAACAGCCTAGCAGTTTCCACAAATGGTTAACAGGGTTGGGATGCCTCGGTGGTGTCGCCTTGCTGCCCTGAGACAGCCTGTGTTTCACTGAATTTCATGTTGATGGGGAGCGTCGCAACTGCCAGTTTCTTCGTATTAAAGGACATATCCTAAATTCTAGAAGGGGTGTTGCCAATTTGCAGAGATACGCCTTCAATTTTCTTTCTCTATTCTAAGCTGCAAATGAGCTTGAACTTTTGTAGGGCACATGGCTTCACAATGGCATTCTGAATCTTGTGTGCCTAGTTTTGCTTATTAATTGAGCAGACAACTTCAAAGGGATCCATCAAGACCTAGATTTTGAGGTGACACAAATACAAACTTTGGTAAATTTATCACCCTTGTTAATTAAGTCATCATTCTTTTGCAGAGAAAGATCTGTGTGTCCAATGTAAAGTGCAAATGCTATGTAGCTGGGACATTTCCAGTGGTAACAACTCTACTATGTACAAAGCTACAGTAAAATCTAGGAATATATATGTTTTGTTGTAATTTCTTTTCTTCAGCCTTTTTCAGTGTAAGAGAGTTCCTCAATGCAAATAAAGCAGATGCCCATTCCAGCAACGTACATGAGTGTGTGTGAGTGTGGTGTGTGTTTTCACATATCTGTGTGTATGAGTGTGCATATGAGCATGTGTCTGTGTGTGTCCATGGCAATCTCAGATTCCCAGACATCACACTGATAATTGCATTAAACCAATTTTCTTAAAAACCATGTTTGGGCCGGGCACTGTGGCTCACGCCTGTAATCCCAGCACTTTGGGAGGCCGAGGTAGGCAGATCACGAGGTCAGGAGATCGAGACCATCCTGGCTAACACTGTGAAACCCTGTCTCTACTAAAAATACAAGAAATTAGCTGGGCGTGGGGGCGGGCGCCTGTAGTCCCAGCTACTTGGGAGGCTGAGGCAGGAGAATGGGGTGAACCTGGGAGGTGGAGCTTGCAGTGAGCCGAGATTGCGTCACTGCACTCCAGCCTGGGCGACAGAGTGAGACACTGTCTCAAAAAAAAAACAAAAAAAAAAAAACAAAAGCAAACATATTTGAAGATAAGGAAATATTTTTTGGAAACCTCAGATGCTTTTCTCTCCTTGGTACGAACCATTTGGAGTCCCATCCACACACTTCTGCAAGCTGCTGACACAAGCTGGGCATTGTATTGGGTCTGGGATGTGACAGAGCTGCCGGCTGTCATTTGATGCGTGAGGCTCGTCTTCCAGGCAGCTTTCCTAAACTTGGAGATGTTTTATATATTCTGTTATGGGCGGGGCAGGGTGCTCTCTATTTGGTCCGACCTTTCCCGTACACTAGGTATCAAGGGCTGAAGCATTCAGGACACAGCAGCCCCTGGACCCATCGGAAGATCTGAGATTCTCTCCGTAAGCAACCACTCAGTAAGGTGGCAGGACCTTTCCTGGCTTCAGTTTCTTCACCCCTAAAACAAACATGGCACTTCACGGATGACAGTGGGAGGACAGGTGTCTTAGTATTTCCATGGGAAGTGGAGGAGGATCCTTTAAGGAGCCCATTGGGTGATAGCATCTCCTTGTTGTCTGTTGGTCTTGGTCCCCATGTTTAAAGTATTTTGGAGCTTTGACTAGCGTGCGCAAGGGATGCTGCCCATGTCTCTAACGAGGGCATGGGGTTTGTCCGTTTCTCTAATGAGGGCATGGGGTTTGTGGCATGGAGGGGCTTCTCTGCTTCTGAGGTCCTGCATTGCTCAGGCAGGCCCTGGCTTGAATGGGGAGGCTGGCGTGAAGTGAGAAGGCCCCAGGGAAACCCTTCTTAGAAACATCATCCATCCTGGGTCCTTCCAGTGAGGAGGCTTACCTCTCTAAAAATTCAGATTTGCCGAAAAAGTCATGATTCTTCTTCCTTAACTAACTTTAAAATGGAAAACTCTCTCCCTACCATCGCGCTGGGCCTCACTTGCAGTGAATGCCACGGGGTGACGTAGGTTTTCTGATTCTCCTAATCTGTAAGGGCGGCTTTCGCACAGGCTCCCTCTCCATCCTTTCTCGTTAAAGGCGCTCCATAAAGCAGCTTGCACACATGTTTAAACAGTTCATTGTCAATAACTTTAACCTCCCGCAAAAGCCAAATACAATGGTAATGTGGCTGTGCCTGCCTATTACAAAAGAAACCCAAGACTTAATTTCTAATCTGCAGAGGAAAATCTTTCCAGCCGTCCTCATTTGGCGGGCTTGTGGGTCTCTGTACGCGTGAAAACAGCGAGAAAATGGCAGTGGAGACATTTGTCATCTGCAGAGTAAAAATATATTGCTTTTTGTCAGGAATGTACTGGTGATGTCTGCGGGGGTGGAGAGAGAATGCATCAGTTGTGGCAGCAGGCCTTTGGGGTGGTGCAGAGGGAGAATGCCATGACCTCAGACATCTGCTCTTCCATGCCACTGGGCACGTGGTTGTGGAATGCGTCCTCAACTGGCCTTTTGCTGTTTTCTCCCAAATTTCATACCATGAGTCTTCATCTCAGGCTCCTCTTCGTTGATTTGAAGCCCCTAGTCCGTCTCCAGTTTTATTTCATTACAAGACAACATCAGCCTCTGGATCTGCTGTGATGTCCTCCCTCTGCTCCCTACATCTGTCTATCCTGCTCCCTGGAGGGGACGTCCCTCACATTTCCCAAAGTCTTACTCCACACCACCAGCTCAGGCTGAACTAGCTTAGAGAGTTTATTCCATTTGCCCCAAATACTGCCCTTTGGAACCCGCCAACGATCCATGTGTGCTTCAGATAGCCTCGTCCAGGCAGGAGTAGCTTTCTGAAATTTAAATTTTTATCTATTTACAAACATTTTTATGTGTAACAAAAAGTAAAAATGTGCCTAACAAGTATAATTAACCCTGAAATGGAAAAAAAAAAAAAAGAATATAAAGTATATCAAGGGTATCCACAGAGGAGGTAGTACTTTGGGTGGAAAGAGCATGGTTTTGAGGTTTGGATACATTTTGTCTGAGAATTTTGTTATATTGTTGAAATATGACATTTAACATTTGGTGTGGGTAATACTGACTTTAGAGGGTGCGTTGAAGCTTGATTAATGTGATCAGTGTCACTGGACCCTAGCATGTCCTTGTGTGTGTATCTATGTACAGGAATACACCATGCTTAATATAATCAGTGTAACTAGATTCTAGCATGTCCTTGTGTTTGTATCTATGTACAGGAATACACCATGGTTAATATAATCAGTGTAACTAGATTCTAGTTTGTCCTTGTGTGTGTATATATATGTACAGGCATACACCATGGTTAATATAATCAGTGTAATTAGACTCTAGCATGTCCTTGTGTATGTATATATGTACACGCGTACACCCATGGTCAATGTAATCAGTGTAACTGGACTCTAGCATGTCATAGTGTGTGTATATATACATATATATATATATGTATATATACACACACACGCATACACCCGTGATTAATGTATTAATGTAATCAGTGTAGCTGGACTCTAGCATGTCTGTGCATGTGTGTGTGTGTGTGTGTGTGTCTATGTACTCACATATACCCATTGATATGGTTTAGCTCTGTGGCCCACTCAAATTTCATCTTGAATTGCAATCCCCACATGCCGAGGGAGGGAGGTGATTGGATCGTGGAGGTGGTTTCCGCCATGCTGTTCTTGTGATGATGAGTGAGTCTCATGAGATCTGGTGATTTCATGAGCGTCTAGCATTTCCCCTGCTTGCATTTCTCTCTCCTGCCACCCTGTGAGTAAGGTGCCTTGCTTCCCTTTCACCTTCTGCCATGATTGTAAGTTTCCTGAGGCCTCCCCAGCCATGTGGAACTATGAGTCAAATAAACCATCTTCCTTTATAAATTACCGAGTCTCGGGCATTTTTTATAGCAGTGTGGAAACGGACTAATACACCCATGATTAATGTAATCAGCATAAGTGGATTCTAGCATGTACTTATGTGTGCATGTATGTACATGCATGTACCCATGATTAATGTAGTTCAACTAGACTTTATCATGTATACGTCCTTGTGTGTATACCTGCACAGGTGTGTTTATGTATATGTGTATATGTGCATTTGTGTATATAAATCTGTGTATAAGTGATTTGAAGATTAAATGTAAGCAGACATGGAGAAAAAGCACAGCTATCCAGCAACATGCCCCTGGCGTGTGTAGTCAGGCAGTCAGTGCTATCTGCTGTGAGGTACTTGTGTAGCAGGCGGGATAATATGATACAGAATATGGATGGATGCTCGGCTGTGTGTTGCCAAGCTAATCTCCTCTGCCTTGACTTTTTCCTTTCCTCCTCCCTCCTTCCCCTTGGAGTCATCTTGTTGACTATGGACTACAGAGTTATGTGTAAGTGGCTTCAGTGGGGAGCAAACAGGACAGCTCTGTTTGCCTTCGCCTCCCGAGGAGAACCTTTTCTGCACATCTGGTTTCCCCTTCACTATGTGATGCAGGGAAATTCCGGAAAATGCAGATGGAGAAAGTGCATCCACGAAGCTTCCACAGCTATGTGTATGTGTGTGCCCTACACATGTGCTTGCGTTTGAACCATGGGGTCTCTCGGGCTTACGATCAACTTGCCAAAAACTTTAGATCTCATTGAAAGCATGTGCCCTTTCACCCGTGAGCTAAACCTTGGGGAATCACACAGACTTTAACTAACCTAAGTGATTGAATACCTCTCGTTCATTTGGTTAGTGGACATGCTCATAGGGTGCAGGCCACTACCCTGGAGACACTTTCCGAATGGGAAACAGAAAACAGATGTGAGTCACACACACACAAAAGTTACCTCTGGAAAAATAGGATGGATTCTGTTTCCTCTCCTTCTAAAAGACTGTATTTAAACTGGTTCTGGTTAGTAAAGACAACATAAATATCTTTTCCTAAAATCTGTACCAAATTACTTCACTGAGAAGTCTCTGAGGATGTGCAGCCAGGACCGCAGGTCATATATTTTAGCCGCGTTGGGTCACTCACCTGGAGAGCCTGTCCTCAGCCCCCGGCCTCGCCCCACAGAGGCTGATTCGCTGGGCGGGTGGATCCGCTCGTTCTGTTTCTGATTAACTCGCGGGTCATGAGGCTGCTGTTGCAGGGAGATCCAGAGCTGGAAAACACCGCTATAGACCAGCACAACTTCACATTTTGGTCTACATGGATCATTTTGAGAGTATGATTAAACATCTAATCTCCAATTAAAAAGAAATCCATGTGTATACCTCTTTCCAAAATATCCCATATATATTCAGAAATAAGGGCTTTTTAATACAAAATCACTTAATTCTTCCAAACGTCGTTATCTGTGCCACCTACAGTTGCAACCACGTTCAAGGTAGAGACTGACTAGCTTGATACAATGGATGTTTAGGATTATCTCTTGCAGGGAAAATGGAGAAAATAAGCTTTTTTAATATTGCTCTTTAAACCTAGATATGTTGGCCATTTTAGGGTTTACTTACATGATGTAAAAAGTACCTACCAGGGCAATAGTTTTAAAACCCTTATTTCCAAAGCTTATAAATGCTTCTGTGGGTTCTACCTTAATTGTTATAAACAGCCTTTTCTCCATCTCTCATTCACTCTGCTTCAGGCCTGCCCATGTCTCAGCTCTGTCCAGCTTGAATTAAACTGTTGTTTAGGTTGGGAAGTGTTAATGAGTCCCTAACACTTCTCAGCTGTCCAGTCTCAGCTCAAAATAGCTTCCTCACCAGACATCTCTTTAGGGGCTGACCGTCTGCAGGCCTCATCTGGCCCAAATATGTATTGTCAGCCCACAGAGGCGTGTGGTTTAGGTGCTGGCTGGTTTGAGAAGTAACCTGAACATGATGTTGGCTAGGCATACACTTGGTTTTGCCACAGTCTTCGCTATCCCCTACTGGCCAGCCTGGCCGATTCATCCCTTTATGTTAGTGCTGGGCCTTTCCTGAGTAGCTCCGGTTGACTTCTAAAAGTAATGTTAATTCAATCTCCCTTTCTGTCTTTACCTACCTATCTGGTGACTATTTATACACACTACATCTAGTAAATATACTAAATAACTATGTATAGTGCACCAAATGTTTTGGATTAATATTAGCTCCTTTTCCCTTGGAACGTGATTCTTCCTTCTTAATACCCGGATTTATTTCTAGGGTGTTTACATCATTCGAATAATTTTGTTTAAATCATTTAATTTAAATAATTAATTGTAAAACATTTAAATTACGTATACTGGCTGGGAGCAGTGGTTCACGCCTGTAATCCTAGGACATTGGGAGACTGAGGCTGGCAGTTTGCTCGAACCCAGGGGTTCAAGGCCAGCCTGGGCATCATGGAAATGGCCTGTCTGGCCGGGCGTGTTGGCTCATGGGTGTAACCCCAGCACTGTGGGAGGCCGAGGCGGATGGATCACCTGAGATCAGGAGTTTTGACCAGCCTGACCAACATGGTTAAACCCCATCTCTACTAAAAGTACAAAAACCAGCTGCGTGTGGTGGCACACACCTGTAATCCCAGCTACTCGGGAAGCTGAGGCATGATAATCGTTTGAACCCAGGAGGCGAAGGTTGTGGTGAGCCAAGATTGCACCCCTGCACTCCAGCCTTGGTGACAAGCAACACTCTGTCAAAAAAAAAAAAAAAAAAAACACACTTCACCTTTACAAAAAATACAAAAATTAGCTGGGCGTGGTGGCACTCGCCCGTAGTCTCAGCTACTCAGGAGGCTGAGGAGGAAGGATAGCTTGAGCCCACGAGGTTGAGGCTTCAGTGAGGTGTGATGGTGCCACTACACTCCAGCCTGGGCAACAGAGCGAGACCCTGTCTCAAAAAACAAAAATAAGAAAATAAATGATATGTACTGAATACCACTCCATCCTAACAATGAAGCACATCTTACTCACCGCTGTATAACATAACGTGAGGGTGTCATCTCCACTCTAAGAAATAAGGGAAAAGAGGCAGTAAACTTTTGGAGAATTCTCAGGTGAAATCCCAGGTAAAATTTCATTATTGTCATTGTACTTGTAAAAAATACTTAAGGCCGGGCATGGTGGCTCACGCCTATAATCTCAGCACTTTGGGAGGCCCAGGCAGGTGGATTACTTGAGGCCAGGAGTTCAGGATCCACCTGGGCAACATAGTAAGACCCTGTCTCTACTAAAAAAAAATACAAAAATTAACCAGTCATGGTGGCCGGTGCCTGTAGTCCCAGCTACTTGGGAGACTGAGGCAGGAGAATTGCTTGAACCCAGGAGGTGGAGGTTGCAGTGAGCCGAGATCAGGCATCTGCACTCCAGCCTGGGCAACAGAGCAAGACTCCACCTCAAAAAAGACAAAAAAAAAAAAAAAAACTATAACAAATCATGAGCTCTAAACAATTTTAGAGTAAGTAACATAAATCTGTATCCATATGAAAAGCACTTGTTCAGTTTGGCCTAGGGTCTATAGTGGGGGTCTTGTCCTCGAAGAGGGCATGCGCTCTGGGGACAGCTGGATGACCTGAGCAGTAAAGGAGACGAGGACAGAGGGCGCTGTGAGTGCCGGGCCCAGGGACTGACTCCCCATTCTTGAGTCCAATGTGCTTTTGTTCTGCCCAGCTCTTGGAAGACTCGGCCCCCCAGAGTCTTGGCAGTGTGGATGTGACAGGGTCCCCAGCGGGACATGGGCACAGGAAGAGCTGGGGGAGGGTCCCCAAGCATGGGCTTTCCCATCAGGGAGCCAACAGAGCAAAATGTTTGGAGCGTGACAAAATGTTAACATTTAAAATACATTAATAAGATGGCGACAACTTGCTATGGTCTGAGGGTTTGTGTCACCCCCAGATTCCATGTTGAATCTTAATCACCAAAGTGATGGTACTAGGAGAGGGACTTGGGGGTGATTAGGTCGTGGGATTAGTGCCCTTATAGAAGGGACCCCAGAGGGCTGCTGTGATACAATAAGAAATCTATACTTGATCTCTGCCCCCCAGTTCCTGGCACAGAGCTCTACAACCCTCGGAATTTTCTGAGTGAGAGGAACGTCTTTTGTTCTCATGAAGCAACTCTTGGTGGCTCCTAGATGGGCCTGGTCACCAGAAAGACCAAGCCGTGATTAGAAGTTTGGAGTTTTCAAGCCTGGGCAATATGGAGAGACCCCATCTCTACAAACAAACAAACAAACAAAAATTAGCTGGATGTGGTGGCTCATGCCTTTAATACCAGCACTTTGGGAGGTTGAGGCAAGAGGATCGCTTGAGTCTAGGAGTTCAAGACCAGCCGGGGCAACATAGTGAGACCCCAGTTCTACAAAAACTTTAAAAAAAAAAAGCCACCTATTGCACACCTATAGTTCCAGAAGCTAAAGTGGGAGGGTCACTCGAGCCCAAGAGGTTGGCACTGCAGTGAGTTATGATCGTGTCACTACACTACATCCTGGGTGACACAGAAAGTCCCTGTCTCAAAAAATAAAGAAACAGAGAAAACCAAATAAAAACACTTAAGAAGCTGCTGAGCACAGCTGCATGGCAGGAGGGTGGAGCACCCCAACTCCATGGGGCCAGATGCTCCTGTGCTTGGGACCTTCAAGACCCCGCTCTCTCCATCGCTTCATCTGCCTGTTCTTCTGTGTCCTTTATTATAACCTTATTAACAAACCATCAAATGTAAGTATAGTGTTTTGCTGAGTTCTGTGAGCTGCTCTAGCAAATGAATTGACCTCAAGAAGGGGGTGCTGGGAGCCCGATTTGCGGCCATTCAGTCAGAAGCGTGGTGGCTGGTATCTGACGTGGGGACCGTCTTATGGGACAGGGTCCTTTAACCCGTGGGATCTGATCCTCTCTCTAGGTAGACAGGGTCAGAGTGAAGTTGAATTACAGGACACCCAGCTGGTGTCCTCTGGAGAATTGTTTGGTATGTTGGATTTAGTGAGACAAGATATAGGAAAGTGTTTTTTATTTTTTGGAGACAGGGTCTCATTCTGTCACTCAGGCTGGAATGTAGTGGCACAATCATTGCTCACTGCAGCCTCGAACTCCTAGGCTCAAGGAATCCTCTCACCTCAGCCTCCCAACAAACAGGGACCACAGGTGCACACCTCCAAGTCCTGCTAATTTTCATATGTTTTGTAGAGATGGGGTCTTACTATGTTGCCTAAGTGGATCCTCAACTCCTGGCCTTAAGTGATCCACCCGCCTGGGCCTCCCAAAGTGCTGAGATTACAGGTGTGAGTCACTGCGCCTGGCCCAGGAAAGTGTTTGACACAACGTCTGATACCTACTCAATGAGCAATTGGTTCAAACATAGTTTTGACTAAAATAACTCCTGTGGAAATAAATATTGCTTTCTCAAGGGTATTCCAACTATTCTGTCTTCAGTCAATTCTTCTTCCCCATTTCCCTCTCCTCCTCCACTTCCTTCTCCTCCATTTCTTTATTTAACAGTGGCTCCAATTGTGAAACTTCCATTTGTGCCCCCTTGAGAAATGAGGCAGAGAAAATCCCAAGGAGGTGCTCTTCTCCCACCCGGACACCCCTGATCCCAAGGAGATGCTCCACTCCCACCCAGCTTCTGGATTAAGGATTTAGGGCAGCATACTTTCATCAATGACTTCTGAAGGTCACGTTTGTTCAGGACGTTCTGAAGACATTTCTGATAGTGTACCATCTTTATAGACGTTGCTCCCTACTACGACAAATCTGTTGAGAAATTAAATGAAGGAGCCCCTTCTGTGCTCTTTAATTTCCCAATGCAATAGTAAATGTGAGAGTGCCTTACAACCATGAAGCAATTCAGCCTGACTTTTGGTGATTACAAGGAAAAGGTTGGAAAGAGCTCTTAGTGTTTAATATTTAAAAACAAATATGTGTTGTATATTGACGAATTATAGTTGTATGTACTTATGGGTAAAAAGTGGTGTTATGCGCTTTATAGACAATTTAGAATGTATTCAGCATGCTGTGCTATGGATCTAAAAAATATCAGACTTTTCCTCTGATCTCACTGAAGCTTTGTGTCTTTGACTGTCATGTCTGTGTTTTCCCAGGCGTCAGCCTCTGCAGCCACCATTCCCCTCTCTGCTGCTCCGAGTTCAATTGTTTTAATTCCACAAGTAAGTGAGGATATGCTGTGCTTGTCTTTCTGCGTTTGGCTTATTTCACTCAGCATAATGTTCTACAATTCCATCCATGTTGTCACAAATAACAGAATTTCTTTTCTTTTTAGGGGCTGGATAATACTCCATTGTGTGTATAAACTACAGTTTCCTTATCCATTTGTCCCTTAATGGACACTTAGACTGATTTCATAACTTGGCTATTGTGAATCATGCTGCAATGAACTTAGGAGTGCAGATATCTCTTGGACCCATTGATTTCAAATCTTTAACACCCAGAAGTGGGGTTGATGGATCTCTTACTTAATGTTTTTGTTCCATTTAACATGGATGTCCCTCTAACTCTTCTAAAGAATGTCACAGATGATCTCAGTTGGGCTAGAGTTTTTCTTGACTTCATACTTTGCATTCTTCTGGCCTTAATGCATTTTGGAAAGGAGCCAGTTGTTTAGAAATGTGCTCCTGCTTTTCTAACCTATGTTCAAAAAAGAGTAAGCTTCCCCTGCACCCATGGCTGTGAATCTGTGGGACTGTCGACAGTCAGGCACTGAGGATGAAGAACTGGAAGATTCTGCACATCCCAGGCCATTCTTGATGTTAGCTTTTCCCATATGTGATGCTGTAGCGTGGGAAGGAACGGGAAATTTCTCCTACTTGCTTCCAGTTACAGGAGAATTCCTTTTCAGCAGCTCAACAAAGGCCTGCTACTGATGGCCTCCTGGATGTGACGTCACGCTCTGGGGCTGCAAGTCCAGTTTAATTCATCAGCTTTTTCCAGCTGTATAATAGGACATAAAACAGACGTAGGAGGAATGTGGAAGAAAGAGGTACAGTCCCTGCTCTTTTCTGATTTATACCCATTGTACCTTGCCCCAATGTGGTCTTCGGTTGGTAATTCAACATCTCTTGTATATATTATCTTTGTATATACCTTAATATATTAATAATTTAAAGCCCCAGTATAATTCCCTGCATAAAGTAAGACTGAACTAAGTCCCCTTTTTATAATGGTGAACCTGATTATGCACTGTTAACAGACAGTGCAGTAATTTTCAGAGATCATAGCACAACCACACTCTTCTGAGCTGGTTTCTCTGTCTACAGCAGCCATCTGTATTTAAACAAACCTCAAAGGTGGGGTGTGTGTGTAGAATTCTAGGTATTTAGAAAAGCCAGAAATTCAGTTTATAAACAACTGTTCAAAGCCAAAGATTATGACATCAATTAGCATTTCTAAAATCGCTAGGTGAGTGGTATTTTGCTTCATCATTTCTGTGACACATTCCAAGCAAGCATCATTGTATATGGTATTTATCACGATCGAAGGTTCGCATTCATTTGAAGTTCCGGTCATTCTCTTTTTTACGACACCACCCAGCATATCAGTTGGTTGTGCAAATGGACCTCCAGCACTCTCCTAGATGTAGAAGACCTCTGTTGGCAAATGTCCACCTCCCCAACTCTCTTTGTATGAAAGCCCTCTTGTGACTGCTGGTGTTTTCAGATGGACAGAGTGGTGGGGGGAGGGGGGGAAGTGCATGGTAATCAATGACCTCTAACACAACGGGGGGAGGATTTAAATGAGTAAACATGCACACATGTACATGCACCTACACATGCACACACAGTCACACACACTCACCAGCCGACCTTCATAAAAAAGCACTTCGTAGTTAATGGAGTAACTGTCATTTTATATTCACTCTATTGCTACAAAAATTACAATGGCTGTAATAGTGTTTAATGCAATATTAATATCCACTCTAAAGACGAATTTGTTGCATAGAACATATTCCAAGTAAGAGGCTGTGCCTTGTGCTGGCCACTTCATTTTCAATATGGACAAGAACTGTCTCATGAGGCCAGTTGCAAGGAATTCCATGTGGGCATGATTCTCTCCTCAGCAAATATCTCTGGCAGAAGTGTTTTGTAGCAGAATTCTCAGGAGTTGCATGGGATTCTAAACATGAGTTCAGTGATGAAATCCAGATTTACGATCTCCTTTTCACCATGTTCTGCAAAAATGAATGCAACACAACAGGCACAGCCTTTGAGCTGTGTTATTGTCATTTGTATCCAAAATGCCTCAGCTCAATTCTAAGTTTCTTGAAAAACAGGAAGAGAGTAGGCATCCATCAGAAAATCTAATGATAGCAGTGGCCCAAGATTGTTTCCTTTGCCTTATGAAGTGTTACCCTTATCAGCATCAGCATGAAATATTATTTATTAAGCCTCCTCTTGGGCCTGGTGCCATGCAGGGTAGTATTTCTCTCTGCAGTTACCTCATTGTGCTAGTTTTTCAAATATACCTGACCAATTTTGTTGTAAAATCAGTTTCTTTCTTGTTAACAAAATAGGTTATTTTTGTACTAATTAAAATCACAAGATAATTGAGTTTGTTTGCAATTTCAATGAAAGTGGTTCAAAAGCTCTAAAGGGCCGGGGTGTTAAGTGTCACTGCAGCAACGATGAATGTACCACAGGGTTCCTTAGTCATCAACCGTGGACTCGTTTGGAAAACGAGGATGAATTTGGGCATTCACAGCAGATGACACTTCCATTATCAGGACATAAATAAGCACTATGAATATGCATGGTACTTAGAAACAGGCACTTAATTTCCACAAAGACAGTCATTCTCCTTGATATGAGTTAGCTGTCTTTTGTAATTGTTCATTTTGCATTCTTTTTCTCCTAAAGTTTCCCCAAACAGTGGGAGCAGGGGGTGGGGGAAGAAAAATAAAACTACTAAACAGATAAAATGTTAATTGTAATTTATGGAAATAGAACAAAGCATTGAGAACTTTGCACAGCCTTGTGCAAGCAATAGTTATTTTGTACAACTAGGAAGACTCTATGCAGTGTGGATTTAAGTTGGAGGTAAAGCCCAGAATGTGGAGGAGGTGGAGTGGCCTCCTAGCACAAGAAAACCACATGGTTAATTGATTTTTGAAGCCCTTGGGCTCACACGCATTGCGTGCCCAACCTGGACGTCTCCAGGTGAATGGGTGCAGGGCTGCATTTCACGTTCATCTGGTGTCTCTCCTGTGGGCAGCTCTGATGTTGGTCTTCTCCTGCTGAACTTATTTTCTTTGTTATGACGGAATTAGCAAGAATTAAAGGGAGGGGGTGTTGAAGATCATTAGCACCTACTTGTAACTTTCTTCCTGACATAATTCTAAGATTGAAAAGTATCAGCCAGACCACTACGGAGAAAAAAAGTGTTATTTGCTACAACATTGCGTGTGAAGACAAATACCTCATGATTTCATCTGTTGCAGAAATCTCAAAAGTTTATCACAGCAAATGAGAAAGCCATTCTGGTCTTTATTTATAAACTCCAACGGGTTTATCTCTCCTTCCTGAACATTAAAATCTGAAAGGCAGTTTGCCTCTTAACCAAGCATCTGTCTCTGGGAGTCATCAGCAGAAGTCTGCACAGGGGAAAAAGGCGGTCTCGCCTTCGTCAGTGCATGGGCCCCGTCCAGCCACTGTCAGTGATGGCGTCCTCTGTGTCAAATAGCTATGCCCAATTTAAAAGAAAACAACAGCAACAGGCTTCTGTTGTCTTCAAGTAGCTGCAAAAATCCCTTAGGGAAAACGAAAAACATCTTATCCAGTTCGGCAATCAAGAGGATCAGCGTGTTGTAACCTCCGTGTTTTCAGCAGCACCCACAGTGGAGGCAGAAGTGGTTTTGATTTCTCCCTGTGGTTGGGGTCTCACTTCTCATGTCCACCGCTCTATTGCTCAGTATTATGCTAATGAGCGCTCCTGTAACTGCACTTACATCACAACTGAGTAGATCCCAACGGGATTTGCTTTGCTGGTTCAGCGGCTGCTCCTGTGGCGCCTCCTTGTGGACTGTTTTCCCCCGTGACTGCCCCAGCCTTGTCCGCCATGACACTCTTCCAGGCCTGGTGACGAGCGAGCTTCTGCCCGCTTCTCACACTGCCTTATATGTAATGATGTATTAAAAATCTTGGCCTTTTATCAAATGCTTGATCTATGTGTCAGATTTCTCCGCTTGCTTTATGCAGGTGTTGGGAGCATCGCCATTCTTCTTTGATACCATTTTTTAGAATTTTAATGCAAAGACTTGGGATCTTTTCAAAAGTTTCATGCAAAGTTTGGGTATTTGGTGTAAGCCAGAAATAAAATTCTAAAGCCCCAGTTGGCTGAATGGAGCCCTGCTCTTGGCCAAGGGGATCTGAAAGAAACCTGAAAAATGATTTCAGGCCGTGCCGGGAAAGGGGGGTCAGACACACCTCCTTATACCCTCTCCCATTGCAATTCAGGTGCAAATGACCAGCATTTACATGAAACAACAGAGAACCCAAGACTGACAAAACAGATTCTTGGTAGCAATAAGATACTCAGTTCCAGCCTGACTCTGGTATAGCATCACATAATAGATAGCAAGCCCTGAAGAAATCGGAGTATTTTATCCCCAAAATATATTTATTTGGCATATTTTGAAACAGCCCCACAAAGCTATTTCTTGTGGAGGAAACTTGGCTTCTATAGAGAATCTCCATCCCTTTCTAGGTCATTTTCTGATCCAGGAGAGACTTGACTGAGTCTGACACCCTTTAGGGTCCTATAAGAGACATTTACCATTTATTCTCTCTGAAGCTGCTACCTGGAGGCTTCATCTACACACCAAGAACCTTGGCTTCCACAACACCCTTAATCTTAAAGCATTTCATTCTACCCATTGCAACTTTTTAGGCAAAGCTTAACTCTTTCAGTCTTTGAATCCACATGTGACCTGTAACCAACCCCTCCCACCCCTGTCAGCTTCAAGACATTTTTCCTTTCTGGACCAAACCAATGTATACCTTCCATTTATTGATTTATTCGTTTGTCTGTAACTTCTGTCTCCCTCAAATGTATAAAATCAAGTGGTAACTCAGCCACCTTGGACAGCAGTTCTCAGGACCTCCTGAGGCTGTGTCACAGGCTGTGGTCACTTAGATTAGGCTCAGAATAAACTTCTTCAAATATTTTACAGAATTTGGCTTTTTTTTAATCAAGATTGGAAGTGCAGTTTCTGGAGTTCTTTGTGTCTTTAAAGGGTTGTTTGATTTCAGGTATGACCTGCTGTCTTATCAATGACCCACCTCAGAGCCTGCATGCTCTTTTCGGGGTTCACAAAGAAGAAACACGTTTGTTGTTTTTGTTTCTCTTCTTATTCAAAATGACACAATCAGCAGAAGGTGTTGAGTGCTGACACTGCCTCAGAAGTGAGGTGAGGGGTGCGGCTACCCTGAGGTCAGAAAGGGCATTTGGTGTAGAAAGTTAACAGCAGGTGTTCAGAACCCTGCCTCAGAAGTGAGGTGAGGGGTGCGGCCGCCCTGAGGGACACTCCCAGCATTAGAAAGGGCATTTGGTGTAGAACGTTAACAGCAGGGGCTCAGAGATAACCCACCACATGTTTTCTTATAGGAGGGTGTCACTTTTCCTGGGTACATTTTGTCTGCCCATCTGCAATTCAGAGAATCAGGAACATTGTATTAATAAGGTAGAGGGAATCAAAAATTATTTGGGCAAACGGGAGTAGCTCTGCTTGAGTGCACTTGAGGAGGCGGTTGGGGAGGAGGGGAAGTGACAGTTCATCTCCTTGTGGCCACAGACTGCAGTCACTGGCGTAGAAGCCAAGAGGGGGGTGTCAAAGTTTCTGATCAGGCTTAATTAAAAAAAGAAAAAAAGGCCGGGCATGGTGGCCACTTTGGGAGGCCGAGGTGGGTGGATCACCTGAGGTCAGGAGTTTGAGACCAGCCTGGCCAACATAGTGAAACCCTGTCTCTAGTAAAAATACAAAAATTATTCGGGCGTGTTGGTGGGTGCCTGTAATCCCAGCTACTAGGGAGGCTGAGGCAGGAGAATTGCTTGAATCCAGAAGGTGGAGGTTGCAGTGAGCCAAAATTTCACCATTGCACTCCAGCCTGAGCAACAAGAGCACAAGTCCATCTCAAAAATCAAAAAAGAAAAAAAACAAAAGATACAATGTCCAAACAGTTTCATGAATTTAGATAAGTGAAAAAGCATAAAGCTTTCCTATATCATTGTCATTTTAATTATTTATTCATTGGTTTTCAATTTCTCAGTAAATTATTGGCTCTGTATTCAATTTTAACGAAAAGAAATATCACTTGCTAGAGCAGTGATCCTCAACTCTCAATACAATAAGAACCCCTAGGAGGTTCAGAAACATGTGGACAGATGCTGAGACCCTCACAGAGAAATCTCAGTGCAATTGGTTTGATGGGCAGCCTCTGCATAGGTAGTTCTTTTTATTTTTATTTTCATTTTATAGAGATGAGGGTTCTCCATGTTGCCCAGGCTGGTCTTGAACTCCTGGGCTCAAGCAATCCTCCCACCTCGGCCTCCCACAGTGCTGGGATTACAGGCATGAGCCACTGTGCCCAGCCAGACACAGGTAGTTCCTAAAATCTTCTCGAGTTTGAGGGTGTCTGCTACAGAGGTGACCCAAATCTTATGATTGGCGTTTCCAAAATTTAGTGGAAGCTTTAATTGGATCAAGGAGACATTTCCATTTTCAAGCTAAGAGAGTTAGTAAGCGCTCACCTTAATAACACACAATTTGTTGTATAGTTTGGTTTTAAAACCGGGCAAAAATCATCCATAGGAACATGAATTGGTGTAGGTATTTGCAATAAGTAATGACCATTTTTATGGTTTTTGTATCAAAAAAATGATGATTTGAAGACTGAGCTCTCAGCTCTACTAGCAGAAGGGTAAGTGTCAGTATCGAGGCTGGTTTTGAATTATAGCTGAGCCAAAAGCATCTGAAAGCAATGCGTTCTTTTTCTTCTCTTCTCTAACTTAAAACTGGACTGAATTTTTTCATAGTTGGTAAAATGAATGCTTGGAGTCTTCAACCCAGAGCTCCAAGCAGGAGTCCAGCCAGAGTGCGTTTTTAGAACTGATTTATTAGCCCCATAAGGCCACCTGAGATCTTTGTGGTTTGCAACGTCCTATTTTTTTTTCCTGAATTACTTTGTATCTGACTTAGACAGTTACGGGTTTTAGCATGGGATTTTGCATACAGATTGGCCACTGCTTTGAAAGCTCTTCTATGATGCATATTTCATGATGAGTATCCTCAAACCTCAAACCTCTCTGGAAAAAAAAAAAAAGTCCTGTACCTTTTCGGTTTGATTATTAAACTGGAGATAGACAAATTACAGGAGCTGTCCCTCAATTTAATGAGAAGCCCTTAAAAAACAAAACTTGGAATAATTGAAAATGGCATTGAACAATAAATAACTTAATAAAGTAGAAAATGTCTAATATTTAACTACAGCTATTTGATGAGAACATTTCAGAAAGAATGACTTTAAAAATTGAAATGAGAAATCACCTCATGTCGGGAGACACCATAGACGCACATTATTTTTCTTGATGTGGGAGACTGTGAGAACTCCTACAGGAGTTAAATCTGATGAGAACAATGTCTTTAGCTTAGCCCCGATCGTGGAAATAAGCTCTGCCCAGGAGCGAAGCGCTAAGGACCAAGCCACGTGGGTCAGGAAGGGGAGAATCTGGGGTCCAGACCTGAACCATTACTCTTAAACGCTGGCCCCTGTTTTATTGGTGGACAACTAATCCGTGTCCCATAAATCTGAGGACATTTAATCCCAATAATCCCTCTCCCAGTTCTATTTTTGCCTACGATCCCCAAAGCGGATATTCCTGTCCTTTCAGGGTACACCATGGAAAGGCTGATAGCTGCAGACTTTATCACCTTTCTGATCTTGTGTTCGTCTCTGCCTGGTACTCTCTGTCTAAGAGACGACATCACCAAGGGCCTAGTTTCTCTATTCACAAGCCAAAGGACCCCTGAAGCCCCCCTCCCCTTCATTTTCCCACATGAACTCATCAGCGAGGACTTGGATTCTCAAGAATGCTCCAAATGTGCATTTTTCTCTGTACAGCCAGCCTGGCCTCCATTATCCCTGACCTTGATTCCATCCCTGGTCTCCTAAGCTCTGCCCTCCTTACCGGCCTGCAAGCTTTTGGGATTCTCTACAGTGCAGACAGAAGGACATTTTTAAATTTAAATCTCATTCAGTCCTTGCCAGTGGTCCCACTGCCACCAGCGTGGAGGCCCATCTCCTCTATATGGCTCCCTACCCCTGCGGACCTCCTGTGTTTTCCTGCTGTCTCCTTCAACATCATCACCGTCCGCACCTTGCTCTCTCTCCTTAGCCATATTTAACTTGCAGGTTCTCTAATCTACTTCACTCTGTTTTATGGTTAGAGCTCTGGACTTTCCATTTCCATGTGAAATATTTGCTTTACTCTTTCTCTGGGTAACTCTTTCTCATCCTTTGGAACCCAGCTCAAAAACATCACCTCCTCCAGGAAGTCCTTCTTCTCTGAGTCAGATGTCCTCCCAAGACTGCACATCCCACCATCATATCTGGCACGATTTACACCTCATCCAGAAATATTTGCACCATTCCTGTCTCATCCAGATTGCAAACTTCTTGAGACGAGAGATGCATGTCCTTTTTGGACCCTCGCTGCCGCAGGATTCATCCGATCAGCCTGTGAAAAACCCACCCTCCTGTCTTGGTACACAAAGCTTGGTGCTACTGCAGTGAGATTGTGGAGAAGGTGTACCATAAGCAGTTAATTCTCCCCATAGCTTTTAGTGTGTTCACTGCGACTCATGAAACCACCTTTGCAAAGATGATGGCAGTGAAGAGAAGCCTAGTGTGTCCCACTCCACCTGGCTTCCGCCTCACAGGCTGGCTGGCCTTGCTCATTTGCGGACATAGGCCAAGCTAATTATGGGAGGAATGTAGTTTACCATTTCACTTGCAAACAAGGATGGCCATAGTCCCTCCCTAAAACAGATCCCTCCTTGGTCAGGGACGGAAACTAATGGAAGGCCACAAGATCAGGATTATGGGAGGGGCCTGGGCTCTGCTAAACGTGGGCATAGTTTCTAGAATCCCTTACTGCTCAGGAGTCATGTGGCCAGAGCTCACAAGATTTGTGACTTCTCCGGTTGCTCCTATAGATAACATCACTGTTGCAGGACCTAAGATTTGTCTTTGGAGATGTTTTTCAGACTTTTTCATTCTGGCAACCAATGGACCCCATCCACATCCATGACTCACGACTCAACCAGTCCTGTGGCCCCCACCCAGAGGCCGACTCAGCCCACGAGACCCTCTCTCCACCCCCTCACGACTGCATCCCTAAACAGTCAGCAGCACCCAGTTCCTAGCCCCTTGCCACCAAATTATCCATAAACACCCTAGCCTCTGAGCCCTCAAGGAGGCTGATGTCAGTAATAAATCCCGTCTCTTGAGTGGCTTGCCTAGCATTAATTACTCTTTCTTGACTGTAATACCAGGGTCTCAGTGAATTTGTCTGTGTGGTGGGCAGGAAGAACCTGTCGGACAATCACACCCAGCTTTCAATGTACATTAGATATTTTCTTCTTTTACCTGTTCCCTCTCAGAATCCCAAGGATTCAAGGGTTTGATTGGAAGCATTTCTGGGATAAATGTGTGTGTATGTGATTTCATGCTTCCAGATTCTTACAATAATCACGTGGTATACAGATGCAGACCAAGTATCAAATATCTTAAAAACTTAGGCTTGTTCATAGTAGCATTATTCACAATAACTAAAACATGGAAGCAATCCAGTGTCCACTGTTGGGTAAATGCATGAGTGAAATACAGTCTACGCATACAATGAATTTTTTTTAAACACAGGGTCTCACCCTGTTGCCCAGTTGCTGGAGTGAAGGGTGTCATCATGGCTCACTGAAGCCTTGACTTCCTGGGCTCAACCAACCCTCCCAGCTCAACCTGAATATCTGGGACATGAGGTGTGTACCACCATGCCCAGCTAATTTTTTTGCTTTTTGTAGAGTTGGCATCTTACTATGTTGCCCAGGATGGTCTTAAACTCCTGAGTTCAAGGGACTCTCTCACTTCAGCTTCCCAAAGTACTGAAATTACAGGCATGAGTCACCACCCCTAGCATAAGGGAATGTTATTCAGCTTCATAAAAAAAAAAAAGGAAATTCTGACCCATGTTACAACATGGCAGAACCTTGAAGACATTGTGTTAAGTCAAATAAGCCAGTCACAAATGGACAACTACTGTATGATCCCACTTATATTAGGTCCCTAAAGTCATCAGATTTATAGAGACAGGAAGCAGAATGGGAGTGACGTGTGGCAGGAGGTGGGGAGAACGGGGAGTTACTGTTTAATGGTAAGAGTTTGGTTTTGCAAAATGAAAAGGTTCTGTAGATGGATGTTGGTGATGGTTGCACAGCAATGTCTTTAGTGCCACTGAATTGTGCACTTACAGTGATTAAAACGGTATATTCTGTGTTCGTGTATTTTGTCACAATAAACAAATAAACCCTGGTTTGGACTCTCCCAGGTCTGCCTGGACATTCTTTGTAGCCAAGTCCTGAGGCTGATGCCAAGGAGGTGGTGACAACCATGAGTTTGCTGAGAAAAGTGTGGAATCCCTGGTTTCCACAGGCTTTTGCCAACACACCTGACTCTTTGTTTGAGAGCTACCATCATTCTGGAGGCAATTTCTTCTTTAATTTACTGTCTTTGGATAATTTTGAAAGGGTCACAGAGCTGCAGCATCTTTCAATCTAGCATTCTGTTTTCTCAGTGATTACTCGTGATAGCAGATTGGAGAGCTCGGCATTTCTCTGAACTCCTCATTGCGTCTCTAGCTCTGATTATGTCACCACTTGATGTAACTGCATTGCCTGAATTGAGTCAGAATTTAGATATATTGTTAGATTTCCTACGTCTGTTGTATTTTTGCATGAAAGTCTCTCTTTTCTGACCTATCACTGGACTCTGTTTTAAAACCAAACACTAATTCTGGGGAATCTAAAAAATTTGAACACATAAAACTAAGCAACCATTAGAATTCACTTTGAAGTATATATGGCACTGATTTTTTTTTCAACACAATTGTTAGCAACACTTGTTAAAAACACAAGAAAATATCTCATGAAAATGTAACTGAGTATTCAGTTGAAAAGAATACATTTTACTCAAAGAGTAATGGGATTAAATGTTGGGGTTTGGGAGATTAGAAGTGGAATCGAGTCATATTTTGGGAGAAATCTGGCAGCAGAGATAAATTAGTGCTGACAAGAAAGATAAAAGTGGAAAGGAAGACATTCCCTGTGGTGTTGAACACATGGAGAAGTCGGCCTGCTGTGCCCGCAAGTACAGCACAAATTTCACCCCATGTGTTTCCATGTGTTTTATTTTAGAGGAAACACAGAATTGAACTGTCTGTTGTTTAAAGCAATGAATGACATGCTAAATTATAGAATTGGGGCATTTTTATTAAAACTATTTCTGAGAAACCAAAACATTTGTTTCTGGAGATTTTCCACAAGCCTGTTATCTGTGTTACCGTAATATTTAGTGACACCGGGCCCCTCGATGGATGGCCAGTCTTCATGGTTGACAGCCTCCCTTCTATAGGTACTTTCTGTGGGACCGCATGGCTGCCAGTTACCACCTTCTCCTCCGAGGTCTCACTTGGAAAATCAGACCTGTTTTGTGAAAAAGGTCAAGTGGCTCCTTTGAACAGCTTTGTCTACGGTAGATGTTTCAGCTGAACGTGAGTTGAGATACGGCCTCTGTGACTCTTTAAAAACAACTGCACCAGCCTAGCAAGGTTGAAACTGACCGATTGTTCTTGGCAAGGTCTGCAGCCCAGGGTCTAAAGGAGTCAACGGGAAATGTCCTTCTCTTGCCATCCCCCAAAGTTTAACATCTCTCTTAAGACTTGATTTTGAATTTTGTGGTGTTACATTTTATTTCTCTAAAATGAACATTAGAGGCTAGGCACGGTGGCTCACACCTGTAATCCCAGCACTTTCAGAGGCCAAGGTGGACAGATGGCTTGAGGCCAGGAGTTTGAGACCAGACTGGCCAACGTGGCAAAACCCTGTCCCTACAAAAAATACAAAAATTAGCTGGGTGTGGTGGCACGTGCCTATAATCCCAGCTACTTGGGAGGCTGAGGCAGGAGAATTGCTTGAGCCTAGGATGCAAAGGTTGCAGTGAGCCAAGATTGCACCACTGCACTCCAGCCTGGGTGACAGAGGGAGACTCCATCTCAAAAATAAACAAACAAATAAATACATAAACAAATGGAATGAACATTAGAATCTCTTTCTTATCAGTTTATTCAATATAGTGCTCCTCCTGCATTTAGATCTTGAGCTTACAGCATATTTTAAATTTTTGCTATATTAATAAAAAACATCTTGGGACTACCTTTTACATTTTTCCTAGATGTGAAACTTTTCCTATGATTAATGTGTATTTTTTATTTAATTTTTCAACTTCATGGGATTCTGCAAAATTCTTATGAGGATCCCTATTTCCTAGAAGACCATACTAAACTGAGATTAAAGGCAGAATTTTCAGAACATAAACCGTGTGTTTTACAGAAACATTCTAGTATTATAGGAACTTCTTATTCCTGTTCTCATCACACAAATTAATGGTGTATATTGTCCTCATGATCTTTCTGCACATTTTATCTGCGTCATGTAACAGCCACGGGATGCCATTGTTCATGAAATAGGAAGTTCTTAACCTCAAAGCATCTTAATGAAAGGTTGGCAGAGGCTGCAAGGCCGCTACAACTGACCGACAATGTGCATCTCATTTTTATGTTTTGACTTTATGTGGGGAGCTTTCAGTTAACTGTGATGAGCTCCAACCTGCCTCAGAAGAAGTAACTACAAGGTAATTCAGCTCGGTACCATCTGCTTAGTTTCCGGCAGATTATCTTGGCCTAGGAAACTTTTACGTTTGCTGTTACAGAAGTTTTTTTCACAACGATACAATTGAAGTAATCATTCCTTTTTTCTGTTGCAATTTCAGTGTTTCTATTGTTCAATGTTTTGGGGTTCGTCCCATCTGCACAGGGTGGCCCATGGTGATGCTATGTGGATGTGCGTTGAGTAAGTTGATTAAGAGGTTTAGATACCAAAGTAGAATTTCATGTTTTTATATTTTTTCTTTAACTATAGTAATAGAAAGGCTAAATAGAAAGACACTTTAAACAGAACATGTGCCATGAACGTGCTATTTAAATAGAGCATTTAAATAGAACATTTCTTTAAATAGAATATTTAATATTCTAATTTACATATTTAATATTTAAGTAGAAAAATATTCTTTGAATGGAACATTTGTCATGAAAGGCTAAATAGAGACACTTTAGGTAGAACGTTTGTCATGAATGTGCCTTGTTTATGAAGCTGAGCTGAGAGGGGCTGTGCACTTGGCCAGAGACTCTTCTTCCAGTGATTAATAGAATCTTTCATACCTGGGAAAACCTGAGGTGTATTAAAGGAGTTCTTGTTCTTAAAGAGTGATCATATCGTACAGAGATATTTTAACACATAATTATGTTCACACAGGTACTTAAACATCAAAAGCAATCAGGAAATCTCTGCTGAAATGCAAAGGAAATGACATAAAGTTGCAAATAACACCATATGCAATAAAATGTTGTATATTTTATTCTGAGTCACCTAGACCATGCGAAGATTTAAAATGGATTAAAGACAGACATTGTGTCAAACCTGGTAAAGATTTCGTGACAGATGACCTTGAGCTTTACAACATTCACCTAGAATCGTCATTTATATAACGTGGGCAAAGACAGATCTCCTTAAATTCATTCTAAATCTTTTGCAACATCTTTGAAAATCTACTTCTAATAAAAACTCAGTTTAAAACTATGCCATTTTATGCTAAATTAATTGTGATTTTTTTTTTTTTTTTTTTTTTTTTTTTGAGACAGTGTCTTGCTTTGTCGCCCAGGCTGGAGTGCAGTGGCGCGATCTCGGTTCACTGCAAGCTGTGCTCCCCGGGTTCACGCCATTCTCCTGCCTCAGCTTCCCGAGTAGCTGGGACTACAGGTGCCTGCCACCACACCTGGCGAATTTTTTGTATTTTTGGTAGAGATGGGGTGTCACTGTGTTAGCCAGGATGGTCTCAGTCTCCTGACCTTGTGATCCACCCTCCTTGGCCTCCCAAAGTGCTGGGATTACAGGCCTGAGCCACCGTGCCCAGCCTAATTTTGATATTTCTTAAAACAAAGTTTTTAAGATACTAGAGTGCCCCATTGATAGTATTTATTTTTATTTTTTATTTTTTTTGAGAAACAGTTTTGGTCTGTCGCCCAGGCTGGAGTGCAGTGACATGATCTCGGTTCACTGCGACCCCTGCCTCCTGGGTTCAAGCGATTCTCTGGCATCAGCCTCCTGAGTAGTTGGGATTGCAGGTACCCACCACCATGCCGGGCTAATTTTTGTATTTTTAGTAGAGACAGGGTTTCACCATGTTGGCCAGGCTGGTCTCGAACTCCTGACCTCAGGTGATCTACCCACCCTGGCCTCTGAAAGTGCTGGGATTATAGGTGTGAGCCACCGCTTCCAGCCCAGTATTTTTAAAATATGAAGAAAAATGTCAAGTTCTATCTTTATGTGTTTTACAAAAGAGCAAAACAAAAATAAAAATTCTGAGTGTCTTTTCATGGTGACTTAGAAGAATTCTGTGAATGTCTGGCCTGTGCATATTTTTGTCCAACTAAAATTATAATCATTTAAAACATACAGATCATTATTTTCTTGAAAAAGGGTACACACGTGGAGGAAAAGTGCCTTCTGTATAACTTGATAGGGTGTTTTGTAATCTTCTAAATTTTCAAGGCTGTACATTTATGTCACGTTTCCATTAGGTGGCACTGTGCTAATAGTGATAGAGCAAGTTCTCTCAGAGCTCATATAAGCTTTTTTTTTTTTTTTCTCAAGTCTCACTTTATTTCATTAGTTTCTAAAATGCTGTTACTTAAGATATTTGGGTGGTTTTATGGCTCGGGGTGCCAGAGAAGCAGATGCTGTTTTCGCCGTTAGTCTTAGGATCCGGAATCAGCAGCCCCGGACACCTGAGACAGGGGGTGCGGGCCGTGTCCCCTCCACAGGTGGAGACAGTCAGGTTCGGCTTGAAAGAGGAATTCCCCGAGGGAGTGAGCCAAGAAGGACGATTGGCTGTCTTGTCACAGAGGCAGCAGGGCTTCAGGAAGGTCCTGAGGGAGAATGAAGGGTTCTGTGGTCTCTAACACAGCCCCTGGCTGAGATCGCCGTCCTCTCATTCCACCCTGGTCTGCTGGTTGGGACCACGGGCAGCGAGTCCACGGCAGGACTCCCGAGCAGTGGCTGTCGCCGGTCACCCCGGACGGCTCAGGGCAACACGGACCGTGGCGCCCCAGGAAAGGCGCCCACAGCCACAGCCAGCCTGGATGGGGCCCCTGGAGCGTGGGGTCTCGAACACCACCCGTCAGGGCTGAAGCCCACTTCCCTCAAAGGTGACAAGTGTGGCCGAGAGTCACAGAGCCTCAGGCCGAAGAGATGGTGCTGTCACTGGGGACGCACCGTACAAACACACATGGTAATCCACTGCGTTGAGCGCCTGTCTCAAAGGCGTGATAGAGTTTCCGCTTCGGCCTGCGGTGCTGTGGGATTAACCTGATTAATATCGTCCATTGCATGTGATTTTCGATGCAGGAGAAAATGTTATTTTGCCTAAAGATGTAAATATATAAAAATAGCCAAATCAGAGACAGGGACTTGAATTCTGGGTCATTTTAAATACTAGTTAAAAGCTTTAAATGGCTAAACGTATTTTTAATACTGGGTCTCATTTATGTATTTATTTATTGCATATGGAATGATCTTGCTTAGATATCTATTTGGCACTTATTTAAATAATCTATTTGTTCGTTAAATATATGTTCCATAATAGGAAGCTTATTAAAAGAGTTTACTATAGTCATTAGGTCTGCAAAAGACATAAAAATAATAGTTTGTCTATAGTAGATAAAATACTAAGAATAATTTCACCTTTCTCCTACAAAATAATCCATCTAAAACCCAAGTATAGGCCGGGCTCAGTGGCTCATGCCTGTAATCCCAGCACTTTGGGAGGCCGAGGTGGGCGGATCACCTGAGGTCAGGAGTTCGAGACCAGCTTGAGCAATATGGTGAAACCCCGTCTCTACTAAAATTACAAAAAGTAGCTGGGCGTGGTGGTGGGCATCTGTAGTACCAGCTACTTGGGAGGCTGGGGCAGGAGAATCGCTTGAAGCCAGGAGGCGGAGGTTGCAGTGAGCCGAGATCGCGCCCTTACACTCCAGCCCGGGCGACAGTGCGAGACTCCGTCTCAAAACAAAAAACAAAAAACAAACAAAAAAACCCCCAAAAAATCAAAACCCCAGAATGGTAGCTATTTCATGTGAGTGAGCATGGGGAACCCCCGATGTCTCTGGGTCATGAAACCACAAGAATGAAAGGGCTGGGAAGGCCCCCGGCAGCCCCCATGTGCGTGAGTTAGGGCACCCAGCTCTTCCGGAAGGTAACTCAGGCTGTGAGAACCCAGGGAACAAGTCAGCATCGGGGTGAACCAGAAGCCCCCTTGGATCCAGAGTCATTTTGGAACGTGAGCCCTGCCCTTTGCCAGGGATGTAGAAGGAGTTCTGGGGTGTTTCGCGAGTGTGGTGTCGTCACACCCTGGGTGCTGGATGGGCATCCTCATTGTCAGCTCGGCAGTGACCAGGCAGATAGAGCCACACGTTCTCATCAGGAACCTCTTCATTGTCTTGGGCTGGGCTACAGGATTCCTCACAGAGAAGTCAAGTCGCCAGTGGCTCTCTTTCCAGTGACTGCCCATTTCTCCGTTCCATACATATTTTCCAGACATGGTGTGTGCACGGATGGGCTGGAAGCTGCAGGACTTTCAGTCTGGTTTGTCCTGCAGCTAAAAGACCACAGACATGTGGCAACTGGCCCCGTCCCCAACTCACTGCCTCGGAACCTGCATTTCTGTCGGTTCTCCTGGCCGCTCACATGCACGGTACAGCCTGAGGAGCCCTGTCTGGAGTGTGTTATTGCAACCTGCCAATCCTTAGTGCCAAGGAAGGGGCAAATGTCACTTGCAAAGCTGCAATTTTCTCTGCTTATCTCTTTTTGAGGATAAAATAGGTGAAGGCCATGGCAGCAGGGAGAAGGCTTATGGTTTATAGCTAATTCACCCGGGGAAAGTAAAAGTGCATTCTGTAATTAATCACATCTCCAGTTTGCCCATTATCCTGATCCTTCTCCTCAGATTCCTCTATAGCCCCTGGCCTGTCCATTTTGTGGCTCCTTAACTACCAGGTCAGAGGTAGATGAGATGAAGAAGGGAGATGAGAGGCATTCAGATCGACCCGTTTTATTATTTCCTTGGAGGCTCTTGGAGACTGCTTGATGAGTGAATGCTGAGAATAATGGGTGGAATGCATTAGCGGGTGGCTCGTGCCATGATTAATCTGATTCCTGTCCCATTAATGCTACTAATTGGCTACCCCAAGAAGAAAATGTCCCTCAGCTTCAGGGTGTGGGAAAGCGACGCTACCATGTTGTTAGTAGCCGAGATCATTAACTGTTGCCTTTTTTATTTGCCTTTTCTCGAACCAACCAGACCAACGACATTGCTGTGAACACCTCTGTAGAATTAGCTTCGGCTTGGGCTCTCGGAATCAGCCGTTACTCCCCCAACAATAATCTTTTGGAAATCCCCAAAGCCTCTGTAATTATGGAATTTGACGAAGGCTCTGTTGTGGATTTTGTTTCTTCTCTCTTCTCTCTCCCATTCCTATCCCTGTCAGTGCCCGGAAAAGCCGAAAGGATCCAGGAAAACACTGCAGGAGAACACTGGTAAAGTGGTCCTCAGTGAGGGCAGCTCAGGAGCTTGGAGCAGGAGGGAGAGCTCCCCTGACTCATCACAGCACAGGGCACTGGAACCCCAGGAACAGTGCTCAGTTCCTTCCACGGGAGCTCACGTGGAAAATAATCTCACCATGCCAGCTGCAGTTCTCAGACCCTCTGATCCATAACCCAGCACGGCGGGGCGTGGTAGCCTCACAGTGTTTGTTTTAAATTGTGCCATCCTTGGATTCCCCATTTTGGTCTCCGTCCTCCTACTCTCTCCCTGCTTCAGACAGAGGTGTCAGACAAAAGGGCTCAACTTGGTATCACTGGAAACCCGGCCAGTAGCTCATCAGCTCGTCTTCCAGGCAGGTTGCTGCGATCCTGGCAGGCCTGACGGTGAGGCCTGTGAGCTGGAATGAGCTGCGCTGAGAAACTGACCTCTCCAGTGGGCAGGATGGAGCCACCCATTGAGGCTGAAGACTCGTGTGTGTTCTCATGATCCGATGACCCAGGGAAAAAATAAAACCAAATCAAACCAACCAACCCTGTCTGCCAGGAGGACAGAAAGAATGCCCCAAATTTACTATTTTACTTTTATTTTTTGAGACATGGTCTCGCTCTGTCACCCAGGCTGGAGGGCAGTGGCACCGTCATGGCTCACTGCAGCCTCAACCTCCTGGGCTCAAGTGACCCTTTGCCTCAGTCCCCTGAGTAGCTGGGACTACAGGTGTGTGCCACCACACGCGGCTAATTTTTTGTATTTTTTGTACAGATGGGATTTTGTCTTGTTACCTAAGCTGGTCTTGATCTCCTGGCTTCGATCTGCCTGCCTCAGACTGCCAGAGTGCTGAGATTACAGGTATGAGCCACCGTGCCTGGTCAGAATGTCCCAAATTTATTTAAGGAAAGAATCAGTTTGGCATTTTTTTAAAAAATTGGTGCAGGAAAATACACACGTTGGGTATGACACCTTTAAAGCTGGATATTTTTCTCTGTCTTGTCTCAGGTGTCTTTCAGATGTCCCTTTATTGTCTAAACTTCTGACGACTTGTGCTCAGTGTCTGGCAATCTTGAGAACTCTTCTCTGCGTGCAAAGTCGCATATTTTTAACACAAAGGAAATGAGCAATCTTTTGGGATGCTTTTATGGGTATCTAAAAAGTCCATTATTTTGCCTGTTTTGATGTCCTTATCAGGAACACAAAGCAGAAACAACTTCCTAAACAAATCTCAGCTACTTGAGACGTCGTATGTTCTATCTTTTCACACTTCTTTTTTGTTAGCTACATTATATCTTATAGCAAATTCATTTCTTGGCCCTTTGTTCACAGAGCAATGCAGAACATCTTAGTCCCTGTGATAATAATAGTAATTATCAGTTATGCAGAGCCTTGCCTCGCCAAAGCCCTTGGCAATCATCAATTAGCTAATTCAAACAGCATCCCTGTGAGAGGACTGCTCTTGAGAATATTATAATGCACAACCATTATGTGCTGACCTTTGACTTTGCTGTGAGAAGGACCAGGTTGACGGCTGAATTTAAAGGCTGGTATAATTTCCATTCATCCTAGTGGATGCTTCAGTGAGTGCATCTTTTCAAGTTAAATATAGTTAATAAATACACATTTTGAAGTGGTTTATATACATTTCTGTGCCTTCGTAACCAAACAGGTCTTATTTCTCCTGCATCAATGCACACTTTGTCTTACCCATTTTACGTTGCAAATGTATATTCCAGGAACATTTCCTAAGTGCCTATTTTGAGCCAGCACAATGCTGGCCTAGGACCTCTGAATACAAATATAGGAGAAACACAATTCTGTTTTCAAGAAATTCACGCGCTAGTTTTGAGACGCATAGACCAATGGTCATAATACAACCTATGCGATCCACACAAAAGTTAAGTAAAAAGCGCAGTGGGGACTCTGGGGTGTGATCAGTAGGACATCACATGTTCACGTCAAGAGGGTGGGTCGTGTTCACTGTGCCCTCTGATGCCACCAGAAGGCAACAGAAGTAAATAACACATCAAAACTCAGAGGCCCAATAGAGCAGGGCTTATATGAGAATTTTACGCATTAGAAACAAATATGAGAACAGAAAAAAGTTGAAAGTTAATGAGTGAAGTGCACACCTTCAGATGTAAGAAAAAGAGCAAGACCCAACCTCATAAAAGTTGGAAGAAGGCAACAGTAATGACAAAGGCCTTAAAGCTTCATCAATAGCAGAGGTAAAGCAAAGCCTTAACAGAGCCAGAAGTTTTTAAAACGACCGACGAAAGGAGCATGATTTTGGCAACTTTGATCGAGATGAGAAAGGGAAAGGAAAATTGGTGATATTAGAGAATAACATGTTGGCATAATCGCAATTGTATGAGATATCAAAATTAGAAAATATGAAAAATTTTGTTAGTTTTTAGTAATCCAAGATAAAATGGAATACTCTATAAATCTCAGATAAAATGCAAATCTTATAAAAGTAGAAAAATTATTAAATAGTATATTTTGCCAAAAGTGAATTAAGAATGTAGAGGTCTGAATAATTTTCTCAAGGAAATTGAGTTAGTAGTTTAAAAGATTGCCACAGGGATTTTCCAGCCCCAGATAAGTTTACAGGTGAGTGCTAGCACTCAGATAATTACATGGATGACTTCTGCCAAGATTCTAAAGACAGTTTGTGTGAGTCTGTTCTCACATTGCTATAAAGAAATACCCGAAACTGGGTAATTCACAAAGAAAGGAGGTTTAACTGACTCACAGTTCCACCTGCCTGAGGAAGCCTCAGGAAACTTACAATCATGGTGAAAGGCACATCTTCACAGGGTGGCAGGAGAGAGAAGGAGTGCCAGCAGGGGAAATGCCAGATGCTTATAAAACCATCAGATCTCTTGAGAACTCACTCACTATCACGAGAACAGCATGGGGGAAACGGCCCCCAGGATTCAATTACCTCCCACCACGTCCTCCTATGACATGTGGGGTTTATGGGGAATACAATTCAAGATGAGATTTGGGTGGGGACACAGCCAAAGGATATCACAGTTCCAATTTTACACAAGTGGAAAAACAAAACAGAATAGAAGGAGGGGGCATTTTATTCACCTAATTTAATGAGCAGTGCAATCTCGATGCCAAAGTCACAGGACAGTAGTAGAAAAGAAAATGGCAGGACAATCTCAATGATATGTGCAATTCCAAAACCAAAAGCATAGTGTTAGCAAAGGGAAGTCAACATCATTTTACAGATATGCACATTTCCAAGTCAGTTTGGTTCTCTACTGCAAAGATGGAGGAGTAGTAGAAAACATTTAAATGTTATTCAGCTCAATAACAGATTAAAGAGAAAATGTGATTATCTCAATTGATTCAGCAGCTTTCACTTATTATATATAATTCTATAATTTCACTTATTAATTATTAATATAATTAATAAAAGAGAGCTCTTAGTACAAGAAGACTTTCTTTTTTTTAAATTTATTATTATTATACTTTAAGTTTTAGGGTACATGTGCACATTGTGCAGGTTAGTTACATATGTATACGTGTGCCATGCCGGTGCGCTGCACCAACTAACTCGTCATCTAGCATTAGGTATATCTCCCAATGCTATCTCTCCTCTCTCCCCCGACCCCACAACAGTCCCCAGAGTGTGATGTTCCCCTTCCTGTGTCCATGTGTTCTCATTGTTCAATTCCCACCTATGAGTGAGAATATGCGGTGTTTGGTTTTTTGTTCTTGCAATAGTTTACTGAGAATGATGATTTCCAATTTCATCCATGTCCCTACAAAGCACATGAACTCATCATTTTTTATGGCTGCATAGTATTCCATAGTGTATATGTGCCACATTTTCTTAATCCAGTCTATCATTGTTGGACATTTGGATTGGTTCCAAGTCTTGGCTATTGTGAATAATGCCGCAATAAACATACATGTGCATGTGTCTTTATAGCAGCATGATTTATAGTCCTTTGGGTATATACCCAGTAATGGGGTGGCTGGGTCAAATGGTATTTCTAGTTCTAGATCCCTGAGGAATCGCCACACTGACTTCCACAATGGTTGAACTAGTTTACAGTCCCACCAACAGTGTAAAAGTGTTCCTCTTTCTCCACATCCTCTCCAGCACCTGTTGTTTCCTGACTTTTTAATGATGGCCATTCTAACTGGTGTGAGATGGTATCTCATTGTGGTTTTGATTTGCATTTCTCTGATGGCCAGTGATGGTGAGCATTTCTTCATGTGATTTTTGGCTGCATAAATGTCTTCTTTTGAGAAGTGTCTGTTCATGTCCTTCGCCCTCTTTTTGATGGAGTTGTTTGTTTTTTTCTTGTAAATTTGTTTGAGTTCATTGTAGATTCTGAATATTAGTCCTTTGTCAGATGAGTAGATTACAAAAATTTTCTCCCATTTTGTAGGTTGCCTGTTCACTCTGATGGTAGTTTCTTTTGCTGTGCAGAAGCTCCTTAGTTTAATTAGATCCCATTTGTCAATTGTGGCTTTTGTTGCCATTGCTTTTTGTGTTTTAGACATGAAGTCCTTGCCCATGCCTATGTCCTGAATGGTAATGCCTAGGTTTTCTTCTAGGGTTTTTATGGTTTTAGGTCTAACGTTTAAGTCTTTAATCCATCTTGAATTGATTTTTGTATAAGGTGTAAGGAAGGGATCCAGTTTCAGCTTTCTACATATGGCTAGCCAGTTTTCCCAGCACCATTTATTAAATAGGGAATCCTTTCCCCATTGCTTGTTTTTCTCAGGTTTGTCAAAGATCAGATAGTTGTAGATATGCGGCGTTATTTCTGAAGGCTCTGTTCTGTTCCATTGATCTATATCTCTGTTTTGGTACCAGTACCATGCTGTTTTGGTTACTGTAGCCTTGTAGTATAGTTTGAAGTCAGGTAGTGTGATGCCTCCAGCTTTGTTCTTTTGGCTTAGGATTGACTTGGCTATGCGGGCTCTTTTTTGGTTCCATATGAACTTTAAAGTAGTTTTTTCCAATTCTGGGAAGAAAGGCATTGGTAGCTTGATGGGGATGGCATTGAATCTGTAAATTACCTTGGGCAGTATGGCCATTTTCACAAAACTGATTCTTCCTACCGATGAGCATGGAATGTTCTTCCATTTGTTTGTATCCTCTTTTATTTCCTTGAGCAGTGGTTTGTAGTTCTCCTTGAAGAGGTCCTTCACATCCCTTGTAAGTTGGATTCCTAGGTATTTTCTTCTCTTTGAAGCAATTGTGAATGGGAGTTCACTCATGATTTGGCTCTGTGTTTGTCTTTTGTTGGTGTATAAGAATGCTTGTGATTTTTGTACATTGATTTTGTATCCTGAGACTTTGCTGAAGTTGCTTATCAGCTTTAGGAGATTTTGGGCTGAGACAATGGGGTTTTCTAGATATACAATCATGTCATCTGCAAACAGGGACAATTTGACTTCCTCTTTTCCTAATTGAATACCCTTTATTTCCTTCTCCTGCCTAATTGCCCTGGCCAGAACTTCCAACACTATGTTGAATAGGAGTGGTGAGAGAGGGCATCCCTGTCTTGTGTCAGTTTTCAAAGGGAATGCTTCCAGTTTTTGCCCATTCAGTTTGATATTGTCTGTGGGTTTGTCATAGGTAGCTCTTATTATTTTGAGATATGTCCCATGAATACCTAATTTATTGAGAGTTTTTAGAATGAAGGGTTGTTGAATTTTGTCAAAGGCCTTTTCTGCATCTATTGAGATAATCATGTGGTTTTTGTCTTTGGTTCTGTTTATATGCTGGATTACATTTATTGATTTGCATATATTGAACCAGCATTGCATCCCAGGGATGAAGCCCACTTGATCATGGTGGATAAGCTTTTTGATGTGCTGCTGGACTCGGTGTGCCAGTATTTTATTGAGGATTTTTGCATCAATGTTCATCAAGGATATTGGTCTAAAATTCTCTTTTTTGGTTGTGTCTCTGCCCGCCTTTGGTATCAGGGTGATGCTGGCCTCATAAAATGAGTTAGGGAGGATTCCCTCTTTTTCTATTGATTGGAATAGTTTCAGAAGGAATGGTACCAGTTCCTCCTTGTACCTCTGGTAGAATTCGGCTGTGAATCCATTTGGTCCTGGACTCTTTTTGGTTGGTAAGCTATTGATTATTGCCACAATTTCAGATCCTGTTATTGGTCTATTCGGAGATTCAACTTCTTCCTGGTTTAGTCTTGGGAGAGTGCATGTGTCGAGGAATGTATCCATTTCTTCTAGATTTTCTAGTTTATTTGCGTAGAGGTGTTTGTAGTATTCTCTGATGGTAGTTTGTATTTCTGTGGGATCGGTGGTGATATCCCCTTTATCATTTTTTATTGCGTCTATTTGATTCTTCTCTCTTTTTTTCTTTATTAGTCTAGCTAGTGGTCTATCAATTTTGTTGATCCTTTCAAAAAACCAGCTCCTGGATTCATTAATTTTTTGAAAGGTTTTTTGTGTCTGTATTTCCTTCAGTTCTGCTCTGATTTTAGTTATTTCTTGACTTCTGCTAGCTTTTGAATGTGTTTGCTCTTGCTTTTCTAGTTCTTTTAATTGTGATGTTAGGGTGTCAATTTTGGATCTTTCCTGCTTTCTCTTGTGGGCATTTAGTGCTATAAATTTCCCTCTACACACTGCTTTGAATGCGTCCCAGAGATTCTGGTATGTTGTGTCTTTGTTCTCGTTGGTTTCAAAGAACATCTTTATTTCTGCCTTCATTTTGTTTTGTACCCCGTAGTCATTCAGGAGCAGGTTGTTTAGTTTCCATGTAGTTGAGCAGTTTTGAGTGAGATTCTTAATCCTGAGTTCTAGTTTCATTGCACTGTGGTCTGAGAGATAGTTTGTTATAATTTCTGTTCTTTTACATTTGCTGAGGAGAGCTTTACTTCCAAGTATGTGGTCAATTTTGGAATAGGTGTGGTGTGGTGCTGAAAAAAATGTATATTCTGTTGATTTGGGGTAGAGAGTTCTGTAGATGTCTATTAGGTCTGCTTGGTGCAGAGCTGAGTTCAATTCCTGGGTATTGTTGTTGACTTTCTGTCTCGTCGATCTGTCTAATGTTGACAGTGGGGTGTTAAAGTCTCCCATTATTAATGTGTGGGAGTCTAAGTCTCTTTGTAGGTCACTCAGGACTTGCTTTATGAATCTGGGTGCTCCTGTATTGGGTGCATATATATTTAGGATAGTTAGCTCTTCTTGTTGAATTGATCCCTTTACCATCATGTAATGGCCTTCTTTGTCTCTTTTGATCTTTGTTGGCTTAAAGTCTGTTTTATCAGAGACTAGGATTGCAACCCCTGCCTTTTTTTGTTTTCCATTTCCTTGGTAGATCTTCCTCCATCCTTTTACTTTGAGCCTATGTGTGTCTCTGCACGTGAGATGGGTTTCATGAATACAGCACACTGATGGGTCTTGACTCTTTATCCAATATGCCAGTCCGTGTCTTTTAATTGGAGCATTTAGTCCATTTACATTTAAAGTTAATATTGTTATGTGTGAATTTGATCCTGTCATTATGATGTTAGCTGGTTATTTTGCTCATTAGTTGATGCAGTTTCTTCCTAGTCTCGATGGTCTTTACATTTTGGCATGATTTTGCAGCGGCTGGTACCGGTTGTTCCTTTCCATGTTTAGCGCTTCCTTGAGGAGCTCTTTTAGGGCAGGCCTGGTGGTGACAAAATCTCTCAGCATATGCCTGTCTGTAAAGTATGTTATTTCTCCTTCACTTATGAAGCTTAGTTTGGCTGGATATGTAATTCTGGGTTGAAAACTTTTTTCTTTAAGAATGTTGAATATTGGCCCCCACTCTCTTCTGGCTGGTAGGGTTTCTGCCGAGAGATCCACTGTTAGTCTGATGGGCTTCCCTTTGTGGGTAACCCGACCTTTCTCTCTGGCTGCCCTTAACATTTTTTCCTTCCTTTCAACTTTGGTGAATCTGACAATTATGTGTCTTGGAGTTGCTCTTCTCGAGGAGTATGTTTGTGGCGTTCTCTGTATTTCCTGAATCTGAATGTTGGCCTGCCTTGCTAGATTGGGGAAGTTCTGCTGGATAATATCCTGCAGAATGTTTTCCAACTTGGTTCTATTCTCCCCATCACTTTCAGGTACACCAATCAGACGTAGATTTGGTCTTTTCACGTAGTCCCATATTTCTTGGAGGCTTTGCTCATTTCTTTTTATTCTTTTTTCTCTAAACTTCCCTTCTCACTTCATTTCATTCACTTCATCTTCCATCGCTGATACCCTTTCTACCAGTTGATAGCATCGGCTCCTGAGGCTTCTGCATTCTTTACGTAGTTCTCGAGCCTTTGTTTTCGGCTCCATCAGCTCCTTTAAGCAGTTCTCTGTATTGGTTATTCTAGTTATACATTCTTCTAAACTTTTTTCATAGTTTTCCACTTCTTTGCCTTTGGTTTGAATTTCCTCCCGTAGCTCGGAGTAATTTGATCGTCTGAAGCCTTCTTCTCTCAGCTCATCAAAGTCATTCTCCGTCCAGCTTTGTTCCGTTGCTGGTGAGGAACTGCGTTTCTTTGGAGGAGGAGAGGCGCTCTGCTTTTTAGAGTTTCCAGTTTTTCTGCTCTGTTTTTTCCCCATCTTTGTGGTTTTATCTACTTTTGGTCTTTGATGATGGTGATGTACAGATGGGTTTTGGTGTGGATGTCCTTTCTGTTTGTTAGTTTTCCTTCTAACAGACAGGACCCTCAGCTGCAGGTCTGTTGGAGTACCCTGCCGTGTGAGGTGTCAGTGTGCCCCTGCTGGGGGGTGACTCCCAGTTAGGCTGCTTGGGGGTCAGGGGTCAGAGACCCACTTGAGGAGGCAGTCTGCCGGTTCCCATATCTCCAGCTGCGTGCTGGGAGAACCACTGCTCTCTTCAAAGCTGTCAGACAGGGACATTTAAGTCTGCAGAGGTTACTGCTGTCTTTTTGTTTGTCTGTGCCCTGCCCCCAGAGGTGGAGCCTACAGAGGCAGGCAGGCCTCCTTGAGCTGTGGTGGGCTCCACCCAGTACGAGCTTCCCGGTTGCTTTGTTTACCTAAGCAAGCCTGGGCAATGGCACGCCCCCCCCACCCCCAGCCTCGCTGCCTCCTTGCAGTTTGATCTCAGACTGCTGTGCTAGCAATCAGCGACACTCCATGGGTCTAGGACCCTCCCAGCCAGGTGTGGGATATAATCTCCTGGTGCGCTGTTTTTTAAGCCCATCGGAAAAGCGCAGTATTCGGGTGGGAGTGACCTGATTTTCCAGGGGCTGTCTGTCACCCCTTTCTTTGACTAGGAAAGGGAACTCCCTGACCCCTTGCACTTCCCGAGTAAGGCAATGACTCGCCCTGCTTCGGCTCGCGCACGGTGCATGCACCCACTGACTTGCGCCCACTCTCTGACACTCCCTAGTGAGATGATCCCGGTACCTCAGATGGAAATGCAGAAATCACCCGTCTTCTGCGTCGCTCACACTGGGAGGTGTAGACCGGAGCTGTTCCTATTCCGCCATCTTGGCTCCTCCCCACAAGAAGACTTTCTTAACCTCATAAGAGATAACTACAGAAGTCCCACAACAAAAAGAGTCTCAATAGAAAATATAGATGCATTTATTTAAGTAAGGAAGACAAACAAGAATGTCTCCTTTCATGGTACCCCTGTAACATTTTATTGGAGGGCCTAGCAAGTGTTTCTGCAAACAAACAGCAATCATAAGATATAATTTAAAAATCATATGAGCAACAATGTTATCAAGTATCTTGGCATAAAACTAATGATATATGTGCAAAACTGTACACAAATGTGCCAAACATTTATTAAAAAGCATTAACGATTATCTTAAGATATTCCACATCCACGGGTAGTACTCAATATTAAAGTGCTTTCAAGTGTACCCCCAATAATCTATAGATTAATTTTAATTCCAAAATCCAAGCAGTGTTTTTCATATAGATGTTGCACAGATTTTAGTATTTACAAGGAGTAAAAGGTTAAAAATAATCAAGATAATATTGATAAGGAGAATAAAGCAGAGAGAGTCGCAACACCCGTCATGAAGTTAAAATAGTCAAGTCAGTGAGGACTGATGCCGGGGACAGAGAGCCCCGCCATGTATGCAGGTGTTTGCAGCCCCCATGTGGTTAAATAAATGACTTACTCCTAGGTGTGTAGTCCAGAGACAGGAAACACAGGTTCATACAAAAACTTGTACAAACATGTTCATAAGCAGCAATATTTATAATAGCCAAATAGTGGAAATAACCCAAATTCTCAGCAGATAATGAATGGATAGATAAAGGAAATGTGGTATAACCTTAGGATGGAAGATGATTTGGCAATGAAAATAAAATACTGATCTGTGCTATGTTGGATAACCCTGAAAAGATCATGTTAGTGAAAAAGCCAGTGACAAAAGGCCTTGTATTGTGTGATTCCATTTATATGAAATGTCCAGTATCAGCAAATCTATAGGGACAGAAAGTAGATTAGTGGTTTCCTAGGACTAGAGTGGGGGATCCAGAGATTGAGCGGCCATGGCTGAGTACCATGTTTCTTTTCCAGGTAGTGAAAATGTTTTATAACTGGTAGTGGTGATGGATGCATAATTCTGTGAATATACTAGAAACCATTCAATTGTACACCTTACATGGGTGAATTCTACGGAATGTAAATTTCCTTCTTAATAAGACTGTGAAAACAGAACAAAACAAACCAACTCAACAAAACCAATGAACCAACCAACCAATAAACAAGGAGCTCATGAGGGGAAATCTAAGTAAAATCAAGGCCTTATGCACAAGATGGGTGGGGAAGGAAGAGTGCCTGTGTGAACTGTATTGTTGCAGGGGAGAAAGGGATGCTGATGGCCTCAAGTTTTCAGCTAAGGCTTTGTCAAAACAGCACCCATAGCTGATGTGAAAACAAACCCCAAAGTCATTATTTTGAGGGATTCAAATAGGAAATTTCTTCAAAGCACCTTGATAATTAAGAAACAAGCCTGATGGGATTATCTGAAATCTACAAACTCTGATGGGATTGTTGATTCCCATTGTTAGTATAATTTGTAAGAATAGTCCAACTTTCAAGGGTTTTGTTCGTTACGGTTTTCCTCATTTCTAGTTAGAATAAATTACATTGCTATATTATTCTCCTTAAATCTTGGCTTTTTAACAGAATAGCAGCTGCAAGGAAAGTTAATTTTGGCTTGTTTCAGAGCTCCTAGACAGCAATCCTTCTTACTCCTTTGCCTCTTATCTGCACCAATTTCCGGGTAAAATACAGGCCAGCAAATCCTAGAATTTGCATTCATCTGAAGAAGTAGAATGGGTTTAATGTAAATTAACACATGGATAAATTTGAACATAATGCAATTTTGCACTGATAAAATCTCCTCATAGTGCCATATCTCACTGTAATGATAAGAGAACATAATATGATATCACATTTTGTAGTAATATGTGTATGATAATTGTGCTTTCCAGAAATATTCTACCTAATTGGATATATTATGGCAATTTAGAAATAAGCATGCTTGATATGCCAACAAGTGATACGGATCAAATTTTAAACATGAATGTTTGGAGAACAAATTTCTGTACACAAAACCCCATCTTCTCCTTCTCTCACAATGTAGAAATACAGCAACAAGATGGTTGTAGTGCTATTAAAAAGAAAGTTTTGGCTTTTTCTGGAACAAATTTTTGTGTAACGTGTAGTTGTCTTCTGTAAGAGAGGTTTATTAGAAATTTGTGCTTGTATCTGTAGATCAAATGAGAAACATCCTTAAGCAAAATTATCATTGTTATTATTTCTGATAGCCAAGAGAAATCAAATATCCAAGCAGGGTAATTGTCCAAAATTACTCTACGCACATGTTTTCTTAGCACTGGACTGAAAGCCCGCCCCAGTTGCAGGCCAGGATAAAAGAGCACTCCCATTCCACATCCAGGGCTGTCGATTGGTGTCTTCTCAGTGTTTGAAATCATCCACTGTGCATCCATTAATAAACTGTAAACTCTTTCAGGGCCGACGTTTTAGATTTTTAAAATCAATGCTGTCCTCCACACTAGAGTCTTTCCTGGCACAGGACTGAGAACCCCACAGAGCTCAAGATTGTGGACTCTGGAGCCCTGCTGCCTGAGATGCAGGTGTCGCTGGCTGGCTTTTGCTCAAGGGGTCATTTGTAGGATTAAATGGGAAAATGTATGAAAACACTTAGAACAGCACCTGGCCTGAGGTAAGAAATATACAAGGCTTGGGTATTTACAAATGCTAGTAACTTTTGTGTGTGTTGCTCCTATATCCTGCAAGCTTTATAAGCTCTCCCATCAACCTCTTTTGCTTCCATCTCACTCGCTGACTCATCTGCTTAGGTCCTGCCATTCCACCATGTGGGCCATCATCCTGACTCTCAAAGTATCCTCATGTGCATCTCTGGAATTCCCTTTAAGCTACTTCCTGTTAAATTTTTTTTTATTTTAAAATATTGAATTGTCAAATTAACATTGAATATTTTTAAGGTGTACAGTGTGATGATTTGATATGCATATACATTGTGTAGTGATTACCACAAACAAGTTAATTAAAACACCCATCACAAATTCCAATGCCATTCTTTACAAAAATAGAAAACATATTCTAAAATTTGCATGGAACCACAGAAGACCCTATATAGCCAAAGCAATTTTGAGAAAGAAGAATAAAGCTGGAGCCATCACATTTCCTGATTTCAAAGCATATCATGAAGCTACAGTATTCAAAACAGTGTGGCACTGGCATAAAAACAGATGCACAGACCAACGGAATAGAATAGAGTCTAGAAACAAACTCAGGTGTATGCTGTCCATTAATCTTTGACAAGGGCACCAAGAACACACAGTGTAGAAAAGAAAGTCTCTTCAACAAACAGTGTGACAGGAACTGGATGTCCACATGCAGAAGAAAAAAACTGGACTCTTATCTTGCATCATACACAAAAATCCACTGGAAATGGATAAAGGCTTAAGTATGAGATCTGAGACCACAAACCTTCTTGAAGAAAACTTAAGGGAAAGCTTCTTGGCATTAGTCTTGGCAATGGTTTTTTAGAGAAGACGCCAAAAGCACAGGTAATAAAAATGAAAACAAACAAGTGGAACTACATCAAACTAAAAAGCTCCTGCACAGCAGAACACTTTAACGTACTTGCTTTAACAGGAACCGGGCTCTCCCAGGCATTCAAGTCTTTCCCTGAAATCCTCTCAAGTCCTGGATTTTTTTTTTATTTCTTTAGCCCAGAAGTCCCCAACCTTTTTGGCATTAGGGACCGGTTTAGTGGGAGACAATTTTCCACGAACCCGGTGTGCAGGGGAATGGTTTAGGGGTGATTCAAGCACATTACATTTATTGTGCACATTATTTCTATTCTTATTACTTTGCAATATATAACAAAATAATTACACAACTCACCATTTTGCATAGAATCAGTGGGAGCCCTGAGTTTGTTTTCCTGCAACTAGATGGTCTCATCTGGGGGTGATGGGAGACAGCGACAGATCATCAGGCATTAGATCCTTGTAAGGAGCACATAACCTAGATCCCTCACATATGCCGTTTACCATAGGGTTCGCACTCCCATGAGAATCTAAGGCTGCCGCTGATCGGACAGGAGGAGGAGCTCAGGAGGTCATGTGAGCGATGGGGAGGGGCTGTAAATACAGAGGATGCCCCCACTCACCTCCTGCTCTGCAGCCCAGTTCCTCACAACAATAAAGGCTGAGGAAATGTAAGTGTCAATCAAGCAATGAAAAAAAAAAGGAATTGTACATCTCAAGAATAAAGACGTTTTAGATAAATAGAATGACCACAAATGCTCACTTGAAGACATAATCTTCTAAATGATGTACTTACGTGGAAAAAGTGATCTACAAAAGAAGTTTTAAAGGCAACAAAAATAGAGGATTTTGGGTATACTAAACACTGCATAGAGATATTACTGCCAACCTTGTGGGGTTAAAACTAATAATTCCATTTATTATATGGATGTGTGTATGTGTATAGACATACACATCTGAATAATCTTTATTGTGTGTACACACACATCCGTATAGTAAACACTGCATAGAAATATTAGTGCCAACCTTGTGGGGTTAAAAATAATTTAGAGCAACACTTAACGGACAACTGTGCCTTAGTCCAAGACTTCAGGTTTGCACAGGTCCTCTCATTTGGGATGAGATAGGAGAAGGGCAGTGGAAAGAGAGAGACAGGGGGCATGGAAATGCCAGTCAACAAGCATGCAAACATCAGTGTCTTTCATCACCTCTTGGACATCCTGAGCTCTTAGAAAGAGGAAATTTGAATATCACCTTTCTCTTACTTCCTCTGTTGTCTCTATTGAGGCAGCTGGAGATAAAGGCAGCTTCCCTGCAGGGAGTGGCGCCCATGGCGGGTCTTGCCCTGGTTGCTGTGTTGATGTGATGATTGGTTGTGGTCAGTTCATTCTTTCTTCCTTCCTCTACACCTGCTACTTGGCATTGTTTTACAAGGAAGTGCTACCCCTTCTACTCACTTATGTACATTTATTCCATTAACTATTTTAGGTATGGACTTGTGGGTATTTATCTTATTCTGCGGGTTATGATGCAATACTATCATTATTGATTTCCAATTGATCCAGCTTTGGTGACCGGGGGCCCCTCTGGCTTTGGAGTGACTCCAGTGTTCCTCCAAACATTCTCCCAGCCTTCTTTTTTTCCCCCTTTTTCAGGGGTGTGGGTATAGCCTTACTTTGCAGCACCACACGTTATTTCCAGACTCAGGTCGTGGAGTCAGCCACTTCTCCAAGCAGACCTGATCCCTTTTATAAGAGAATGGCTTTTATAAATCATGAATTTTACATAGGTGTGCTCATTGCTACTGAGGTATCATCATTTCTAGGCTGCTCAGTGGACAGTTGTGGAAATAAAGGCATGTATATTATTAACCTGTACACATACACACACTTCCGTATTTATTTCTATGTGTATCTATGTCTGTATCTATATCCATGTATCAGAGAGTGAGTCAATACCGACACTTCCAATTTTAATCCGACACTAGAGGAATCATTCCAGCAAGCCCCCTTCCTTATTTGTAACTTCCTTTTCTGACAGTGAGAACTGGACTCTCATTATCCACAATATATTTACTTATTTGTTCTATTCCTGGCATAGACACAAAGCGGGTTCAGAATTGCTGATGTATCCTTCTCGGAGAAGCAAATCTACTGAGCAGAGCTCAGCCTTTGTGCAGAGTCCTCTCTTCATCAGCCTCTTCTTAGTCTGTTCAGGCGGCTCTGACAAAGTATTACACACGGGGTGACTTGTCGACAGCAGACATTTATTTTGTGGAGGTTGAGGTTGGAGCTCAGGGTGCCAGCATGGTTGGCTTTGGGTTGGTTCAGGCTCAGGGCTTAAAGACTCTTGTGCTTTTTGGGATTGTTGTAAGTTTTTCTGCTATCGGTTTACGTGTTTTTTGTGAAGTTTACTTCTTTGTATTTGATCTTTGTGCTATTTTTTTCTACCTTTGTGTTCTCTGGCTCATTATAGTTTGGTATACAAAGGCTTTTGACTTTTATATGTTAATTTTATGTGTATTCTCATGATTTGTGGGAAATATATTCTACAGACTCACTACAAACCCTGGATTAGCAAACACCAAACCATTGCTCCTGAGGGAAATACTAGGTTAGATTCCTCTGAGCTTTTATCTCAACGTATTCTTCTACTGATCAATACACAAGCTTGTTTAATGTGTTTCTGTTTTACTTCCTGTTTATTGGCAACCAGCACTCTATTTATTATAATTATTATTTTATTATTTTTACTGTAGTCAGAACAGATAACAGAAGATGTATCTTTTTAACAAATTTTTAAGTGTGCAGTACGGTATCATTAAGTGAAAGCCAAATATTGTGCAGAAGATGTCTAGAACTTTTTCATCTTGCGTAAGTGAGACTTTGAAGAGAACCTGGAGGACATGATGGTAAGTGAAACGGCCAGTCATAGAAGAAAAATACTGTGTGAGTTTTCCTAATTGAGATATCTGAACTACTCAGATTTGTGGATGCAGAGAATAGAATGGTGGCTTCCAAAGGCTGGAGGAGGAAATGGAAGTTGCTGTTGAATGTGTATTTCTGTTTAAAGACAACTGATTTAATATCTATTGTTGACTCCTTCTCTTTGAACTCATGGCCACCATCACTATAACTCCTGCCTGCTCGAGCAAAAGTCTTTTCCATAAAGCACGTAACAGCCTTCATGTACTTAGAAGCAGCCGTCAGCACTTCAGTATTGATTGGGGGCCACTTAAACAGTGAAATCACCAACATACACACTCACACATGCAAAAGCAGGGCACTACATCCACTGTGAAAAGGACACGCGTCTCACCGTGTGGAGCCTTGTTCAACCTCAGCTGGGCGGCTTGAGGCTTTCTGCCCTGTTCACCTGTGTGAGTGACCACCAGAGAGCCGTGGTGTACAATGTTATTATTTTATATGTATATAGATTGTATAGTGATTACCACAAACAAGTTAATGGGGCAGCGGTTGCAGAAAACAGTCTGGTGGTTCCTCAAAAAAACTGAAGATAGAACTACCATATAACCTGCCAGTCTCACTTCTGAGTATGTACCTAAAAGAATTCAATCAGTGTCTTAAAGAGATATTTTATATCCACGTTCATAGCAACACCATTCGTAACAGCCAGAGGGTGGAAGCAACCCAGGTGTCCATCAATGGATGAATAGATCCACATACTGTGGCATCTATGTGCAACAGAACAGGATTCAGCCTTAAAAAGGCATCTATGTGGCTGGGCGTGGTGGCTCATGCCTGTAATCCCAGGACTTTGGGAGGCTGAGGCGGATGGATCACCTGAGGTCAGGGGCTTGAGACAAGCCTGGCCAACATGGTAATACCCCGTCTCTACTAAAAATACAAAAATTAGCTGGACATGGTGGTAGGTGTCTGTAATCCCAGCTACTTGGGAGGCTGAGGCGGGAGAATTGCTTGAACCTGGGAGGTGGAGGTTGCAGTGAGCCGAGGTAGCACCACTGCACTCCAGCCTGGGCTACAGAGTGAGACTCCGTCTCAAAATAAATAAACAAATAAATGCAAGTTGCAATGGGAAGACCACCTACAGAGAAAAGAAGACATCACTATTTATTAAAGAAGACATAAAAATTATTAAAATTATATTTAGACTTTAGTTCAGAAAAATATAGATATTAATAAGCTATTTTGGCAGGCTTTCTATTAAAATCACTTTATATTAAAGTGATACTGCTCAGTTATGAAACAATGATTATTTTAAATAATATTTTGTTTATGTTTATATATTTCTTAAGGTATTTTTGAAATATTAAAATGACTTAAGGCAGATCATAAAAGTTACTTGGCGGAGGGATCTCAAGTGATTTGAACAAAATGACTTTAAGCAGTTCCTGTTGCAATATTTTATTTGATAATATTACTTAAATAATAATGATATAATACTTACACAAAAACATCCAGTCCTTTTTTTTACAAAAGTAATAAAATTGTTATACTTATGTCCTTTTACATCCAAATAATCTTCTACTATGTTTTTCTAGATGTATTCTGCTACACCAAAGTATAGAAGCTTTGCAAGACAAAATCTAGATGTATTCTGCTACACCAAAGTATAGAAGTTTTGAAAGACAAAAATTGCCATATGTAGTATGGAAGAATAGCAATACCGTTTTTAAAAAACGAGGTGCATTAAAGTAAATGTCATATTTGAATGCATTGATCCATAAATGTGGACAATTGAACAGCACACACATTTACTAACCGTGCCGTGTGCTGATGCTAATCTTCTTCGGGTGGCTCCTAGAGAATGAGGTTGGAGTGTGGGGGACTGGGGAGGTGTGGGGGACTGGGGAGGTGTGGAAGGCCTTCACTTTCTTGGTGTTTGCTTGGAGTGGTAGCAAAATGCTTGTCCTTTATTTATTAAAACATGGATAAAATCGCAAGAAAAAGAAAAGAGCTCTTTTGCTTGGTAGCATAATCTTCTAATTTTTTTCGTAATTTCTTCAATGCAAAAATTTGGAATATTTGGGGCAAAATCTTCTCTCTTCTAAGAATACACTTGGTTCTGCAAAACTGCTTCTTCTGTGTCCCAAGCTCTTGCAGACACCCGGGAACCTGGGGGATACCTTTCCTTAGGGGATAACTCTTCCTTAGGAGAGGAACCCAAGACGACTGTGCCTGTTGCCTTTTAACATCTTATATTTGATGCTGAACCCAGAATGAAACTTAGAGTGAGCTCTTTACCATAAAGTGATGGAGTAAGCTCTAAACGAGGTGTGGGCTTTTCTATTTATTGTGCTTGAAGTAAATATGGTCTTGGTAGGGCACAGCTGGGTCTTTGCTGGACTCACATCACAGTACTGGGAGTGATTACTGAGTGTTCATGGGTCCCACGCACTGTTTCCGTGCTTAACATCTGTTAACTCAGCTCTTAGCAGAATCCCAGAGACAGATATTGTTCTATACGTAGCTTTACAGGCAAGGACCGTGAGGTCTGGAGCGCTTCAACAACTTGCCCCGGTATTATAGGGAAGTAACTGCAGGCATCCACCTTGCAACCCTCACCATCTGCCTGCAGGGTGCGTGCTGTTCACCCCTGCGCTGCGCTGCTGTGCTCTGCCCTGCTACGAGGTTGGGCTGGGGTCGGCGAGACTGAGATTCACCACACCCAGTTGTCCTCTGTCTCCATAGACCATCATCATTCCTACTTCCTTGACTTTAGGTGTGGCCTTGTGACTCGTTATAACCGGCGAACTGTGAGTGGAAACCATGGAGAGCGTGATGGGGCTGAGGTATCTGATTGGCTCTCCTGGTCCTACGCTTGCCCTGGAACCCGGAGGAACAGGGCGTGAGGCTGCCGTCATGAGGGGGCGGAGCCTCTGTGAGCCTCTGACGCTGGTGTGGTGGAGGATTCTCAGCTGATTTTAACAAAATGACTTTAAGCAGTTCCTGTTGCAATATTTAACACTACAACCTTAAGGAACTTTGATTTTAAATAATAATAGATCCTATCACATAGTAATAAACATTCTTTCTTCTCTCACATGCGAGAAAAACATGAAGATGCTTGGTATTAAAAAATCACATGTTCAAAATGACTCACGTTTTTCTTTTTATTTTATTTTTATTAATTTATTTTTTAATTTATTTTTTTAAATTATACTTTAAGTTTTAGGGTACATGTGCACATTGTGCAAGTTAGTTACATATGTATACATGTGCCATGCTGGTGTGCTGCACCCAGTAACTCGTCATCTGGCATTAGGTATATCTCCCAATGCTATCCCTCCCCCCTCCCCCACCCCACAACAGTCCCCAGAGTGTGATGTTCCCCTTCCTGTGTCCATGTGATCTCATTGTTCAATTCCCACCTATGAGTGAGAATATGCGGTGTTTGGTTTTTTGTTCTTGCAATAGTTTACTGAGAATGATGATTTCCAATTTCATCCATGTCCCTACAAAGGACATGAACTCATCATTTTTTATGGCTGCATAGTATTCCATGGTGTATATGTGCCACATTTTCTTAATGCAGTCTATCATTGTTGGACATTTGGGTTGGTTCCAAGTCTTTGCTATTGTGAATAATGCCGCAATAAACATACGTGTGCACGTGTCTTTATAGCACCATGATTTATAGTCCTTTGGGTATATACCCAGTAATGGGGTGGCTGGGTCAAATGGTATTTCTAGTTCTAGATCCTTGAGGAATCGCCACACTGACTTCCACAATGGTCGAACTAGTTTACAGTCCCACCAAGAGTGTAAAAGTGTTCCTATTTCTCCACATCCTCTCCAGCACATGTTTTTTCCTGACTTTGGAATGATCGCCATTCTAACTGGTGTGAGATGGTATCTCATGGTGGTTTTGATTTGCATTTCTCTGATGGCCAGTGATGGTGAGCATTTTTTCATGTGGTTTTTGGCTGCATAAATGTCTTCTTTTGAGAAGTGTCTGCTCATGTCCTTCGCCCTCTTTTTGATGGGGTTGTTTGTTTTTTTCTTGTAAATTTGTTTGAGTTCATTGTAGATTCTGGATATTAGCCCTTTGTCAGATGAGTAGGTTGCGAAAATTTTCTCCCATTTTGTAGGTTGCCTGTTCACTCTGATGGTAGTTTCTTTTGCTGTGCAGAAGCTCTTTAGTTTAATTAGATCCCATTTGTCAATTGTGGCTTTTGTTGCCATTGCTTTTGGTGTTTTAGACATGAAGTCCTTGCCCATGCCTATGTCCTGAATGGTAATGCCTAGGTTTTCTTCTAGGGTTTTTATGGTTTTAGGTCTAACGTTTAAGTCTTTAATCCATCTTGAATTGACTTTTGTATAAGGTGTAAGGAAGGGATCCAGTTTCAGCTTTCTACATATGGCTAGCCAGTTTTCCCAGCACCATTTATTAAATAGGGAATCCTTTCCCCATTGCTTGTTTTTCTCAGGTTTGTCAAAGATCAGATCGTTGTAGATATGTGGTGTTATTTCTGAGGGCTCTGTTCTGTTCCATTGATCTATATCTCTGTTTTGGTACGAGTACCATGCTGTTTTGGTTACTGTAGTTTTGTAGTATAGTCTGAAGTCAGATAGTGTGATGCCTCCAGCTTTGTTCTTTTGGCTTAGGATTGACTTGGTGATGTGGGCTCTTTTTTGGTTCCATATGAACTTTAAAGTAGTTTTTTCCAATTCTGGGAAGAAAGGCATTGGTAGCTTGATGGGGATGACATTGAATCTGTAAATTACCTTGGGCAGTATGGCCATTTTCACGATATTGATTCTTCCTACCCATGAGCATGGAATGTTCTTCCATTTGTTTGTATCCTCTTTTATTTCCTTGAGCAGTGGTTTGTAGTTCTCCTTGAAGCGGTCCTTCATCTCCCTTGTAAGTTGGATTCCTAGGTATTTTCTTCTCTTTGAAGCAATTGTGAATGGGAGTTCACTCATGATTTGGCTCTGTGTTTGTCAGTTGTTGGTGTATAGGAATGCTTGTGATTTTTGCACATTGATTTTGTATCCTGAGACTTTGCTGAAGTTGCTTATCAGCTTAAGGAGATTTTGGGCTGAGACAATGGGGTTTTCGAGATATACAGTCATGTCATCTGCAAACAGGGACAATTTGACTTCCTCTTTTCCTAACTGAATGCCCTTTATTTCCTTCTCCTGCCTAATTGCCCTGGCCAGAACTTCCAACACTATGTTGAATAGGAGTGGTGAGAGAGGGCATCCCTGTCTTGTGTCAGTTTTCAAAGGGAATGCTTCCAGTTTTTGCCCATTCAGTATGATATTGGCTGTGGGTTTGTCATAGATAGCTCTTATTATTTTGAAATATGTCCCATCAATACCTAATTTATTGAGAGTTTTTAGCATGAAGCGTTGTTGAATTTTGTCAAAGGCCTTTTCTGCATCTGTTGAGGTAATCATGTGGTTTTTGTCTTTGGCTCTGTTTATATGCTGGATTACATTTATTGATTTGTGTATATTGAACCAGCCTTGCATCCCAGGGATGAAGCCCACTTGATCATGGTGGATAAGCTTTTTGATGTGCTGCTGGATTCGGTTTGCCAGTATTTTATTGAGGATTTTTGCATCAATATTCATCAAGGATATTGGTCTAAAATTCTCTTTTTTGGTTGTGTCTCTGCCCGGCTTTCGTATCAGAATGATGCTGGCCTCATGAAATGAGTTAGGGAGGATTCCCTCTTTTTCTATTGATTGGAATAGTTTCAGAAGGAATGGTACCAGTTCCTCCTTGTACCTCTGGTAGAATTCGGCTGTGAATCCATCTGGTACTGGACTCTTTTTGGTTGGTAAGGTAGTGATTATTGCCACAATTTCAGATCCTGTTATTGGTCTATTCAGAGATTCAACTTCTTCCTGGTTTAGTCTTGGGAGAGTGTATGTGTCAAGGAATTTATCCATTTCTTCTAGATTTTCTAGTTTATTTGCATAGAGATGTTTGTAGTATTCTCTGATGGTGGTTTGTATTTCTGTGGGATCGGTGGTGATATCCCCTTTACCATTTTATAAATGGGTGATATCCCATTTATCATTGCATCTATTTGATTCTTCTCTCTTTTTTTCTTTATTAGTCTTGCTAGCAGTCTATGAATTTTGTTGATCCTTTCAAAAAACCAGCTCCTGGATTCATTAATTTTTTGAAGGGTTTTCTGTGTCTCTGTTTCCTTCAGTTCTGCTCTGATTTTAGTTATTTCTTGACTTCTGCTAGCTTTTGAATGTGTTTGCTCTTGCTTTTCTAGTTCTTTTAATTGTGATGTTAGGGTGTCAATTTTGGATCTTTCCTGCTTTCTCTTGTGGGCATTTAGTGCTATAAATTTCCCTCTACACACTGCTTTGAATGCGTCCCCGAGATTCTGGTATGTTGTGTCTTTGTTCTCGTTGGTTTCAAAGAACATCTTTATTTCTGCCTTCATTTCGTTATGTACCCACTAGTCATTCAGGAGCAGGTTGTTCAGTTTCCACGTAGCTGAGCGGTTTTGAGTGAGATTCTTAATCCTGAGTTCTAGTTTGATTGCACTGTGGTCTGAGAGATAGTTTGTTATAATGTCTGTTCTTCTACATTTGCTGAGGAGAGCTTTACTTCCAAGTATGTGGTCAACTTCGGAATAGGTGTGGTGTGGTGCTGAAAAACATGTGTATTCTGTTGATTTGGGGTGGAGAGTTCTGTAGATGTCTATTAGGTCTGCTTGGTGCAGAGCTGAGTTCAATTCCTGGGTATCCTTGTTGACTTTCTCTCTCGTTGATCTGTCTAATGTTGACAGTGGGGTGTTAAAGTCTCCCATTATTAATGTGTGGGAGTCTAAGTCTCTTTGTAGGTCACTCAGGACTTGCTTTATGAATCTGGGTGCTCCTGTATTGGGTGCATATATATTTAGGATAGTTAGCTCTTCTTGTTGAATTGATCCCTTTACCATCATGTAATGGCCTTCTTTGTCTCTTTTGATCTTTGTTGGCTTAAAGTCTGTTTTATCAGAGACTAGGATTGCAACCCTTGCCTTTTTTTGTTTTCCATTTGCTTGGTAGATCTTCCTCCATCCTTTTACTTTGAGCCTATGTGTGTCTCTGCACGTGAGATGGGTTTCCTGAATACAGCACACTGATGGGTCTTGACTCTTTATCCAATTTGCCAGTCCGTGTCTTTTAATTGGAGCATTTAGTCCATTTACATTTAAAGTTAATATTGTTATGTGTGAATTTGATCCTGTCATTATGATGTTAGCTGGTTATTTTGCTCGTTAGTTGATGCAGTTTCTTCCTAATCTCGATAGTCTTTACATTTTGGCATGATTTTGCAGCAGCCGGTACCGGTGGTTCCTTTCCATGTTCAGCGCTTCCTTCAGGAGCTCTTTTAGGGCAGGCCTGGTGGTGACAAAATCTCTCAGCATTTGCTTGTCCGTAAAGTATTTTATTTCTCCTTCACTTACGAAGCTTAGTTTGGCTGGATATGAAATTCTGGGTTGAAAATTCTTTTCTTTAAGAATGTTGAATATTGGTCCCCACTCTCTTCTGGCTTGTAGAGTTTCTGCCGAGAGATCCACTGTTAGTCTGATGGGCTTCCCTTTTAGTGTAACCCGACCTTTCTCTCTGGCTGCCCTTAACATTTTTTCCTTCATTTCAACTTTGGTGAATCTGACAATTACCTGTGTTGGAGTTGCTCTTCTCGAGGAGTATCTTTGTGGCGTTCTCTGTATTTCCTGAATCTGAACGTTGGCCTGCCTTTCTAGATTGGGGAAATTCTCCTGGATAATATCCTGCAGAGTGTTTTCCAACTTGGTTCTATTCTCCCCATCACTTTCAGGTACACCAATCAGACGTAGATTTGGTCTTTTCACATAGTCCCATATTTCTTGGAGGCTTTGCTCATTTCTTTTTATTCTTTTTTCTCTAAACTTCCCTTCTTGCTTCATTTCATTCATTTCATCTTCCATTGCTGATACCCTTTCTTCCAGTTGATCGCATCGGCTCCTGAGGCTTCTGCATTCTTCACGTAGTTCTCGAGCCTTGGTTTTCAGCTCCATCAGCTCCTTTAAGCACTTCTCTGTATTGGTTATTCTAGTTATACATTCTTCTAAATTTTTTTCAAAGTTTTCAACTTTTTACCTTTGGTTTGAATGTCCTCCCATGGCTCAGAGTAATTTGATCATCTGAGGCCTTCTTCTCTCAGCTCGTCAAAGTCATTCTCCGTCCAGCTTTCTTCCGTTGCTGGTGAGGAGCTGCGTTCCTTTGGAGGAGGAGAGGCACTCTGCTTTTTAGAGTTTCCAATTTTTCTGTTCTGTTTTTTCCCCATCTTTGTGGTTTTATCTACTTTTGGTCTTTGATGATGGTGATGTACAGATGGGTTTTTGGTGTGGATGTCCTTTCTGTTTGTTAGTTTTCCTTCTAACAGACAGGACCCTCAGCTGCAGGTCTGTTGGAGTACCCTGCAGTGTGAGATGTCAGTGTGCCCCTGCTGGAGGGTGCCTCCCGGTTAGGCAGCTCGGGGGTCAGGGGTCAGGGACCCACTTGAGGAGGCAGTCTGCCCCTTCTCAGATCTCCAGCTGCGTACTGGGAGAACCCCTGCTCTCTTCAAAGCTGTCAGACAGGGACATTTAAGTCTGCAGAGGTTACTGCTGTCTTTTTGTTTGTCTGTGCCCGGCCCCCAAGGTGGAGCCTACAGAGGCAGGCAGGCAGGCCTCCTTGAGCTGTGGTGGGCTCCACCCAGTTCGAGCTTCCAGGCTGCTTTGTTTACCTAAGCAAGCCTGGGCAATGGCGGGCGCCCCTCCCCCAGCCTGGCTGCCACCTTGCAGTTTGATCTCAGACTGCTGTGCTAGCAATCAGCGAGACTCCGTGGGGTAGGACCCTCTGAGCCAGGTGCGGGATATAATCTTGTGGTGCGCCTTTTTTCAAGCCCGTCAGAAAAGCGCAGTATTCGGGTGGGAGTGACCCGATTTTCCAGGTGCCGTCCGTCACCCCTTTCTTTGATTAGGAAAGGGAACTCCCTGACCCCTTGCACTTCCTGAGTGAGGCAATGCCTCGCCCTGCTTTGGCTCGCGCACGGTGCGCGCACCCATTGACCTGCGCCCACTGTCTGGCGCTCCCTAGTGAGATGAACCCGGTACCTCAGATGGAAATGCAGAAATCACCTGTCTTCTGCGTCGCTCAGGCTGGGAGCTGTAGACTGGAGCTGTTCCTATTCGGCCATCTTGGCTCCTCCCTCCTATTTATTTTTTTTGGAGATGGAGTCTCCTTCTGTCGCCCAGGCTGAAGTGCAGTGGCTGCACGGTTTTCATATGTAAATGTTCAATGATGTTAAATGTTCATGAAGTTTAAACTGGCCAAGTATCCTAGTATAGTATTCAAGGACAGCATAAATAGAATCAGAATAATGACATGATTGAGGACCCATTAGCTCCATGTGAACTTACTCAAAAAACTCTCTATCCCAAATTTTACGATGAGATTAGATGAATATTAAACAGCCATTAAAAAACTGTAATACTATCTTTGAGGCATTTTCAATGTCTTTAATAAGATGGCATTAATCTTTTCAGAGGAGACCATTGGTGAGAAATTTTAGGCAAAAATGTTTACTATTAAATCTCTCGTGCTGTTTTTTAAATTTCCTTTTTGTCTTTACACATTTTCTAAATTGAAAATTAAACATTAATTTTTAAACATATGTTTTTGAGGAAGACGGAGTTACCAGTTCATTAGCAAGAGGCATGCCTTTGTAGGGCAGTGAATTGTACTGCAAACAGATTTCCTAAATTATAAATAATATGAACTGAAAGTGTGAATTTGAAATCTCAGATGGTAAGCAATGATTTATTTTAATAATATAAACTAGAAATATCAACTCCATCCCATTCCCTTCACATATAGTGTAAAATGGATACTTTTTTTAGGGAAGACAGCTATAATCCCCTCCTTACCACAAAATAACAAACCTATAAAAATATAACTGTGAAAGCAATCTATTCAAATGTGCAAATGAAGGTACATAAATTTTTTAAAATCAAATATATAATTTCAAAGGAACTAAATCCTATTCCTTCCTAAACATGATTAAGTGGAGGTTGTTTTATGTATTTTACTGATAGGCAATATGAAGCCAGGTCAGAGTATAATTTCTTTATGCCAGACGAGAATGTATAAAATAAGCCGCCTCACAGTCAGAACCTAATTTGTTTCTCTCTGAGTTTGACGTCAATCAACAATTTGGATTTGAATTTCCAAAAGGGCTTAAAGTTTCATTGTTTATCCCTTTCCATCTTGTTCAAGAAGATTTGAAGTTGTTAGAGGATTTTTCTGTGTATTCTTGGGAGTTTGGCAAGAAAAGAAAGCAAGCTATTTTCTATGCTCGGGGATTCTGAGATATGAGTAAATTATGTGATTTCACCATGCAGAAAGTGAGTTTCAGAACCTCTGCTGGAATCTGGCTTGTCTGCAGAGATTTAAAGTCCAAAATGCTCCCCTAAAACCAAGTCACCTCCCATTCTTTTATCTAAGCATGTGATTTATCCTTTTATTTTCCTTCCCTTATATCTCCTGGAAGAACGATACTGTAATGATTATTCTAGCAGACACACATCTAGTAGATACACAGAAACAGAGTCATGCTCCCGGTGTGGTGTCCCCCTGAAAATCTGTCTAATGTAGACACATGAATCAAATTTAAATAAGGACCCTACCTTGCTTCAAAATGAGTTGGAGCATGTTTCATTTAACAAGTGCCAACTTTGAAGACACGGGAGACCTCATTGGCTTAGGGACCATATGGCGTGACAAATACAATCCTGCACCTTCTAAGGGGGGAGCTCAGGAAGAATCACCTCCTGTGGGAGCAGACTCGGCTCCTTTGAGAAGCGGAATGGCTGACTCTACATCAGCCTGGCGAGGCGGTGGCGCCTGTGGTTCCGTCACACAGTCGTCTGGATGTGCTGTGAAGTTACCATGTGAAAGGGACTTGGTTTCGAGTCAGGAGAATTTGGGTAAAGCAGATTGTCCCCCGTAACATGGGTAGGTTTCCTCCAAATAATTGAAAACCAAAGACTGGGGTTACCCAAAGAACACAATCTGCCTAAAAGATTGCATGATCAAGTTTTTGCCTATATTTCTAGCCTGTCAATCTGCCCTGGAGATTTCAGACTTGCTCTCCGTGCTGGGGGCTGTCCATGTCCAGGGCCTGTCCATGCTGGGGGCTGTGCATGATAGGGTCTGTTTATGCTGGGAGAAGTCCACGATGGAGTCTGTCCGTGGTGGGGGCTGTCCATGTCCAGGGTTTGTCCATGCTGGGGGCTGTCCATGATAGGGTCTGTTTATGCTGGGGGCTGTCCACGATGGAGTCTGTCCGTGGTGGGGGCTGTCCATGTCCAGGGTCTGTCCATGCTGGGGGCTGCCTATGCCGCTGTCTGTCCATGGTGGGGTTTGTTTATGCTGGCGGCTGTCCATGCTGGGGGCTGTCCGTCCTGGGATCTGTCCATGCCTGGGCTCTCTGTGCTGGGCACAGTGTGGGGAGGCTGAGTCATGGAGCTTGTAGCAGGAGGATCGGATGAATATCTCTGAACACACTTGGGGATCAGTGAGGGCTGTTATTTGAAGCTGGGGAAGAGTGAGCTGTTTGTGGGCTAGGTTGGGACAGTTTAATGGATGAGAGATCAGGGAAGGAGAGAGGGAAAACAGGAAGAGAAGTCACTGGGCAGGGAGAGGAGGTGGGGTCGGGTATTTATGGTTAGTGACAGGAAGGGAGCTTCATCCTACTGCAGAATAGAAAGACGCTGTGCTTGTCTGTCAGCGATGGGAAGATGGAGCATTTCTGTGGGAACAGCCGTGTCCCATCATCAGCTGCAATGAGGAAAGGAGGGCTGGGAAGTTTGCGGACAGGGGTAGTGTAAGATGCACGTTGCAAAGTTAGAAGCAAAACTTACAAGAGAAATGAAGCAAGACCTCAAGATAATGCAGAATGATGGGAATACAGGGAGTCCAGGGGCATCTACGGCATAAGGACCTTGGTGTCAGAAAGGCAGAAGCTTCAGAGAATTTATTCGGTGTCAGAAGACAGGCTGTTCTGCCTTGACTTTCTTCTGGAGGAAAACACAGGCCAAGGATCCTAGTATAGTATTCAAGGACAGCATAAATAGAATCAGAATAACGACATGAATGAGGACCCATTAGCTCCATGTGAACTTACTCAAAAAGCTCTCTATCCCAGAACTTCCCCCAAATCATCACTAAGAACGTATTAGCTGGTTCACAATATATTAATTAAATAGAGCAGATGAATGCAACACTGTGTGTCTTCCTCTAGAGAAACGATAAAGGGTATACTAAGGCACTGATACTCTGCAGAAACAGGAGGAATGCTTTCTTTCCATTTTTGGTGCTTATTTTAGATTACAGTTTTGCAAAGACGAGTAAGTTTTGTGTAATAAAGAAAAGTATCATTTTATATAAAAGGTATATTTTCTCACTGAAGAGTATTTATAGCAGTAATCGTTCAGAGCTTAGAGGGTTCAGACATTTGCAGGGTCCACAAAATAGGAAATATATATATGTATTATTTATACATATTACATATTATATAATAAAAATTTATATATATACATTTTTATATTTTATATATATATATATATATTTTTTTTTTTTCAGATCCCAACCCGCAAAACAGAGGTCTTCTCTAGCTTGCTGGTGGCAGACCAGGAAAGGTAACTAAAACATTCAATATACTCATGTGCAACGGCAAATATGAATTTAACTTGAATTGAATTTCAAAGATTAGCTTATAAATGAAAAGACTTTTCCCAGAGTTTTAACCTGCAATCTGAAAACTCAAGCTGTGTTCTTCTCTCAGATTTCAAAGCTGATGATAGTGATTCTACAGTATAAATTTATTTGACAGTTCTGAGGATGATTGATAAGGGACATTCCGAGCATCTTAGCTCTGCAGCCTTAAGCAACACGGTCATTTGGTTGAAATATGCAGTTCTAAGGTCAAATGAGTAAGAATACTTTTTATTAATGACAAAAGCTTAAGAGATGATTTTCCTAGCTACTTTCTCTAAGATTTTAAGGTGTTAAAAATTCTCAAAAATATTCTTTCCATTGTATTTGTCATTTCTTAGATATATCTGCAGTGCCCTCTTAATGCTCTTTCAAAATACAGTGCAATAATATAATGCTTTAAAGCAACTATTTCTCCAGGCTTTTTACAGGAGCTAGCCAAATAGGAACCATGGGTCCAGGAATTTCTAACATTCCTATTAAAAAAGGTTGCCCCACTCTCATTCAAGGTAAATGATGAGGCATTGGGTTATTTAATAAATGTTAAATTGGCCAGTAATATTTTAAATTGTCTATGAATGATGGGCAGACAAAAGGAGTATAAGCTGGAAATCATTTATGAGCTACCCCAGTGATCAGTCTTACAAATGTTTCTATAAATGACTCACCATATTTTTCAAAGTGAAAAAAGATTTAATCACCTAATTTACAGCATAATATGACAAGACAAGTTGGAAATAAGTGTGAGTGAGAGAGAAATTGGATAAAGTTTGAAAAGGAGCTTCATTTACCAATGAATATAGTTCCAGTAGTATCACGTGACATCAATATAATAATTGGTAAAAAAACTCACGGGTGTCATCTTTAAAATGTTTTCATAATATTATAAGATAGGCATTGAGTACTGTGCCCACGTTTTTAAGGTGGCAAATCATGCTCAGGAAGGTTCTATCAATAGTAAGTAATAGAAATGGGGTTCAACTCCAGATCTCATGCCCTCAAAACTAGTTTGTGCACCATTATATTCTGTGGTCTCTGCCTTCCTATGTAAGCCTGTAATATGCACATATGGTCATATACACAGTGATAGCATCGATATTTACATACATTCCTTAGAAATGTTTTATGGCTCTGTGTGTGTATGTAGGAGATATGTGATATTTTCATTGTGGGAATTATATTATTAATAGGATTCAATGTGCTTATATTTCCATTTAAAATTCAAATTTAAATTTAAATATTTAAACATTAATTTGACAAGAAAATGAAGGTTGAAGGTAATTGTGTATGAAAAAATCCACTGATGATTATGAAGAAACTTTGGCGAAACTATAATTTTGTGTTTATAGATGCTCCTCCTTATTATCGTTGTATCAATTTGCATGACTGCAAAGTGTATCTTTAATGCAATTATTTCAATCATAATTTATTAAGTGTATCTAATGCATCTGGAAGCTTTTGCTCAGAAGCACTTATCACACCCTAATGTGTTTATATGCTTTGATATTTATCTTTTGTTTAATAAATTTGACGGCAATATCTGTTCTCAGATGGCTTTGAGTCAAAGAGGAAGAAAAAGGTAAGAAATCAGTTACTCTGCAGTGTGCTGTAGCCTGTGATAAAGAACCCTTCTGAGGGCTTTGAAATCTTGCAGGTTGATGAATAATTAACCAAGTAGACAATGGTGGGTGTGCATTCTAAGCTGAGGAAGTGGCACACTCATGGGCTCACTGGTGTATGAAAGCATGACATATTTGGGTTCAGTGGAGCTGGGATGGGCAAGATACAGGTGAATTAGATGAAGTTGCACCGGTCGAGCTTCGGCTGAGGCATGGGGGTGTTATTATCTTTGTTATTTACTTCCTTTTAATTGTTTTGGCTTTATTTGCTCATTTCTTCCCTAAGTTCTTGAGGTAGAAGCTGATATTATTGATTTGAGGCTTTTTCTGTGTTTGAATGTATTCATTTCATGCTTTAAATGTCCCTGTCAGCTCTGCTTTAGCTCTACCCTACACGTTTTGATACATTTCTTTTTAATTTTCATTCTGTCTTTTAAAAATGTATTTGAGGCTTCCATTTTTATTCTGAATGTTTTAGATGTATCATATTTAGTTCTCAAATGTGTGGAGACTTCTCTGTAATCTTTCTGTTATAATTTCTCGTTTGATTTCCTTTTGGGTAGAGAACACACTCTGTATAATTTCTATTTTTAAAATTTGTTTCATACGTGGTCTATCTTGGTGAATACTCCATTCGACACATTAAAAGAATGTGTATTCTTTTGTTTTTGGGTGGAGTGTTCTACAAATATTGGTTAAATCCTGTTGGTTGATGATGTTGTTGATTTCTCCTATATCATTGCTATTTTTAAGTTGGTCTGTTAATTGAGTGAAGGATGTTGAACTCTCACTTTAATTTGGATTTGTCTATTTCTTCTTTCAGTTAGATTAGGATTGGCTTAATATATTTTTCAGCTTTGTTGTTTGGGGCATACACATTTAAGATTGCTATGTCCTCTTGGTGGATTGACCCTTTTGTCAGTCTTCAGTATCCCTGTCTGATTAATGTAGCCACTCCTGTTTTCCTTTGATTAATGCATGCATGATACATCATTTTTCTATTCTTTTACTTTGAACCTTCATAAACTATTATATTTGAAGTGTGTTTCTTGTAGGAAGCGTACAGTTTGGTCATGTGTTATAACACTGTCTTTTAATCCGTGTATTTGGACCATTTGTGTTAAGTGTAATTATTGCTATACTAGGACTTAATTTTGCCATTTTATTTTTGTTTTCTATTTGGTCTCTATATTTCCTGTTTCTCTGTGTTTTTTCTTGTCTTCTTTTGAGTTAAATTTTGGTCCCAAATTCTATTGTGATATATTGCTAGCGTTTTCGAATGTATCTCTTTGTATAGTGTTTTTAGTGGTTTCTCTAGGTCTTTATACAGACACAACTTAACATTATGTACTGCTGTTATATTACCAGTTTGACTGATTTATAGGAACCTTACCCTCATTTAAATTTCTTTACCTTTCTCCATTTATTATATAATTCTCTTAAGTATTTTGTCTATACTATATACATATATATATGGTTGGAATGACATCAAACTATGCCATAATTTTTGCTTCAACTATAAAGAGAAGAAAAAAAGTATTATATTTACCTATATTTTTTATTACCATCTTTTTTCTTATTTCCCTGTGATTTAAGTTTCCTTTTTTAGTCATTTTGTTTCTTTTCAGATGATTTCCTTTAGCTATTCTTTAAAATAGGCCTTCTAGAGACATATTCTCTTGATATACTTTTGTCTCATAATATTTTGATTTTTTTCTTTAATTCAGAATGATATTATTACAGGACACAGAATTCTGGTTTGACATTTTTTAGCACTTGAGAAATGTAATACTTCCTTCTGGTCTTTACAATTTCCAGGAACAAATCCACTGTAATTAGAATCACTTTTTATCTATAGGTAAGGTGTTACTACTCTGTCACCACTTTCAGGTATTTTTCTATCTTTATATTTTTCACTCTATGACTATAATGAGTGAATTTCTTTGGGGTTCATTCAGTTTTTTGAATCTGTGGGTTTTGTGTCTCTTGCCATTTGGGAAAAATTTTAATCATTATTTGAGTGCTTTTTTAGACCAACTTTTTTTCTTTTCATTCTGGACCTCTAATAATGTAAATGTTATTTTTTTCTTATATTTTTACTAGTTCCTAAGGTTATATTCAGTATGCTTTTTCCCTCTGTGTTATAGAATGGGCGTATTAGTCAGGGTTCTCTAGAGGGACAGGACTAATAGGATAGACGTCTATATGAAAGGGACTTTATTAAGGAGAATTGACTGACACGATCACAAGATGAAGTCCCACAATAGGCTGTCTGCAAGCTGAGGAGCCTGGAAGCCAGTCCGAGTCCCAAACCTCAAAAATGAGGAACTGACAGTGCAGCCTTCAGTCTGTGGCCGAAGGCCCAAGAGCCCCTGGCAAATCACTGGTGTGGGTCCCAAAGACCAAAAGCTGAAGAACTTGGAGTCTGATGTTCAAGGGCAGGAAGCATCCAGCAAAGGAGCAAGATGATGACCAGAAGACTCAGCAAGTCTGCTCTTCCAACTTCTGTCTGCTTTATTCTAGCTGTGCTGCCAGCTGACTAGATGGTGCCCACCCAGATAGAGGGTGGGTCTGCCTCTTCCACTCCACTGACTCAAATGTTAATCTCCTTTGAACACATCCCCACAGACACACCCAGGAACAGTACTTTGCATCCTTCAATCCAATCAGGTTGACACTCAATATTACACAATGGGCAATTTCTATTGTTCTCTATTTAGAACAATATTATTTCTATTGTTCTATATTTTTTCCACTTTTTTTCCTGTCTCCTCCGTTTTGCTGTTAAGCTCATCTATTGTGTGTATGTTCATGTGTGTGTTTTATTGTGGTTATACTTTTCAGTTCTAAAATTTCCATTTGGTTCCTTTTTATATCTTCTAATTTTTTTGCTCAGACTTTCTATTTGATGAGGCTTCTTTATTTTGTTTCAATTGTGTTCACAATTTTTCATTTTTTAGAATGGCTATTTAAAATCTTTATAATGTAATTCCAATTATCTGTCATCTCAGTGTTGGTATCTATTCATTTTTAAACATTCTATTGAGAACTCCCTGGTTCTTGGTATGATGAATGAGTTTTTTCATTGAAATTTGTACGCTTTGGAAGTTATGTTATATAGCGTAGTCTTACTCATTTCCTTATTTTAGCTATTTCTCTTGACACTGTTTAATATGTGAAGGACAGGTGCTACTCACTACCATCAGGTGAGGGTAGAAATCCAGGTTCCTCTGTTGACACCCAGTGAGGGTTACTGCTTGTAACTTCTGGCCAGGGTAGGATTTCTGGCTCCTCACTAGTTGCCATTGCTACCTTTCTTGCTGGGAAAGGTGAAAGTGTCTCACTAGTTGTTACGCACATGGCCTTCACTGGCTTCCTGTGTGTTTGTGAGCCTTGACCATTTCATTGCTGGGCAGGGTGAAGCCCCCACTCTTGTTTGATTCTGTCTCAGTGGGGTGGGGTGGAAAACCTGTTACTCCAGGACTGTTGTCAAGTCCTGTCCTTCAAATGGTTTCCACTGAAACCTGGGAGGGGAGGAAGTAGTCCTTAACTGCAGGACATCAAAGCAGAAATTCTTAAAAGCAAGCAGAGAATGAAAACAAACTATGTGTTACTCAGAAAAGCCTGAAAATTAACACACAGAGGACTCTCAAGAGGAACAATAAGTGGCAGAGGCAATGGAATAGTGTGGAGATAAACAGCTCTAAGTAGTTACTTTTTCAGCAATTATGATGAATAAGGTATTGTAATATAGCCACAACAGATTTTAATGTGAAAAGTTATAAGGAACACACTTCAAGAAGAAGGAAAATGATCCCAGGAGGAATATCTGAGATAAAGGAGGAAATGGCAAGCAAACAAACTTATAAACTTGCTTGTAAATAAAAACAAATATCGTTGAAGAGAAGAAAAGCAATGATGTCTAAAATTCTATGTTCTTGGAAAGACGAAATTAAAATATTGGACAGAAAAAACCCAACAAGTCGTAACTCAAGAGAAAGAAATAAGAATTAAAATACCTAAGATTTTATATTTTGTGAAAGCGAGTATAATTTTATTTTATACTTGGTTAACTTAAGTGTGCAATATAAAATATCAAGTGTAACCAAAATAAGAATAGTAACATCTAAGTTATTGAATTTCAACAACAAAAAGTAACAAAGTAACAACAAACAAAAACCCTAATTATACTAGAAAGAGAAAAGGAAAGACAGAAAATAGAAAGAAACCTACCTTTATTTTTTTTTTTTAATTTTTTGAGAGAGAGTCTCCTTTGGTGGCCCAGGCTGGAGTGCAGTGGCGTGATTTCAGCTCACTGCAAGCTCCGCCTCCTGGGTTCACGCCATTCTCCTGCCTCAGCCTCCTGAGTAGCTGGGACTTACAGGCACCCACCACCATGCCTGGCTAATGTTTTGTATTTTTAGTAGAGACGGGTTTCGCCATGTTAGCCAGGATGGTCTCGATCTTCTGACCTCATGATCTGCGTCCCTCGGCCTCCCAAAGTACTGGGATTACAGGCGTGAGCCACTGCACCTGGCCCAAAACCTACATTTTAAAATTATAGTAAAAACAAGTCTCACTCTATCAGTTATTACTGATTATAATAAATGAAAATGAAAACATTTATTAGTTAAAAGGCAGGATTATCAGATTATACTTGAGAACTAAGTTCTAGTATGTGCCGTTTACAAAAACACACGTCAAAACAACAGAGAAAAGTGGTTTAAAAATATGTAACACAAATGATAACAACATAAACTGGATAACTTGGTAATATTAGAAAAATTGACTTTAGGAGAAAATCATTAAGAGGGATAAAAAGCTATTAAGAGGCTGGGCGTGGTGGCTCACACCTGTAATCCCAGCACTTTGGGAGGCCGAGGCAGGTGGATCACGAGGTCAGGAGATCGAGACCATCCTGGCTAACACAGTGAAACCCCATCTCTACTAAAAATACAAAAAAAAACAAAATTAGCCAGGCATGGTGGCGGGCGACTGTGGTCCCAGCTACTCGGGAGGCTGAGGCAGGAGAATGGCATGAACCCGGGAGGCGGAGCTTGCAGTGAGCCGAGATTGCACCACCGCACTCCAGCCTGGGCGACAGAGCGAGACTCTATTTCAAAAAAAAAAAAAAAAAAAAGAGGTATTACAAAATGGTATAGTAATCATTTTTCTTGAAGGATATACTAATCTAAATTTGTAGCCACATGTAAAATAATGTGAGGTTATTGAAAACCTAGAAATTTAAAAATTTTTGGGGGGGAATAGGGTCTTGCTTTGTTACCCAGGCTGAGTGCGGTGGTGTGATCAGGGCTCACTGCAACAGAGACTCCCCTGGCCGAAGCAATTTTTCCACTTCAGCCTCCCGGCTACCTGGGTCTACAGGTGCCAGCACAGCTGGCTAATATTTAATTTTAATTTTTTGTAGAGATGGGATCTTGCTATGTTGGCTAGGCTGGTCTCAAATTCCTAGGATCAAATAGTCCTCCTACTTTGGCCTTCTACAGTGCTGGGATTATAGGTGTGATTCATGGTTCCTGACCAAAATAAAATTGTGTGTGTGTGTGTGTGTGTCTGTGCGTGCGCGTGCGTTTGTATATTCTGACAGCAGAAGAATTCCCTGTCCCCATTATTGATTAGGGAGGCAAGAACATAAAAATGGTAAAATAGAAATTTAAACATGATTAACAAACTTATTTCATATAAATATAATTGTAATTTTTTGTTTTTTAATAATTGTAGTCTTAATTTAGGAAATATACATATTTTAGAGTTATATGAACTATTATAAAAATCTATGTTGTATTAGTTCATAAGACTAGTTGCTACACAATACATAGAATCAGCAAAATCCTAGCTATGTTGTCAAACCATAAAATAAATAATTAATATTTAGCAACAAAGAGGAAAATACCAACAACACGTTAGAAATTAAAGCTACATGTACACTAAACAATTTATGGTTTAAGAATAACTAACGTTATAGATTCATCGGGTATTTTAAACTAAATGATACCATGGGTACTATATTTTAAAATGTTCAACAGAGTAATTTAGAAAAAGTAAAACGCAATTATCCAAATTAATAAAGGAGATCATAAAGATAATAAAATAGGTATATGAAAAATAAAAATATTAATGTGAAAATTTTGTCCTCTGAAAAGCTGAAACAAAGAAACAAAACAAACAAACAAAATCGTGATAGGCCTATCTTGAGCTAGATCTAGGAGAAAAAAGGAAGAGAAATTCCAGAATAAATAATTGTAAAAATGAAAAAGTGACATACCATCTATTCAACAGAGATTGACAGGGTAATAAAAGGCTATTTTGCCATAAAATTAGAAAATTGAGATAAAATGTCCAAATAGCTAAGAATATTTTACCAAAATTGAATAAAAAAGGAATAGAAAACCAAAATATCACTGGAATCAGTTTAAAAATTCTTTATTAAGTAAACAATTGGCTGAAATTGTTTTACAGAGTTGTTCTTCCAAGTTGTCACAGAACAGAGCAATATACTTTCTATGAATAATTCTAAGGTACAGAAAGAGAGGGCAAACTCTCAATTTTATTCTGTAACACTAGGAAAATTCAGATGCCAAAACCATACAAGACAGAAAAGGGAATAAATATTACGAGGCAATAAATATTACGAAGGAATAAAAATATTAAAAAAAAATTCCTGTCCAGTCCACCAACCTTACAAAACTCAAGAAGGTTGAAGTTGGAGGAGCCACGTTTTGCTGTTCACAAAATTCCCTTTTTCCACTTTCGTAATGTAAGACAATGCTGGAAAATGAACACTCAGCCAGAAGCCACATTTCTCATCCCCTTTTAAGTGGGTGATACGTTAAGATGGAATTGACCAATGGGATGTGAGTATAGAAGATTTATACCTCTTTCAAACTTGGCTCATGAAAAATTGCATGTTTGAGCATCTGTGCTCTTTTCCTCTTCTGATTGGCTGGAATGAAGACAGCCCTCGTCAGACACTAAATCTGCCAGCACCTTGACGTTGAGCTTCCCAGCCTCCGGAACTATGAAAAATCAATTTCAGGACTTTATAAATTATTCAGTCTAAGAAATTTTGTTATAGCAGCAGGAAAAGCTCAGGACAGTATTCAATAACTATTTGCTGAATGAGTGAACAGTAGTATTTTCGTAGCACATTTAGCTATATTCTAATATTGTTGTTATTCAAATATTCTGTATTCCTATTTGTATGTTAAAGTAATATTTTCATAATCTACAAACAAGTAGGCTGCTTCTAAAATTCATCTATAAAACATATATGAAGAGTGAAATCCCTCACAGTGAGTTTGTTTATACATAAGTAATACAGTTTATTATTGATTTTGAATCATGAAGTGGAGAGTTTATTCAATGTAACAAAGAAATATTGGACAAATCTAATCCCTGAGTCTGTGAGTTTTTAGAGAGCTTTTATTGATTTTCTTTACAGTACATCTGTTTTTCGGGATTAATTAGTACTTCTCCTAGAAGACAGATCATATATCCAAAATAATCTATTTTCTTTTCCTTCAAGAAATTAATATCTAACAAAAAAATGACTGAAGCCTGCTGAGATTACTACACCAATGTGCATTCATCACTTTAATATACCACAGATGTATTTTCCATGTCTAGTGAAGCAAAATGTTGCCTAGATTAAAAGATATGGAAACTGGGGATTCCCAGGCAAGATGGCCAGATAGGACAGCTCCAGTCTGCAGCTCCCAGCGAGACCAACGCAGAAGGTGGGTGATTTCTGCATTTCCAACTGAGGTACTTGGTTCGTCTCATTGGGGCTGGTTAGACAGTGGGTGCAGCCCATGGAGGGTGAGCAGAAGCAGGGTGGGGCATTGCCTCACCCAGGAAGCAAAAGGGGCTGGGTAACTCCCTCCCCTAGCCAAGGGAAGCCGTGAGGGACTGTGCTGTGAGAGATGGTGCTGTCAGGCCGAGATACGATGCTTTTCCCACAGTCTTCACAACCCACACACCAGGAGATTCCCTCGGGTACCTACACCACAATGGACCTGAGTTTCAAGCACAAAACTGGGCCGCCATTTGGGCAGACGCCGAGCTAGCTGCAGGAGTCTTTTTTTGTACCCCAGTGGCGCCTGGAACATCAGCGAGACAGAACCATTCACTCCCCTGGAAAGGGGGCTGAAGCCAGGCAGCCAAGTGGTCTTGCTCCAGTGGATCCCACCCCAACAGAACCCAGCAAGCTAAGATCCACTGGCTGGAAATTCTAGCTGCCAGCACAGCAGTCTGGTCAACCTGGGATGCTTGAGCTTGGTTGGGGGAGGGGTGTCTGCCATTACTGAGGCTTGAGTAGGCGGTTTTCTACTCGCAGTGTAAACAAAGACACCAGAAGTTCAGACTGGGCAGAGAACACTGCCAAGCTGCAAAGTCGCTGTAGCCAGACTGCCTCTCTAGATTCCTCCTCTCTGGGCAGGGCATTTCTGAAAGAAAGGCAGCAGCCCCAGTCAGGGACTTATAGATAAAACTCCCACCTCCCTGGGACAGAGCACCTGGGGGAAGAGGCAGTTGTGGGTGCAGCTTCAGCAGACTTAAGCGTTCCTGCGTCCCGGCTCTGAAGAGAGCAGCAGCTCTCCCAGCACAGCATTCAAACTCTGCTAAGGGTCAGACTGCCTCCTCAAGTGGGTCCCTGACCCCCATGCCTCCTGACTGGGATACACCTCCCAGCAGGGGTTGACAGACACCTCATACAGGAGAGCTCCAACTGCCATCTGGCAGGTTCCCCTCTGGGATGAAGCTTCCAGAGGAAGGAGCAGGCAGCAATTTTTGCTGTTCTGCAGCCTCCCCTTGTGATACCCAGGCAAACAGGGTGTGGAGTGGACCCCCAGCAAACTCCAGCAGACCTGCAGAAGAGAGTCCTGACTGTTAGAAGGAAAACTAACAAACAGAAAGCAATAACATCAACAAAAAGGATTCGAAGGTCACCAACAGCAAAGACCAAAGGTAGATAAATCCACAAAGATGAGGAAAACCCAGCACAGAATGGCTGAAAATTCCAAAAACTAGAATGCTGCTTCTCTTCCAAAGGATCACAACTCCTCACCAGCAAAGAAACAAAACTAGACAGAGAATGAGTTTGACAAATTGATGGAAGTAGGCTTCCGAAGGTGGGTAATAAACTCCTCTGAGCTAAAGGAGCATGTTCTAACCCAATGCAAGGAAGCTAAGAACCTTAATAAAAGGTTAGAAGAATTGCTAACTAGAATATCCAGTTTAGAGAAGAACATAAATGAACTGATGGAGCTGAAAACACAGCACAAAAACTTCGTGAAGCATATACAAGTATCAATACTAGAATTGATCAAGTGGGAGAAATCATATCAGAGATTGAAGATCAACTTAATGAAATAAAGCATGAAGACAAGATTAGAGAAAAAAGAATGAAAAGGAATGAACAAAGCCTCCAAGAACTATGGGACTATGTGAAAAGACCAAACCTACGTTTGATTGGTGTACCTGAAAGTGACGGGGAGAATGGAGCCAAGTTGGAAAACACACTTCAGGATATTATCCAGGAGAACCTCCCCAGTCTAGCAAGACAGGCCAACATTCAAATTCAGGAAATACAGAGAACACCACAAAGATACTCCTGGAGAAGAACAACCCCAAGACACATAATCATCAGATTCACCAAGTTTGAAATGAAGGAAAAAATGTTAAGGGCAGCCAGAAACAGAGGTTGGGTTACCCACAAAAGGAAGCCCATCAGATTAACAGTGGATCTCTCTGCAGAAACCCTACAAGCCAGAAGAGAGTGAGGGCCAAGATTCAACATTATTAAATAAAAGAATTTTTAACCCAGAATTTCATATCCAGCCAAACTAACCTTCATAAGTGAAGGAGACATAGAATCTCTTACAGACCAGAAAATGCTGAGGGGTTTTGTCACCAGCAGGCCTGTCTTACAAGAGCTCCTCAAGGAAGCACTAAATATGGAAAGGAAAAACCAGTACCAGCCACTGCAAAAACAAACCAAAATGTAAAGGCCATCAACACTATGAAAAATCTGCATCAACTAATGGGGAAAATAACCAGCTAGCATCATAATGACAGGATCAAATTCACACATAACAATATTAACCTTAAATATAAATGGGCTAAATGCCCCAATTAAAAGTCACAGAATAGCAAATTGGATAAAGAGTCAAGAGCCGTTGGTGTGCTGTATTCAGGAGACCCATCTCACATGCAAAGACATGCATAGGCTCAAAATAAAAAGATGAAGGAATATTTATCAACTAAATGGAAAGCAAAAAAAAAAAAAAAGCAGAAGTTGCAATCTTAGTCTCTGATAAAACAGACTTTAAACCAACAAAGATCAAAAAAGACAAAGAAGGATATTATAGAATCGTAAAGGGATCAATGCAACAAGAGGAGCTAACTATCCTAAATTTATATGCACCCAATACAGGACTACCCAGATTCATAAAGCAAATTCTTAGAGACCTACGAAGAGACTTTGAGTCTCACACGACAATAGTGGGAGACTTTAACACTCCACTGTCAATATTAGACAGATCAATGAGACAGAAAATTAACAAGGATATTCAGGACTTGAACTCAGCTCTGGACCAAGTGAACCTAATAGACAGGTGCAGAACTCTGCACCCCAAATCAAAAGAATATATATTCTTCTCAGCACCACATAGTACTTATTGTAAAATTGACCACATAATTGGAAGTAAAACACTCCTCAGCAAATGCAAAAGAACAGAAATCATAACAAACAGTCTCTCAGACCACAGTGCAATCAAATTAGAACTCAGGATTAAGATACTCACTCAAAACTGCACAACTAAATGGAAAGTGAACAACCTGCTCCTGAATGACTACTGGGTAGATAACGAAATTAAGTCAGGAACGAATAAGTTATTTGAAACCAGTGAGAACAAAGACAAAACATACCAGAATCTCTGGGACACAGCTAAAGCAGTGTTTAGTGGGAAATTTATAGCACTAAATGCCCACAGGAGAAAGCAGGAAAGATCTAAAATCGACACCCTAACATCACAATTAAAAGAACTAGAAAAGTAAAAGCAAATACATTCAAAAGCTAGCAGAAGACAAGGAATAACTAAGATCAGAGAAGAACTGAATGAGGTAGAGACACAAAAAACCCTTCAAAAAAATCAGTGAACCCAGCAGCTTATTGTTTGAAAAGATTGACAAAATAGATAGATGGCTAGCGAGACTAATAAAGAAGAAAAGAGAAAAGAATCAAAAAGACACAATAAAAAATGATAAAGGGAATATCACCACCGATCCCACAGAAATACAAACTACCATCAGAGAATACTATAAACACCTCTATGCAAATAAACTAGAAAACCTAGAAGAAATGGATAAATTCCTGGACACATACACCCTCCCAAGACTAAACCAGGAAGAAGTCGAATCCCTGAATAGACCAATAACAAGTTTTGAAATTGAGGCAGTAATTAATAGTCTACGACCCAAAAAAAGCCCTGGACCAGATGGATTCACAGCCGAATTTTACCAGAGGTACAAAAAGGAGCTGGTACCATTCCTTCTGAAACTATTCCAAACAATAGAAAAAGAAAGACTCCTCCCTAACTCATTTTATGAGGCCAGCATCATCCTGATACGAAAACCTGGCAGAGACACAACAAAAAAAGAAAATTTCAGGCCTATATCCCCGATAAACATCAATGCAAAAATACTCAATAAGATACTGGCAAACCGAATCCAGCAGCACATCAAAAAGCTTATGCACCACAATCAAACTGGCTTCATTCCCGGGATGCAAGGCTGGTTAAACATACGCAAATCAATAAACGTATTCCATCACATAAACAGAAGCAATGACAAAAACCACATGATTATCTCAATAGAGGCAGAAAAGGCCTTTGATAACATTTAACACCCCTTCATGCTAAAAACACTCAATAAACTAGGTATTGATGGAACGTATCTCAAAATAATAAGAGCTATTTATGACAAACCCACAGCCAATATCATACTGAATGGGCAAAAGCTGGAAGCATTCCCTTTGAAAACCGGCACAAGACAAGGATGTGCCTTGTCACCACTCCTATTCAACACAGTATTGGAAGTTCTGGCCAGGGCAGTCAGGCAAGAGAAAGAAAGAAAGGGTATTCGAATAGGAAGTGAGGAAGTCAAATTATGTCTGTTTGCAGATGACATGATTGTATATTTAGAAAACCCCATCATCTCAGCCCAAAAACTCCTTAAGCTGATAAACCACTTCAGCAAAGTCTCAGGATACAAAATCAATGTTCAAAAATCACAAGCATTCCTATACACTAATAATAGTCAGAGATCAGAATCATGAGCAAATTCCCATTCACAATTGCTATAAAGAGAATAAAATACCTAGGAATACAACTTACAAGGGATATGAAGGACCTCTTCAAGGAGAACTACACACCACTGCTCAAGGAAATAAGAGAGGACACAAACAAATGGGAAAACATTCCATGCTCGTGGATAGGAAGAATCAATATCATGAAAGTGTCCATACTGCCCAAAGTAATTTATAGACTCAATGCTATTCCCATCAAGCTACCATGGATTTTCTTCACAGAATTAGAAAAAACTACTTTAAATTTCATATGGAACCAAAAAAGAGCCTGTATAGCCAAGACAATCCTAAGCAAAAATAACAAAGCTGGAGGCGTCACGCTACCTGACTTCAAACTGTACTACAAGGCTACAGTAACCAAAACAGCATGGTACTGGTACTGAAACAGATATATAGACCAACGGAACAGAACAGAGGCCTCAGAAACAATACCACAAATCTACAACCATCTGATCTTTGACGAACCTGAGAAAAACAAGCAATGGGGAAAGGATTCCCTATTTAACAAATGGTGTAGGGAAAACTGGCTGGCCATATGCAGAAAACCAAAACTGGACCCCTTTCTTACACCTTATACGAAAATTAACTCAAGATGGATTAAAGATTTAAACTTAGGACCTAAAACCATAAAATCCCTAGAAGAAAACCTAGGCAATACCATTCAGGACATAGGCATGGGCAAAGACTTCATGACTAGAACTCCAAAAGCAATGGCAACAAAAGCCAAAATTGACAAATGGGATCTAATTAAACTAAAAAGCTTCTGCACAGCCAAGAAACTATCATCAGAGTGAATAGGCAACCTACAGAATGGGAGAAAATTTTTGCAATCTATCCATCTGACAAAGGGCTAATATCAAGAATCTACAAGGAACTTAAACAAATGTACAGGAATAAAAAAAAACATCAAAAAGTGGGCAAAGGGTATGAACAGACACTTCTCAAAAGAAGACATTTATGCGGCCAAAACATATGAAAAAAAAGCTCATCATCACTGGTCGTTAGAGAAATGCAAATCAAAACCACATCTCATGCCAGTTAGAATGGCGATCATTAAAAAGTCAGGAAACAACAGATGCTGGAGAGGATGTGGAGAAATAGGAACGCTTTTACACTGTTGGTGGCAGTGTAAATTAGTTCAACCACTGCGGAAGACAGTGTGGCGATTCCTCAAAGATAGAGAACTAGGAATACCATTTAACCCAGCAATCCCATTACTGAGCGTATACCCAAAAGATCATAAATCATTCTACTATAAAAACACATTCACACATATGTTTATTGTAGCACTATTTACAATAGCAAAGACTTGGAACCAACCCACATGCCCATCAGTGTTAGGCTGGATAAAGAAAATGTGGCACATATACACCATGGAATACTATGCAGCCATAAAAAAGAATGAGTTCGGCCAGATGCTGTGGCTCACTCCTATAATCCCAGCACTATGGGATGCCAAGGTGGGCAGATCATGAGGTCAAGAGATTGACACCAATCTGGCCAGCCTGGTAAAACCCCATCTCTACTAAAAAATTCAAAACTTAGCTGGGTGTTGTGGCGCATTCCTGTAGTCCTAGCTACTCTGGAGGCTGAGGGAACGGAATCGCTTGGATCCGGGAGGTGGAGGTTGCAGTGAGCCGAGACTGTGACAATGCATACCAGCCTGGTGACAGAGCGAGGCACCATCTCAAAAACACAAAAACAAAAACAAACAAAAAAAAGAATGAGTTCATGTCCTTTGCAGGGACATGGATGAAGTTGGAAACCATCATTCTCAGCAAACTAACACGGGAACAGGAAACCAAACACTGCATGTTCTCACTCGTCAGTAAACACTGAACAACGATAACATATGGGCATGGGGGGAACATCATACACGGGGGCCTGTCGTGTAGTGGGGGACAAGGGGAGGAATAGCATTAGGAGAAATGCCTAACGTACATGACTGGTTGAAGGGTGCAGCAAACCACCATGGCACGTGTATACCTATGTAACAAACCTGCAGGTTGTGCACATGTACCCTAGAACTTAAAGTATAATAAAAAGATATATAAAAAAAATTAAATCCTCCAAGCTGTAAGTATAACTCAGCAAAGAAAAAGGCATGATAATTGTTAGGCTATTTTTAAAATATAGTGATCCATTTTGTTGCCATTTTTTTCTGAAACCAAAGAAATAATGAGCTTATCAACATGAATATTAGAAGTGGAAGAGAATATTATTTAATAAGTTTATCTCGCAGGCATACCAAAAATGTTACATTAAGAAACTTGAAGAAAATATGAAAAGCATGAAAGAACCAAAGACAAATCACCTTTATTAATAAAAGATGAAGAATACAAGTTAGTTGATTTGCTAATGTGTATGAGTAGAAATTGCTGAACGAAATAGTACAAAGTACAGCAGCTAGGAAAACAGATAAGAAATAATATCTAATCAAAATCCAATAAATCAGAAAAAAACATGAAGTAAACAGTTTCCAAATTATTTCTCAATAGAAAAGTGCAACATCAGGCTTTGGAAAGGTACTTTTAGCACGAAAGAGTTATTATTTCATATTTGGCTCAATTTTGTGCTTTCTTGAAATAATATATGTATAATGACTTACTATTTTCACTAAGATTTTGCTCAAATTTTTATAATTTACTTTAGATAAATTTGTTTAGAACTCTTAGCTCAAAATACCATGAATATATTAATAATGCCATATTACTCAGCCTTTGCATTGAAATGTTAATGACATACAGATATGTTAAAATTTTGGTAATATTCAGGCCGTAAACCAATTGGTACCCAATTTTTGGCCGAGATGTGTATGTTTGGGTTCCTACCTGTTTATTTCATCCACCAAGAATGTACTGCGTGTTTCTGATATGCCATACATGGGCACAATATAGAGTGTACTGTCGGATGAAACATGATTATAAACAAAATCAAACCAAACAAGGTAAGTAGATACAGACTGATGAGGGTTACAGGAGCATTTTAAATAGAGGTTGGAAACCTGAAAGAAGTAAAGGATGGAGTGTCGCAGGTGTTCTGGTGCCTGGAGAGATGGGAAGAAGGAAGTTATCAGGTCATGGGCGTAGAGCCCTCAGGATGGGGTTTGTGCCCTTTTAAAAGAGGCCCCAGAGAGAGCCATCACCCTTTCCCACACAGCCAGAAAGCGCTGGCCATGAACCAGGACGCTGTCTTCAGCAGACACCATGTCTGCCACGCTTTGATCTAAGACTTCGCCCTCTGGAACTGTAGGGAGTAAATCTCAGCTCTTTATGAGCCACCAGCCTATAGTATTCTGTTAGCAGCCTGGATGGATTATGATAAGATGTGATTTTGGTTTTTCTCTGTTTTTAAAACATTATGAGAGACAGAGATGACTTCATTAAGCCATATGCACATACGTGGGTTTTTGTGTTGTATTTTATATATACATATATAATTTTAATTTTGAATACATGAATTCTAATATATACACAAATATTGATATCAGTGATTTTCAAATTTATCCTGCCCAATTCATCCTTTTTATATGAAACGTTTTATCAGCCCTTCTCTTTGTCCTCTATTGAAATTCATACTGACCTAGGCATATCATAAAAAAGTAAAATCAAATCAAAACATTTATAAATATAATATGCATAAAAAATTAAAAAAAGGACAGTTTACAGCAGAATGGGCATGCATTGCCCTCTAATTGACCACTGTGTTTTACACTGAAAACAATGAAATTGTTGGCTGCTTGCAGCTTTGTGAGGAACTCTTATGAAAGCTGCCTAGAGAAACACAAATGGGAATTGCTTCAATAACAAATAAAATGCCATCATGTCATTGAAACTGGAGGTATTTTTTTCAAGAAAAAGGAACTTGTGCTAAAGTTCATAATCAAAGATTACACAGCGTTTTCTCAACCTATTTTTGTGTGCAAAAACCATGTAAAAATGATTTATCTCATATGAAAAAAGTGCAGTCATATTCTGGACTCAGGTAGTTACAAGAAGGTTTTCTCATCTTCAGAAAGATTCGGAAGTTTTATAGAAATGGGATGTGGTCCTGCACTGGAAACCTACTCATCCAGCGGTGTGGAGCATCCCAGCATAGATGTTCCTGACACTGTAAAGAACAAAACTGCCCATGAAGTTCCCAAGCTTAGAGGGCAGGTGAGTCATCATTAAAAACCACCAATTTAGGTAAAAATAATGTATTCTTTTGAATTATGTGTCTCTGTGTGCGAATGTGTCTGTGTGTGTGTAGGTGTGGGGCTTGGGTGTGTCATCTGTGTATGTTTATGTGTATCTGTATGTGTAGTGTGTGCATGTGTGTATATGTAGGGTCTCTGTGAGAGGTGTGTGTGTGTGTCTGTGAGAGGGGTGTGTGTGTATATAGTGTGTACGTGTGTGTAGGGTGTACATGTGTGTATATGTAGGGTCTCTTTGTGTCTGTGAGAGGTGTGAGTGTGTGTATTTATATGTGGGGACTGTGCATGCTTGCATTGGTAAGACACTGCACTAGATTCATTGATGTTGAGGGGACCAAGTTTACTTCTGCTCATGTTCTTTGCCCAACCTGGAAATCCTTGTGGAAAGCCCATCCCTTCCTTAATTCTATTAAACTTCAGTCTGTCTTGTGATGCTTTTCAATTCTCACGCATTCCGGAAAGTCAGTCCTGATTCTTCTGATCCAAACATTTCTTTCTTCTCTGCATTCTCTGGAAACTTAGACTTTACACCTACTGTTTAGCCATCAACATATGTCTTCTTTTTCCAAGTAGATTGTTGGCTTTCTGAGGGCAAGGACTGACTGCTTCTGTCATCCGCCAGGCTGTCACCTGTAATGGCAGGTGGAGGCTTCCTGTTTGTCATCATTGAGTGCTTTCCTCGCACATGCAGCTCATCTCAGATTTGGCTTTATGTTGAATATTATCTCACAGGATGTGTGCATTGTCCATTTTCACAGCCAGCAGATTTGAAAAGAGGAAATAAACAGCACTGATTACAAAGTATGAAAGTCATGGATACCTTTCTGTTTTTTCAGATCCATAACAATGTAGCTCAGCGGTGCAACAGATTCCAGAAGCAATTAGATTCAACTGCTTCAGTATGATTTTTGTGCATCATTAAGAAGTTACATAAATTGTCTTTATTCCTTACATCTGGGCTTCTTACACATACAGACACCTACTTACAGAAGAAAATAAAGGCTTTCCATCACATTTTCTAACTGTAATCAAAATAAGTGGTTAGATGTCTGCTGATATAAAGGTACTCTTTTTTTTCTAAGTTAACATGGGAAATTGATCATTTCCATTTATGCATCACATTTTTATTAAAAATTTATTATGATATCATAGTTTGATTATTGAAGGATGAAGTCCTTGCTACTCACTAAAGGTGGTCAACTATCACAGCATTTTCTGAAATAATAAATTGGATATTGGAGTGAAAAGATTAGTCACATCTGTCACTTACTGAGACAAAAGGCTCTTGACAGCTCAAAAAACTCACCCTCTTTTGCTTAACAAAGGAAACCCACAGTTGCAGCACTCCTGCATTTTGAAATTAACACAAATAAGTGCAGCAATCTAAATACCACCTGCGATGTTCTCCCACTGTATGTCCACACCCTTTGCTGCTTGTGAGTCTGCGTCCCCCTGGCAGACCCATAAGTGCATGGAGACCTTCTCAATGTGTAGAAAGTGCTTTCCTATAATATCCTTGCTATTTATTATATTTCTTACATTTACTTTTTCTCCATAAACCAATTAATGTCCTTTGTTAGTGGGACATCACCTCAACACAAGCTCAACCCCTGCAGGTATTAAAATTTCCCCCGTGCCACATTGAAGTCAGCACAAAAGTCCTGAAACAAGCAGTAAATATAGTTGTGATAACATTCACTCTAGGGTTTTGCATAAATAGATTTTGAAAGTCTTGGGCTACACAGAATGTTCTGTAATTCTAAACTTCCTATCTGAATGCATTTTGATTTAATGTAGGCAAGTGTACCAGCCTCAGATGCAAAGATCCAGTGACTAAAGACATTAATGCTCATCTGAAGCAAAGACAAGAGTAGAGGAGCAGATTTTGAAAAAGGCAAAAATGGAAGAGGAAAGGTAATGCAGATGAGGAGAAAAAAGGAATCAAAAAGAGAATAAATAGCTGTGCATATGCTTATCTGTGTGTGTACTTGTGCACATACACAAGACCACAAAAGCCATGTTATAGTGATAGCCTCTTATTAGAAAAACAGGGATACATTTTCATTCAATTCTAATATCTACTGTAAAATAAAATGTGAAACATTGCATAATTCAGCAAGAAAATTAGAATTCAGTCCAGTTTCTATAAATTAAGGGGTAGAGTTTAGTTTTCCTTTCAGAAGCCAGACCACACCAGCACAAAGAAGACAGACAACTCGCTCAGCGCTTCTGGCATCACTCTGGCATTGGAAATCCGGATGAACGATTTCTTGTCACTGACATAATTGCATTATTCAAGCTTTATGGTAAAGTCAGGCTTAGGTTAATAACATTAATCTCCCCTTTATTTCCCTACATCTTATATATAATTCCTAGGGTGCATAGACGTGTGAGGATGATAAACCAAAAGGGTTTCTAAAAGCACATGAACCTCTGTGTGTATCGTGTGAAATCAGTGAAGAAAATCAGTGAAGAGTTGGTCCTACCATATTAAGCCATATTTGAATTGTTCTGGACTATTCCATGGCCTGGCTCACTCATCAGATACTGGTTTCATTTTAAAAAGAAAGATAATCTTATGACGGTGCATTCATACCCAGAATAGAGCCTGGGTGGGCCAGGCTGTCATACGGGAAAGAAAGAAATAGAAAGCCAGCCATGCCTCTGATGCTGTTTCCAGAAAGAGGTATCGGCATTGGTGAGAGTTGATGGTTCTTTAGAAACTCAGAGGGAGCCCTATTCAAGGTCTCCAGGATCAGCCACTGGGGGATGGGGGGTCCTGCATTTGAGTTATCAGGAGCCCTGCAGGTGATTCTCACGTGCCCTGAAATCCCAGAATCAGAGAACCACTGCTCTAAGATCCTGCCCCAGGCTCAGGGCCCATGGGAGGATGCTATGATTCTTGCCACAGCTTGCTCACCCAGGCGACCGAATCACTTAACCAGCTCTGACTTACCACCCCAACCCGTCTGTAAGACTTGGCCTGGAACAGCACATATCCACCTTGCTGGAGGGATGCAGAGCCTGTAGTCAGGCATACGGAGGTGCTGAAGGCTGTCTGGCTTGCTGTGTGGGCCAGGCATAGTGGATAGTCACACTATCAGACCATCAGAGAGTGAGGCTGTCCTTTGCACAGACATGAATATCGTCACGTGTCCCTGCAGGAAGAGAGTTTTCTGCACGCTGCCTTAGTATTGACTTCATACACATAGGGGAAAATTCTATTTAAAATGCTTCTGGTCAATGATTTGAGCTCAGCTTGCCTGGAGTGTAATTTACCAGAAAGAAAAAAATGGACTTCATTAAAATTAGAGACCTCTGCTCTGCAAAAGACACTGTTCGTACAATAAGAAGACAAGCCAGAGACTAGCAGCAAGTGTTTTTAAAAGGTGTGTCTGATAAAACACTGATACCCAAAATATACAAAGAATCCTTAAAACTCAGCAATAAGAAAATAACCCAATTAAAACATGGACAAACAATCTGTACATATCACCAAAAAAAAAAAAATATGCTGATCGGAACTAAGTAAATGAAAGAGACTTTAGAAAAGCTCATGTTAAAATAATGAGATACTGAACACACCTACTAGAATGGCTAAAATCCAAAGCACTGACAATACCAAATGCTGGTGAGGATGTGGAGCAAAAGGAACTCTCATGCATGGCTGGTGGGAAGGCAAAATAGCACAGTGGCTTTGGAACACAGTTTGACGATTTCTTATAAAACTAAACATATTATATGATCCAGCAATCATAGTCCTAGATATCTACTTAAGTAAGCTAAAAACTTATGTCCACACAACAACCTTCACATGGATGTGTATAGTAGCTTTCTTCATAATTGGCAAGAGTTGGAAGCAACGAAGATTTCTTTAATAGGTGAATGAATAAACAAGCTGTGGTACATTCGTGCAATGGAATGTTATTCAGTGATATAAAGAAGGGAGGCGAGGGGCCGTGGTTCACATTTGTAATCTTAACACTTTAGAAAACCAAGGCTGGAGGATTGTTTGAAGCCAGTAGTTCAAGTCCAGCCTGGGCAACATAGTGAGATCCTGTTTCAAAACCAAAAAACTTAGCCAGGCGTGGTAATGCACACCCGTAGTACTAGCTACTCAGGAGGCTGAGGCAGGAGGATTGTTGGAGTAGAGTTCAAGGTTACAGTGAGCTATGACCATGCCACTGCATTTCAGCCTGGGTGCCAGAGCAAGACTTTGTCTCTAAAACAGGAAAAAGGAGAAAGAAAGACAAACAAATGAGCTATCATGGCCACAAAAAGGCATGTAGGAACCTTGAATGTTGATATGGTTTGGCTGTGGCCTCACCCAAATCTCATCTTGAATTGTAGTTCTCATAATCCCCATATGTCATGCGAGGGGCCCAGTGGGAGGTAACTGAATCATGGGGGCAGCTACCCGCATGCTGCTGTTCTCATGATAGTGAGTGAGTTCTCACGTGATCTGATGGTTTTATAAGGGACTTTTCCCCATTGCTCAGAACTTCTCCTTTCTGTCACCATGTGAAGAAGGACCTGTTTGCTTCCCCTTTCACCATGATTGTAAGTTTCCTGAGGCCTCCCCAGCCCACAGAACTGAGTCCATTAAACTGCTTTCCTTTATAAATTACCCAGTCTCATGTATGTCTTTATTAGCAGCATGAGAATGAACTAATACAAATGCACACTACTAAGTGAAAGAAGCCCATCTGAAAAGGTTACATACTGTGCGATTCCAACTCTACGACATTTGTTGGAAAGGAAATCCATGAAGACAGTAAAAAGATTGGGGGCTACTGGAGTTTGCGGGAAGAGAGGGATGAACAGGCAGAGCACAGAGGATTTTTCGGGCCGTGAAACTACCCTGTATGATACCATAGTTGTGGGTACATGTCATTATACATTTGTTAAAACTTCTAGAGCCCTACAACACCAACAGTGAACCCTAAAGCAAACTGAAGACTTTAATTACTAAAAAGTATCATGCTAGTTCATCAGTTGTAACAAATGCACCTCACTAGTGCAGGATTTTGACAGAATGGAGACCCAGGGGTGGTGTCAGAGGATACAAGGGACTCTGTACTTTCTGTTTAATTTTTCTGTAAACCTAAAACTGCTCAGAAAAGAAAGTCTATTAATTTTTAAAAAGATATGAAACTTATGTCTTCAAAAGATTTTTTTCTCAAATAAGATACTCTTGGTATATGTTATAAACTTAAAACCATTACATAAATATTTTAAGCTTCTGGGACCAAATTTCTTTTCAAGTAGATACAAAGATCTATTTTCTTTGAGGCACACTTATTCCTTCTTTGTGAAACCACTATGGTTTAAAATCTTAAGCACATAAACTTTAACTCGTCTACAAGTCTACATTTATGAACTGCGTAGGAAATGACCCTCAGGAAGAATGAGTGGAGTTGAAGGGTTAATGAGACATCATGCAACACACGCATCTATAATAAAACAGGTGAAAAAGACCCATTCTCCTGTATGATTGTAGACATTGTAAATATGTTACAGAAGATTGATTTATGATAGAGAATTTGAAAAACATGGTGTTATCATCAGACTTATAAATCAAATATTAAATGAGAGAAATCTGCATTGATATTAAATCTACAATGGAAGGCAATTTCACACAAAATATCTCATTGTCTCTATTTCATTGCCCATTATGCTAATGTCCACATGTGTGGGAGGGTGTTTGAGACTCTGGACCTTGGAGGGGAATACTGAAGCTTCCGTGTGTGTGTGTGTGTGTGTGTGTGTGTGTGTGTGTGTGCGTGTGTTTCAATTCATATCTAAGTCTTACAGGATTCCAAAAATGTAAATTCAAGGTGGAAGTCAGGTTTAAATTCTGCTTATGAAGAAATTCTTGGTTTGGGAATCAGACTTTGCATTTTCTTACTAACTCCTTAGAAATATATTATGCACAAACTGGGGATAAAAAGTCTCCTTTTGCTTTAAAAATGATCATCACATGCATTTTTGATACCACAGCAAGTTGGATCCCTGGGCCATACCTCCTCATGGAATCAACCTCAAATCCAGATAAAATTCAATAATTTCTTAAACGCCACCACTTGCTGGCAATTAAGTAAGGAATTCTTACCTTTAGGGTAAGAGAAAGCCACAAGTAGACCACTGAAGTTGTCTTTCCCCGCAAGGTAAAATGTGAGTGTTGGTTCTCACAGGCTCCAGCGTCTGAAACCAGAACCCACTAAGTAAGGGAAATCCAATTGGAGATTTTCTCCCTGACTGCAAAGGTGAGCCTCAAAAAGCTGTACCCCCAGTCTGGGGTAAATCAGAAATGAATCCATTCGCCGTTAGTAGCAGTGTCACCAGGAAATGCAGCATCTACAACTCCAGTGTTGAGGGGGCATGGTCAGGAGAATATGAAGCATGGGAAAGTCCGAAGCCAGTTTGCAACCTGACTTCAAGTCAAAAACTTACAGTCAAGCTCCAGGCACCGGAGAGAAGCAAACCCTTACCCCTGCAAACATGCCTGGAGCCCTCAGCTTCTTCAGAGGCCTGAATCAATTCCCACAAACAGGCTTCCAAGGTACTGAGCAATTCTTAGTCAAATACTGTTGAAATAATGGTAAAAGGAGGAAAACTAATAGGATTGAAATAGTGACATCATTTTATTCAGGAGTTCCAGAATCACTGAAAAATCTGAGAGGTGAGTTTAGGCTGATGATCCCTTTGCAAAATGTCTGTCAATGACCTGGAATGCATTTTCCCAGCACATTTTCTTCATAAAGCCTTCAGGCATCCCTCCCATTCGCACGGATTGAGTCTTCTCTGAGCTCCTCTTTTCACTTATTTATAGATGTACCGATTCACTTATCACCTCACTGGATATTTATTGAATGCCTGTGTCACCGGGCACCTCTATTCCAAGCACCATCCGGGCCTCCTTCACTTCATCATCACGCCATGTGTCCTGACGTCCTTGGGTTTTACAGCCCTGCTAGCCTGAGTGCTCAGCGAGGACCTTTTCTCTAGATAGCTCCAGTCCCCACACAATGCTTGGTTCATTCAACTCATCGAATGAACACTGTGCTTATTTCCAGCCCTTTCTCAACAAAATTCCAAGTAAGTTGTCTACTCGTACTTTCATGTGTTAACTTATGTTTCTCCATTCAGTGAGCACTGTAGACTCACGTAGGCAGAGAAAAGGATTCTCATCTCAAAAAGATTTAAGATTTGAAAATTTAAGAGTACATAATTGGCAAAGTGAAATAAAATGAAATAAAGACACAAACGATAATGGAACGGAATGGTAACTAACCATGGCTCTTACTCTGCAGTTCTTGATTGAGGAAAACACTTACCTAGAAAAACGAGTTACCATGAGGAGGCCGCAGTCATGAATGAATTCCATTCCATGCTTGAGTGCACGGCACTGCATTGCTTATTTTCTAGGCAAATTGTGTCTCCTCTCACAGGACTGCTGTGAGGTGCACCTGCCCCAGGGAAGGGGGTGCCTACAGCTTTGCTGACACAGATATGTGAAGTAACTAGGATCTCTCTTTCCAATTCGCCAATGAGGTGCTTCATCTGAAATCTTGGAGGCATATATCTCAATCTGTCATTGGACGAATATTTCTCTCTGTTACAGCCCAACTGTAGGGGCAAATCAGCTGTCCACCTTGCACTCCTGCTGCTGCCAATGAAAAGTTCGTGATGTTCTATTAATATCTGTATCAGGGTGTCCTCTTTTGATCCTCCCATGTAATGCCTCATGTTAGTCTAGTTATCCTGAGCCTATGACTGACATGTGTCAATGGGCTGGAAAACACACTCTGCTGCAGACCAGATTCTTGTAGGTGGGCTCCTGAGGTATCCTTAAGGCAACAGAAAATTTGAGAAATGTACAAAACCATCTGCAGAAGTTGAAGATGATCACCACCAATGAGAAAGTCCAGCAAATTGGAATCCTCATAAATGTACTCACATATTTTACACAGTAAAATCCTTAAAATCCTTGAATAATTCAATTGCAGAACATAACCCCCTAATTAAATCACATACTACAGTATATTTAACTGGATCTATTATGTCATTACACAAATTGTATAATATTCAAAATTACGAGTATTGTACTCTGTATAGAACTTAAAAGAATTTTTGTATAAAACTGTGACTATATGCATTTTGTCACTCTAAGGGCCACTATCATTTATAATCTCCACAATGGCCAAGCGTTCTTTGACAGGGAAGCCTGTACTAAGGACGACAGTTATTTAGTTATTCTGTGATGTAAAAATTACTGTTGGAAAAACCATCTTAACCTGCTACTCTAGTGCTCAAACCACAGTGGAGCCTTTGTATAGCACCTTCGTGCAGCTGCCAGCCACGGCTGCGGGGTTAAAGAAGAGGACTATACACCCCTGCCACCAGGTTCAAGGTTTTCCTTGCCAAGATCTACCGCAGGGCTGCGAGGAGGCCACGTGACTTGTCAGGTGCATTCCAGGGTTCAGGGGGCCTTGGTGGCCTTGACTTCTTCTAAATGGAGATACAGGAAAAAGCCTCCAGATGTTATCCTGGCAGGTTCTGGACCCGCTTTTGAACAGTGAGCCGTGAGTAGTTAAGTAACAAAACCTCTGCCAGCTTTGCCGGCCAATTTCCTCTTAAGGCCCACCTGGGACAGCAGAGGCTAGATGGGCTCCTCCTGCTGTGAAGTAGAAGTGCAGGAGTTTACATGTGTCTTGCAGTTGTCTACCCATTTCTTGACACCTGCTTCTGGACTCTACATCTGAAAGACCCTTGCCAGGCACAGAGGCTCACTCCTGTAATCCCAGCAGTTTGGGAGACTGAGGTGGGAGGATCACCTGAGGTCAGGAGTTCGAGGCCAGCCTGGCCAACGTGGTGAAACCCCATCTCCACCAAAAATACAAAAATTAGCTGGGCATGGTGCACTGTAATCCCAGCTAATCGGGAGGCTGAGGAAGGAGAATCACTTGAACCTGGGAGGTGGAGGTTGCAGTGAGCCAAGATCGCACCACTGCACTCCAGCCTGGGCAACAAAGCAAGACTCCATCTCAAAATAAAAAATAAATAAAAATTAAAATTAAAAAATATTAAAAAAATTAAAAAACCTAGCCCATATGTGCCTTGCTTTAGGACTTGGCTTTCTGAGCACAGTGTTTCTGTGTCTTACACGGTGCATGTCTGCATTTGCTGTGAATCTTGCAGGCAGCCAGTTCTGTCACTCTTTCCTTGCCTCTGCTGCCAGCTCCCGACCTCATGGGCCTCCCTGCCCTGCAGGCTCCCCCTGGCTGGCGTTTCTGCCTTTGCTCTGAGCTGCTCCTTCTGCAGCCACCTTCAGGACAGCACCTGTCATGAAGGATACGTCTTCATATGGCCCTTTCTAGTTCTCCCACCTCGAGAGTAAGTCCGGAATGCCACAGAGGACACCCAAGACCACACATGTAGAAATAATTAGTATGTTTAGAAACCAGACTATAAACTCCTCTTAAAAGTTATGTACAAAGAAATTATGAGACATGATTATGAATAGTGTTATTATTTCTATGGTTAACTACAACAAAAAGAAACAATAACTTCTGCTAGGATAAACCAGGCGATATTAAATTCCAAATCATAATCAGCTTGGGAAATAATTTTCTTAACTTTCTGGATCACAGACATTCCTCTGAATTACAAATTTGGACTGGAACCTCAATGATGGAAAGAAATATTGAGAGCTATCCTTAGAGAGTCAAGCTACTGAGGAAAATCAAAGCTGAGAATATAATGCTTGAAAATGTATTTGACGGGGCTATCCAAATTACTTTTAACTCATGGATGAGTTAATATTCTTTAGCAAAAATAATACTTATTTTACATTTTAGAAATACATGTGCTCTATTGAGGGACTGTAGCAATACAGCAAGGGCAAGAACCAGAAGCTATGGCTGCAGTGTGTGGGGTACGAGCCATGAGGTGGAAGACGTGCTGCCAGGGAAGATAGACAAGTACCTGACAACAAGATGTGCAGACGGTGACACTGTGTGGGACCTGGGAGTGAGGCGCACAGAGGGGGACACTGTGTGTGACATGGGAATGGGGTGTGAACAGAGGGGGACACTGGGTGGGACCTGGGAGTGAGGCGCACAGAGGGGGACACTGTGTGTGACATGGGAATGGGGTGTGAACAGACGGGGACACTGGGTGGGACCTGGGAGTGAGGTGCACAGAGGGGGACACTGTGAGGAACCTGGAGTGAGGTGCCCAGAGGGGGAAACTGTGTGGGACCCTGGAGTGAGGTGCACAGAGGGAGACTCCGTGTGGGACATGGGAATGGGTGTGCACAGAGGGGGACACTGTGTGGGGCCTGGGAGTGAGGTGCACAGAGGGGGACTCTGTGTGGGGCCTGGGATTGGGGTGTGCACAGAAGGTGACATTGTGCGTGTGACTATGCGCACATTTACATATATAACAAAGCTGCCCATCCTGCACACGTACCACAGAACTTAAAACAGAAGTTCATGGAAAAAAAAACAAAGACAATTCTAAATCTCAATTGGAAGGCTTCCTGTGAGTACAGAGAATTTCCCTCCCGCCTTTGCACCTCTGGTGTGCTCTGGGACGGCATTGGACCGTTATGGGGTTTCCAATATTTGCATCACACTGCTTGAGCTCTTTACATCACATGTATCTGGCCTTTCCCAAATCAGATGGCCTGAACTAATTCTGCAGTCACTCTGGTCGTATCATCTATTTTTGTTCTGTTTATCTCTCGATGAAAGTTGCTCGCCATGAAAATATTTTCCGTCATGTGAGAAAACCATAATCATTCCATGTTAAATAAGGCCTTTTAAATATCTGTAGCTTGGGTGAAACCACTCACCATATGACAGAATTTTAGAAAAATTACTTTTTTTAAAATGGCATTGAGTGTAAGTATTTTTGAATCGTATCTGTCATTATCTATGATAAATTGAATTACTTTTAAGAAAATCGAAAAGTATTGTCCTAATATGGCCACTCTTTAGGGTAAATTCCTGACATTGGTGACTGGTAACCAATACATTGAGGGATTGGTTTAAGTTTGAACTAGTTTTATGCCAAAAGTACAGCTTTTGTTGCTACAACCTGAAAATCTTTTAAAATGAGACCAGAGCATGGACTGATTTATTTGGCAGGATGTGTCCCCTTGCCATCAAAATTGAACACCAGATGATGACAAAAGTGGTGAGCTATTACCGTGTGGCCAGAGGCCTGGCAGCAACTCCATGCTCAAGTGAGTTATTGCAGAATAGAGGCCACAGAGTGTCACAAAAGAGCTAATAATAAACCTGGGACTTATTATAAAGGAGGAAGAAAAAAATTACTGACTGAAGGGGACAAAGGGAGACCCATTTTTTTTTTCACTTTTGAGAAACCAATTATTTAACACACATGCTGAACATAAAGCCCATTAAACAAATATGAAACCCCATCTGGGTTAGCAAAATGCAAAATGCAGTGCAGACAGAACCACGAGCCGCAGCAGCCATGTCTGAGGGATGTGAAGTCTTGTGTTTCAGAACCAATAGGGAATTTTGAGTGCTCTTTAAGGCCCCAATCCAAATCAGATCCCTTCAAAGACCTCACTTCATAGCTCATTTTCACAAGAATTTTTTAAAACCATTTTTGAAGGTAGATTCCTAAAGTGACATTTAATCAAATTCATTCAGTAAGATGACATTTCAGTATTTTCCGCTAAGTTAGTAGTCGTGAATGATTGTCACATCTTCCCTCAAAATTGTTTGTTTCGTTGGTTTGGTGGGAACTGGCATACATCTGTGTGACACTGGTCGGAACTGGCATACATCTGTGTGACACTGGTTGGAATTGGCATAAATCTGTGTGACATTGGTGGCAATTGGCATACATCTGTGTGACATTGGCACTCAGCATCTTGGACATTCCAAGATCACACAGAAGAGCAAGAAATGTCACTGCTTACCTAGGAAGTGAGATTGGTGATGGATTTCTTGATTTGCCAGGCCAGTATCACTGATATTTCCATTCCACCTGGGAAACCATGCACTGGATGATCACCCAGCTGCAAATAGGAAATTAATACTGGCCAGGTGCAGTGGCTCACGGTGGTAACCCCAGCACTTGGGAGGTCGACCTGGGCAGATCACCTGACGTCAGGAGGTCAAGGCCAGCCTGGCCAACAGGGTGAACAGTGTCTCTAGTAAAAATAAAAAAATTATCTGGGCATGGTGGTGGGTGCCTGTAATCCCAGCTATTCGGGAGGCTGAGGCAAGTGAATCACATGAACCCGGGAGAAGGAGGCTGCAGTGAGCCAAGATCGTGCCACTGCACTCCAGCCTGGGTGACAGAGCAAGACTCCATCTCAAAAATAAATACATAAAAATAAAAAAATTAAAAAAGAGGAAAGTAATACTGTACTTTGATTTAAATAGTCCACAAGTAGTGCCTCTATCATAGGCCTTTTTCATAACATTTTATTGTTATTTATTGTGGCAGAGCCATAGATAAACTTGACAATAAATGAAGTATACATAACCAGGTCATTGCCCTAACATCTAATGAAATTCAGTACTTATTGTAAAAGAAGAGTGATGGCTGATTCAAATAGATTCTGCCCTTGAAATAAATGAGCTTTCATAAAAGAAACAGAAAAAAAAATGAATAGGATTCTTGGCAAATATTGACTTTAAAAATGCAGTATTATAAAAAAAAAAAGACTTGGATTGGATTCGATTTTTCTGCTTCATATGGAAATTTTCTTTTTATATGAATATTTCAGTGCAGCTTTCTTAAAATCTTAAATTCTACTACATAAAAGAAGAAGAAATAGAAAGGAACCGCAGTGTCATTTAGCGTAGTCCTCTACTCGAGTTTAGAAACATAAAACACTCTTTTTAGAAAAAAAAAATTCAAATTCATTCTGATCAACCTGTAACAAAACTAGATCAGCCAGTTACTAAAATATCATTGACACCTACTTTTATCCTAGATGGTCAGGGTTTGGGGTCAGTGGTGACTGAAGGGGGAAGCATTTTGAGCAGGTGTCAAAGGAGGAAGACATGAAGGGCAAGTTTCGGGAAAAAGACTCTCAACCTGTGGCCTGGGGCGGTAGACACATAGAGGAGACACAAGGAAAAGCTCAGATTATCCAGCCAGATGGAAGGAGGAATTAGCAAATGGCAAAGTTTTAAATTATGACTTGCGACATCTACTGCACTTGAGCAAATAGAAGGAAAATAGATTCAGATAACACAGTACCATCCAGTCAAATAGATAAGCTGGTTGAATATCTACATTGTAAAGATATTAGATTTGTCAGAGTAACTACAAACCCACTGAGATTACTAAAGAGAATATGCTGAAATCGCCGATTTAACATTTAAATAGACAAAAGATATGCATTTCATTGTTATCAATGCACTCCTAGGTTCACCGTTATTTCCTAGTCCCTTTTACTTTTAATGATCATAGCAACTTGAATCTCGTCAAAATGTACAGTCTTCTAATGACCTTATGTCATACTTAGAATTCGCTCTGTACTGAAAGGTGAAGTGTTTAATGTTGTTCACATTCCATATAGTTATTTGCAATGTGGATGACATCATCAATACGATTTGGAAAATTAGCTATGCTCCATCCACTTTAATGGCTACTGGAGCCTTCCTGTTTGGAGGAGCATAAAGGAGAAAAGCAGGTGAATGCTCCCTACAGTGCGGTGTGCAGAAGCGCCCGAAGGGAGCAGGTGCATAGGTGTAAATGGAGAATTGGGGCCTGTGAGAACAGCTGGGATGTGAGCAGGTGCTCCAGGGATGTGTGCAGGTGTCACCAGCAGATGGAGCTGCGCAGCAGGGGCTGCCTGATGTTGAGCTGGGATTGCTGAACAAACACGCTTTGCCGGCTCTGCAAGCGTAGACAAGTCACAAAGTCAGTGGGACCCAAATTAAGTACAAAAATCTTTGAGAGTTTCTTAAAGAAGCGTGGACTTGATTTTCATTTTGGTTTCTAAGGAAGATAGTTAGGCATAAAATGATATCATTAGCCTTGTGTTAGGGAAGGACATTTCTTTAAAAGGTCTAAGCTAACAGGAGGGAGAACTGGAGGGACTCAAAAAGGTAAGCACCCAGCACGACAGTCCACTGGAAGACGATGCAGCCGTAGCTGGAGAAATCAAGGAGGGGAGGAAAGGCAGGGAAAATTTGCGATGAGCTCAGCTTAGAAGAGACGGTCATGCTTTCAATACGAACGAGTGCTAGTATTTGGTGGGAGACGATTTTTGTGCTTACTGCTGTGTATGTATTGCCTGACTTTCTCCTGCTGAGCAACTTTTAATTACAGAGCTTATTTCACATCTGAGGAAACTGAGGATCCAAGTGTCTTGACCAAGGCCATACGGCTGTAGAAAACGGCTGCGCCCACGGGAGACTCTGCTGTGTTTCACTGTGAAGCCACTGCTCATAAACATTGTGCTATGTTGCTTTCATGTGCACAATTTGCTTGTGGTCAAAAAAATGTGGGCAGCAGGAAGAGGGGGTGATGGGAGGGATAGTGTGGTGTTAGGAGTACCTTTGAAATAACTGTGTTCCAACAAGTCAAAGACTTATGAAGATGAAATTAGTTATGCAGGTAAATAAGTAATTTGAAGAAATTTTGAACTTCAGATCTTTTTTTTTTTCTTTTTCTTTGTTTCTTTCTTTTTTTTTTTGTTTTTTTGAGATGGAGTCTTGCTCTGTTGCCCAGGCTGGAGTACAGTGGCACAATCTCGGCTCACTGCAACCTCCGCCTCCTGGGTTCAAGAGATTCTCCTGCCTCAGCCTCCCTCCCGAGTAGCTGAGATTACAGGCGCCTGTCACCACACCTGGCTAATTTTTGTGTTTTTAGTAGATCTGGGGGTTTCACCATGTTGGCCAGGCTGGTCTCAAACTCCTGACCTCAGGTGATCTGCCCACGTCAGCATCCCAAAATGCTGGGATTACAGGCATGAGCCACTGCGCCCAGCCTAAACTTCAGATCTTTAAGAGAACAGAAATGCCAGTTCTGGTTAGAAAGACCTGCATGGTGACAGAAAGATGTTTGAATATCTTTTTCTGGGAAGTGTCTGTTCATGTCCTTTGCCCACTTTTTAACAGGGTTGTTTGTTTTTGCTTGTTAATTTGTTTAAGTTCCTTGGAGATTCTGGGTATTAGACCTTTGTCAGATGAATAGTCGGCCAAGATTTTCTCCTTTACTGTGGGTTGTCTATTTACTCTGCTGACAGTTTCTTTTGCTGCACAGAAGCTCTTTAGTTGAATTAAGTCCCATTGACTTGAAAATGGGCACTAAACACTGAGTACACGAGTACACAAAGAGGGAAACAGGAAACACTAGAGCCCGCATGAGGATGTGGGGAGGAAGGAAGGATGGAAAAACCACTGATCAGGTACTATGCTCATTACCTGAGTGACAAAATAATCTGTACGCCAAACCCCCATGATGCACAATTTATCTGTAGAACCAGCCTGCACATGTACCCCTGAAACTAAAAGTTAAATAAAGAAACATTAAATCTGAGTTAATAACGAGAGGATTAGTGAACTAGAAAAAAAAAGATGTTTGGAAATCATCAGTACATAGAAGCTATGTAGTCTGACACTATAGGGAAGTAAAAATATGGCAAACAATTAAAACAAAAATGAGGCCAGGCACAGTGACTCATGCCTGTAATCCCAGCACTTTGGGAGACCAAGGTGGGTGGATAATGAGGTCAGGAGTTTGAGATCAGCCTGGCCAACATAGTGAAACTCCATCTCTACTAAAAATACAAAAAATTAGCCAGGAGTAGTGGTGTGCACCTGTAATCCTAGCTACTTGACAGGCTGAAGCAAGAGAATTGTTTGAATCTGGGAGGTGGAGGTTGCAGTGAGCTGAGATCGCATCACTGCACTCCAGCCTGGGTGACAGTGCAAGACTCCGTCTCAAAAAAAAAAAACAACGAGATACCTTCACCCACCTATTAAAATGGCCAAAGCCTCAGAACATGCCTGTTGGTATTTGCCCAAAGGAGTTGAAAACTTATGTCCACACAAAAGCCTGCTGCACATAGATGCTTATAGCGGCTTTATTCATCATCTTATTTTCTCTTCTCAAACTTTCAGATTAACCTTTGGCATTCCTTCTCTCAGTAGAAAAAACTTGTTTGTTCTTCCCTGTAGGGACAAATAAATAAAATGCCTAATAAAATACATCTCTCTTTCCATTTTGTAAGTGCCTGCATGGTGGCAGAAAGATGCTTCAAAATCTTCTTTTGGGAAGTGTCTGTTTATGTCCTTAATACACTTTAAATACAGCATCTTCCAGCTCTGGTGAGACTCCATCCTGTTCTCTGCTTCTCTCATTGCCGTACGAGACCTGCCCATCTTCCAGGCAAAGGCAAGGCGCCCCTCATGCCCTCCCGAAATCCCCATCCTTTCTTCCACATTTCTCCTGCATCACTTTTCATAACTACATCATTTCCATGTGCATAGAAAGACACTGCCAATATTTTTTTGTAAAATCAAGAAACGTGATGCCATGACTTCAGCCACAGTTCAGTTTCCCTGATCCCTTCCTAAGAAAAACTCTTCAAAAGGGGGCATGTCTATGGCTCCAACTTCTCTCTTTCCCTTGGCTGTTGAATAATCTCTCATCAGTCTTTCTTCCTGAAACACCCCTTTGGAATGTCACGATGGCCCCCACATGGCTACATCAAATAAAAATGTCAGTTCTTAATGCCACTTACCCCATCAGCTGCACTGGGAAGAGTTCACAACTCTCCCTTGAAGCCCCACCTTCATTGGACTTCTGTTGCCTCATCCTCTCCTGGTTTTCTTCCCACTAGCTTTGCCCTCAACCTTCCCACAACAACAGCCCTTCAGACCCCATTTGTGTAGCTCAGTCAAAAAGCATGGAAGACGTTCCTGACGCTTGTCTTTCTCTCACATTCTACTTTCAATTTAACCAGCAAGTCCCTTTGGCTCCATCTTGAAAGTGAATCCAGAATCTGACCATTCTTCACCCCACACCGTTTTCACTGTGAACTTCCTGCTGGTTTACTGTGATTCCCCACAAGCAGCTCCCCAGGGGCTCCTCCTCCCACTGTCTGTCCTCAGTGCAGCAGCCAGAGTGACTCTTTGACCTGTACTAAGTCATGGCCCCCTCTGCTCAAAGCTTCCAATGGCTTCCATGCATCTAAATAAAGACCCTAGAATGGTCTGTCTACAAGGGTTGCATGCTCCATCACTCTGCGTCCCCTGCTGTGACTATACCCACTACCACTCACTTGCCATTATGAGCACCCCACTCCTCCCTCCATCAGGTCCATGCACAGAACTCCTGCCTCTGGGTGTCACAGCTGTCTCTACCTCTGCCTCCCAACCTTGGTCCTCAAATGACGGCAAGGCTGGCTCCCCACTCCATCAGGCTCTTTCTGACATCCCCTTTCCCTTTTCTTCTATTTCTTTTTTTTTCTCCATAGTAATTACTGCCTTCTGACAGGCTATACAGTTATTTCTGTATTTGCTTATTGCTAATCTCTGTTAATGAGAATGGAACTTTCAGGAGAGCAGAACATTACTGTTTGGGTGTTTGTGTGTTTTTCCCATTGCTATAACTGATCAAATGTAGGTTCTTATTATTTGTAGTTGAAAGAGTGAATGATAAATAAAGATTCTGTAGTCCTACAATGGTGTGTTTGCTGTTTTTCATTTTAGAATAACAGAGCTGTGGAGCTAGGCAGAATTATAGTCATCATTAAGTTGATATATGAGAAAACAAGGCCCCAGGTGATTCAGCTTTTTGAGGATGGGAGAACAGATGTGTGACTGGAATTCAAAACTCCAAGTCGTCAGCCAAAATTTTATCTGCCAATCTCTTTAACATACAATAGTTGTTCCATCAGTGTTTGCCACATGTGTTTAAAGTGGCATTATTCTATAGTAATGTTAATATCATTTTTAGCCTGGCAAGTTCTTGAAGGAAATCACTCAATGATTACCTGTCCAAAATATAAATGTACATTTTAATGCCTATGATCTGAGCCCCAACATCTGTACAAATTTCACAAGCTTTTAAAAATTGATTTTAGAGCATTTCTATGTGCGTTTCAAAACATCAGGAATGACATTGGGAGTGCACGTGTGCATGTGTGTACGTTTCTGGAATCTCCTCACTCTTAGTGAAGCTCCTTGGGATGTGTTGGAGTAGATGCCTGGCCTCTCACCAGCAGGAAAGCCATGTTTATTGAATGAAAGCACACATCTGTGGATGGATGAGCCCTTAATGACACAACCTCTTATATGTGAATCAGCTTTAAACACGAGATGCAGGCTCACAGTGGAAAATGCTTGATTTTTAGCTTCAGTCATTTGGGATTGGGTTCTGGTTTGAAGCGTCACTAACCATACAGCCTTGGACAAGTAAGTAAACCTCTTTGAACCTCAGGACCCTAATTCTTCTAATAAGGTAGAACAGTGGACCTATTTTGCATGTTTGAAATTAAGGTGATTTATAACAGATGAAAGGAATTCAATCACATATGCTATCGATAAATGACATGTTTTGTTCCTGTTATTGCTTATAAATTTCTAACACATACCCAAGGTTTTCTTAAACTCCTCTTATATTAGTTTATTGTTAGCAAGCAAAGGAAGCAAGGCAAAGTACTAAAAAGCTCATCAGCAAAGGAAAACGTTTTGAAAAGCAAAGATAAGAATGAAGGCAAACATAAAAATGAAAGGATGTCACATTCAGCGGGTTAGCGACTGAGTAGGTGCTAATGAGGGTAATGAAGACAGAAACGTGGAGATGCAAAGTGTTTCTCTCAGACAGAGATCCTGGGCCTGGATAGGACCCCAGAAAACTGTGATATGGTTTGGCTGTGTTCTCACCCAAATCTCATCTTAAATGGAGCTCCCATAATCCCCATGTGTCATGGGAGGGGCCTGGTGGGAAGTAATTTAACCATGGGGGCGGTTACCCTCATGCAGTTCTCATAATAGTGAGTGAGTTCTCACAAGATGTGATGGCATTATAAGGGGCTTTTCCCCCTTTTAGCTGGGCACTTCTCCTTCCTGCTGCCATGTAGAAGAACATGTTTGCTTCCCCTTCCACCATAATTGTAAGTTTGCTGAGGCCTCCCCGGTCATGTGGAACTGTGAGTCAATTAAACTTCTTTCCTTTATAAATTACCCAGTCCTGGGTACGTCTTTATTAGCAGCATGAGAATGGACTAATACAAACCATAAGAAAGAAAGAAATTATTATGCCCTCACATATAAATAATAACTAAAAATAATTCCAATTAAAAAAAATCTTGGCAGTACAACTTTTTTTTTACATCCTTGCATCTGCATTTCTCGAAGAAGACCATTGCCGGCCATTTTACAGTCTACTTCTTCATGCATTGACACATGTAAGCAAAGTCTGTTTTTGATGTTTTGTTTGAAACTTGCCGAAACACAAATGCAATGGTCTCCAGTTTTCACTTGCCCCCCGCTTTCAGAGTGATTTTTTTTGGTGATTAAGGAACAGGGTGTAAACAGAATATCCATCAGTACTTTCTCTCCTGGCATTATCAATTAAGATCACAGTAGAGATTTCTGTAGCAGATATTATGTTTATATTAAGTTTATGAAAATACATCCATCACCAAATCTCCTGGCACACATGTTAAGTAAAACGCAAAAGACAAAGCCTACCAACACGATGATAATCATGCTATTTTATAGATTGCAGATGGATTTGTTTGAAACAGAAAGCAGAATCCCAGTGGAGACACAGCCACATCATTCCCTGAAGAAACCTGTTTGGTGCTTACTGTGGGCCAGAAAAATAAGTGAGAGGAAAAGGAAGGTGTTTCGTCAAGCCTGACTCTTCTAAGCTACAGGGTAAAGAAATAGAGGGAAAGGGGGAAAATAGCTCTGGCGTCCTGTTATATGTGGTATGTTTCTATTCATAAATGCTTCTCACTTTGCAGTTACTATGGGTCACACAGCATCACATCTGATAGTTTTGCATTTGTTAGAAGATGAAAAAGACAATTTAAATTTATATTCTACTATTCACATGGCCTTTTGAAATAATGTTATAAAATTCTCTCCATCTTCCCTTTTCTTCACCCTTTCCCTTGTTTTTCATCATTTTCCATGGTTTTCATCATTGTCCTCGCTGCATTATTGCTTTTGTTGTCTGATGTAACTCTCTGTCTACTTCATCTTTCTTGCTATTTGATTCCTGTTTTTCATACTTTTCATATATTATTTTACTCCAGAAGTTTCAAACTAGCTGCCTTCAGGCCACATCTGGTTTGTGTAAATATTTCATTTTATTTACAGATGTTTATAAAACAATATCAGTTCACAGACAAGATTTAAAAGTTAGATGATATCCCTGAAAATGTGCTATTATAACTTGTCTTGAAAAGTTAGAAATCTGGCAAAATTGGACCTACCATCCAGATCGTCAACAACTGGATGCTCAGTGTCCCTGGGGTGGTGTTTGCAGTTGTCCATCCCCTGGATGCTCAGTGTCCCTGGGGTGATGTTTGCAGTTACCCATCCCCTGGATGCTCAGTGTCCCCGGGGTGGTGTCTGCAGTTGCCCATCCCCTCGACCTGGGTCACTTATTTACTGCACCAAGCTGGCCCCTACAGGCAATGGGACTTAAGGTCCTTTGTCTAAATTTGTGTATATTTAGCACTCTATGCCAATTGTATTTTTGTTGTTGTTGTTGTATTTATTATTAGTCCATGACCTTTCGATATAAAAAGTTGTATACAGAATATTGTGTACAATATTCTTCTCTATATATGCATTGGCTCTATGAGCAAAATAAGATACAGGTCTTCCTTTTTAGAAGGCTACCTTACAAATGAAGAGACCAGCACATCACCAAGTACACGGGCCAGAGTCTAATCTGGGTGGTAAATTCTTTCTTTCCATGGTTCATTAGTAAAGAATGAGTTATTGTGCATAGCCCTGCCTAGAGACGCTGAGTAAAGTGTTTCCCTTGTCCCCTGAAGGAATTAATGTGCCTTTGTTTATGAAAACCTAACCTTAAAAAGGCAAAGCTCTCAGCCACTCTATAGGAAAGAGGGATCAAGGCATTAATGAAGGTGAGGGGCGGGGGCTCAAATGCAGAGACAAACATACTTGCTAAGACGGTCATAGGGTGGGAGCTGGAGGGGAGGGTGCCTGACGGCTGGACTTCAGCTCCCCGGTGGCTCTGAGGAGGCAGCAAGGGACATCCGGGGGCCTGTGTGGTTGCTTGGAGATGTGGGGATGTCCCAGGGGCTCTGTTACCAATGATCACCTAATGACACGGGTGGCTTCCTTTTAGAAACCCTTAGAACCCAGAGAAAGGAGGGAATGCTTGAAATACTGAATATCCATCCACATGCATGGAGGACTCTTCACTTGGTTTAGATAATTTGCCTTAGAAAATTAAAGGAATACATTTCACGAGCGTTGCACCTCAATGGCTTGAAACAAACTCATACCTATTTCATTAGATTGCAAAACTATCACAGATGCTGTTATAGACATTGTTCAAAATATGCAGTATTCTCAAAGGAAAAACGAACCCACAGGAGGTGAAATTTCATTTGCATCGTTAGAAATGATTGCCAAGTTTGTTCTTTGAAACCAACGAGAACAAAGACACAACAAACCAGAATCTCTGGGACGCATTCAAAGCAGTGTGTAGAGGGAAATTTATAGCACTAAATGCCCACAAGAGAAAGCAGGAAGGATCCAAAATTGACACCCTAACATCACAATTAAAAGAACTAGAAAAGCAAGAGCAAACACATTCAAAAGCTAGCAGAAAGGCAAGAAATAACTAAAATCAGAGCAGACTGAAGGAAATACGGACACAAAAAACCCTTCAAAAAATTAATGAATCCAGGAGCTGGTTTTTTGAAAGGATCAACAAAATTGATAAACCACTAGCAAGACTAATAAAGAAAAAAAAGAGAGAAGAATCAAATAGATGCAATAAAAAATGATAAAGGGGATATCACCACCGATCCCACAGAAATACAAACTATCATCAGAGAATACTACAAACACCTCTACACAAATAAACTAGAAAATCTAGAAGAAATGGATAAATTCCTCGACACATACACTCTACCAAGACTAAACCAGGAAGAAGTTGAATCTCTGAATAGACTAATAACAGAATCTGAAATTGTGGCAATAATCAATAGTTTACCAACCAAAAAGAGTCCAGGACCAGATGGATTCACAGCCGAATTCTACCAGAGGTACAAGGAGGAACTGGTACCATTCCTTCTGAAACTATTCCAATCAATAGAAAAAGAGGGAATCCTCCCTAACTCATTTTATGAGGCCAGCATCATCCTGATACCAAAGGCGGGCAGAGACACAACCAAAAAAGAGAATTTTAGACCAATATCCTTGATGAACATTGATGCAAAAATCCTCAATAAAATACTGGCAAACTGAATCCAGCAGCACATCCAAAAGCTTATCCACCATGATCAAGTGGGCTTCATCTCTGGGAAGCAAGGCTGGTTCAATATATGCAAATCAGTAAATGTAATACAGCATATAAACAGAACCAAAGACAAAAACCACATGATTATCTCAATAGATGCAGAAAAGGCCTTTGACAAAATTCAACAACCCTTCATTCTAAAAACTCTCAATAAATTAGGTATTGATGGGACATATCTCAAAATAATAGGAGCTATCTATGACAAACCCACAGCCAATATCATACTGAATGGGCAAAAACTGGAAGCATTCCCTTTGAAAACTGGCACAAGACAGGGATGCCCTCTCTCACCACTCCTATTCAACATAGTGTTGGAAGTTCTGGCCAGGGCAATTAGGCAGGAGAAGGAAATAAAGGGTATTCAATTAGGAAAAGAGGAAGTCAAATTGTCCCTGTTTGCAGACGACATGATTGTATATCTAGAAAACCCCATTGTCTCAGCCCAAAATCTCCTTAAGTAGGTAAGCAACTTCAGCAAAGTCTCAGGATACAAAATCAATGTGCAAAAATCATAAACATTCTTACACACCAACAACAGACAAACACAGAGCCAAATCATGAGTGAACTCCCATTCACAATTGCTTCAAAGAGAATAAAATACCTAGGAATCCAACTTACAAGGGATGTGAAGGACCTCTTCAAGAAGAACTACAAACCACTGCTCAAGGAAATAAAAGAGGATACAAACAAATGGAAGAATATTCCATGCTCATGGGTAGGAAGAATCAATATTGTGAAAATGGCCATACTGCCCAAGGTAATTTACAGATTCAATGCCATCCCCATCAAGCTACCAATGCCTTTCTTCCCAGAATTGGAAAAAACTACTTTAAAGTTCATATGGAACCAAAAAAGAGCCCGCATAGCCAAGTCAATCCTAAGCCAAAAGAACAAAGCTGGAGGCATCATGCTACCTGACTTCAAACTGTACTACAAGTCTACAGTAACCAAAACAGCATGGTACTGGCACCAAAACAGAGATATAGATCAATGGAACAGAACAGAGCCCTCAGGAATAACCCCACATATCTACAACTACCTGATCTTTGACAAATCTGAGAAAAACAAGCAATGGGGAAAAGATTCCCTATTTAATAAATGGTGCTGGGAAAACTGGCTAGCCATATGTAGAAAGCTGAAACTGGATCCCTTCCTTACACCTTATACAAAAATCAATTCAAGATGGATTAAAGACTTAAATGTTAGACCTAAAACCATAAAAACCCTAGAAGAAAACCTAGGCATTACCATTCAGGACATAGGCATGGGCAAGGACTTCATGTCTAAAACACCAAAAGCAATGGCAACAAAAGACAAAATTGACAAATGGGATCTAATTAAACTAAAGAGCTTCTGCACAGCAAAAGAAACTACCATCAGAGTGAACAGGCAACCTACAAAATGGGAGAAAATTTTCGCAACCTACTCATCTGACAAAGGGCTAATATCCAGAATCTACAATGAACTCAAACAAATTTACAAGAAAAAAACAAACAACCCCATCAAAAAGAGGGCGAAGGACATGAGCAGACACTTCTCAAAAGAAGACATTTATGCAGCCAAAAAACACATGAAAAAATGCTCATCATCACTGGACATCAGAGAAATGCAAATCAAAACCACAATGAGATATCATCTCACACCAGTTAGAATGGTAATCATTAAAAAGTCAGGAAACAACAGATGCTGGAGAGGATGTGGAGAAATAGGAACACTTTTACACTCTTGGTGGGACTGTAAACTAGTTCAACCATTGTGGAAGTCAGTGTGGCGATTCCTCAGGGATCTAGAACTAGAAATACCATTTGACCCAGCCATCCCATTACTGGGTATATACCTGAAGGACTATAAATCATGCTGCTATAAAGACACATGCACATGTATGTTTATTGTGGCATTATTCACAATAGCAAAGACTTGGAACCAAGCCAAATGTTCAACAATGATAGACTGGATTAAGAAAATGTGGCACATATACACCATGGAATACTATGCAGCCATAAAAAATGATGAGTTCATGTCCTTTGTAGGGACATGGATGAAATTGGAAATCATCATTCTTAGTAAACTATCACAAGAACAAAAAACCAAACACCGCATATTCTCACTCATAGGTGGGAATTGAACAATGAGAACACATGGACACAGGAAGGGGAACATCACACTCTGGGGACGGTTGTGGGGTGGGGGTAGGGGGGAGGGATAGCATTGGGAGATATACCTAATGCTAGATGACGAGTTAGTGGGTGCAGTGCACCAGCATGGCACATGTATACATATGTAACTAACCTGCACATTGTGCACATGTACCCTAAAACTTAAAGTATAATAATAATAAATTTAAAAAAAAAGAAATGATTGTCAAGTTTGAGATAGGAAAGTAGGTCGCTAGAGAGGCTATTTCAGTTAAAGGTTTCGGCATAAGCAAAGATCCCTAATTGTGAAAATGACTATCTGGGGGGAAAGTGGAATGGAAAGTGAACGACCGACCACGGATCTCACTGGGAGACGTGGGGAATGAAGCCGGGAGGACTTGGGAGCAGAATACAAATGGCTGAGCCTATAAAGGTAGAAACGATGGGCTTCATTCATTCAGCCAATGCTGAGCCACCATCTTTCAAGGATACACAGCTCGTTGAGTGACTGAGCCCTTCTCCATCTGTGGTCTTGTCAACTATATGCAGCGTTGGTCATCCTTCATCTTTCATCAACATCCTTTATAACACATTAATGAAAGTTCCAGGGGCAGTCCTGACTCCAGTCATGGGTGATCCCAGGACTTGTACGATATCATGGCCGCTGAGAGAATCTCCCCAGTCTCTCGTTCCTGCTCACGCATCTTCTCCATTGCAGTAGCCAATTGCTCACTAACAACTCTAGGCTTTCACCAACATCACCAAGTTCGGCAATAGGAGATAAATTCTCTCTTGAAACCCTGATCTCAGGCCTTACTGAGTGGTCCAGGCCATATATCCATCCCTGAACCAGTCAGCACTGAATGAAGTGTGAGAATGAAACCTGAGTCTTGTCTTTAAGTGCAAGTAACCTGTCAACCCCTCCAAACACATGAAGCCAGAGGGTGTCAGAGCGGTAGGAGGAATGGGAGCAAAGAAGAAAAACACATGTGCATGCACACACACTCACACTCTCACACACACATGCTCTCTCTCACACACTCACACACACTCACACACACATGGTCTCACACACATTCACATGCTGTCACACACACTCACATGCTCTCTCACACACATTTGCACTCACACACTCACATGCTCACACAGTCACACACACTCACATACTCTCCCATGCTCACACTCATATGCTCTCACACACATGCTCTCTCATACACTCACACACTCACACTCACATGCTCACACACACATGCTCTCACACACATGCTCTCACACTCACATGCTCTCTCACACTCACATGCTGTCTCACACACACACTCACACACATGCTCTCACACACACTCACACACACATGCTCTCTCACACTCACACACACATACTCTCCCATGCTCTCTCACACACACATGCTCTCTCCTACACTCACACACTCACACTCACATGCTGTCTCTCACACACACACATGCTCTCTCACACACACATGCTGTCTCACACACACTCACATGCTCTCTCACACACACTCATATGCTCTCTCTCACACACACATGCTCTCTCAACTCATTCACACATTCACACACACATGCTCTCTCACACACACTCACACACACACAGTCACACACAAACATATTTCCACCAAAGAGGTATTTGTCAGTATGAGAATGGATTGTAAATTTGAGAAAAAATTAAAAAGCTAAGGGCTATAACTCAGGAACGGCTCCCAACAGAGAGGGCAGAAAGAGTCTAAACAAGGGCTGAAAGACTGGGTACAAAACTAATGTAAAGGACTGTTTCAGCCTTAAGTATAACATTGCATCCACCCTCCATCGTGGCCATGGGCCTGCAGCTGGATTAGAAACCATGATAGCTCTTGGCAGCGCGGATGATGTAAAAGGGACTACATCACCATGTCTGATGCGTTCATTTATAAAACCATCTGAGAACTCTGGGGCATGTTCTTAATAAAGTTCAGAACTTTGTGACTTTTCTCTTTATCCCTGTAGGTCAGTTAATTCCAACAGATGCTAACAGGTAAGGATTGGATGTGGAGTTCTTAAGGATACATTTTTTATTTTATTACATTTAATCTAAAATTTAATTGAGATTACCAAGACAATTGGGACTTTAAACTTAAGATCCTAGAAAATGGATGAAACTTGCTCACATTTTAATAGAAAACCAAATATTTCAGTCATTCATTTTAGGCTTTGACATTGTTTTTGATCTTAATGGACTCATGGAAAGTTTGTACAAGGTTTAAACCCAGGAGCTCTAAGTATACATTAAGTTGCATGTGGTGTTCCCTGTGTAACTGAACTTGTCAAATGAGATCCACCCACTGCACACAAACAGGGAACAGTAGCACAATGGAAAATGATGTGCTTTTGCAAAAAATAAGGAGGTAGCACCTCATCTTGTTCCCACCTCCACCACTGGACAGTCAAAGAAGCTCAGTTTCATAGAGCAATCCCCAAAATGAATAACCACCTTAACTAGGAGAATTACGACAGCGGAAGTATTGTGTATTGATGTCGTCTTTCACTGTCATCATCCATCCCAATTATAAACCTTAGCCCACTGAATATTTCACACTGAAATTACTTCTGTAATTTATTGTCTCCTGTGGAAGGGCCAATAAAGGAGCTGAAAAATATTCTTCTTGTATTTGCCTTACACTGGGCAAGTCCACTAGCAAGGAACTTCTCTACCACATGTACTGATTAAGACATTAGCATTTTTTCATCTTGATTAGAGAGAAGAAAGTTGCTTTAAAGCTTTTGCAGAAATATTGTTGCAGACCATCTAAGGCACAAAGCTTAAGGACCACATTCAGCTTAGAAATGGTGAGAAACGGTGACAAACTGGGGAGATAGGCAGCGTCCCATCTAACAGGTAAGGAGCAGCTGTGAGAAGCCCCAGTGAATCTTGTCCCCAGTAAGCTGAAAACCAGCACCTGATGGAACAGGAGGAGAGATCCAGCCCATTACGAGAGGGGTGGCAGCAGCTAGATGAGTCTTTGGGTCTCAGACAGAAAACATATTCATGAGTTGGATGTCCTTTTCCTTTTAAGATATACATTTATTCCATTTCTTGAGAAATTGCTAGGCAATTCACCAACTAATTCTTCACTGATTTATTCATTTTACTTAAGGTTAAATGATGTCAATTTTCCCCCGAGGTACTTAACTGCGGAAAATTCACCAAAGCTTTTAAGATAGAGGTTGAAAAGGAACCGATGTGCTCTATGAAGCGCTAGAAAAGACTTCTTAAACTTCTAGATGCAGTTACCCAGTTTTGGAAAATAGGTTACAACTTGTGTATACAAACTTTACTAAGGATCATTTTAGGTTTCTTCCACTGGAAAACCAGAACAGAAAGCCATGCTTAATTATGCTTTCCATTTGATATTTATTGAATGTTGTTTTTTTAAAATTTTAAAAGAAGCACATAAATGGGTCACCCAAGTGAGTGCCAAAGTGAGATTCTCTCCTTAACGATGTCTCTGTAAAGCTGACCCGAAGAGATTGAGTGGGAAGGCTAGAGGCAGGAAGGAGATAAAGTGGTTCACTATCAAGAAAGAGGAAAGTGGACGTTATAAGGGGGCTCTGAAGTGGCAGAGACTTAAGGAACAATGCAGAAAGGACTTGGAGGTTAACCTGTCGTTAAGTACAGAATCCCTCTCAATCCATCACCTGGACAGCTGTAAATTTCCCACAACAAGAGAGACGGGCATTTGGAAAACTTGCTGGAAGTGAAAACCCGACAGATGAAATTATTTTCTTGACCAAACAGAAAGTGTGAAGACTTTATTAAGAACAAAATCTCAGATAAACTCCCAACAATTTGCATTGTCTTGTATTGGTGGTGGTGGAGGGTTAATGAAGCCATCCACTTGTCTGTAGTAATAAAAGACTATAACATTTCACCATTTTAACAGAGAAGCCAAAGAATGACCCCACCATACTCCTCATTTACAACAGGAAAAACTAGGATGCATGTAGAATTCATTCCTTGCTTCCGTCCCAAAACCCAATCAGCCAGAGGAGGCTGTTGCATTTCCAAGCACACTGCTGTTTCTTTGTTCAAGACTTAATAATTTATTATCTGGGTTAGGGCATCAGTTTCCCAGATGGCCTTCCTTCCTGGAGTCAGCTGGAAGTCCTGATCATACAAGAATCACCTTTGCCTGGCTTTCCTCATTCATCCATCACCACTCATCACTCATAGGTGACCATCAGCTATGTTGACCCACACGCAGGCACCTGGCTTTCCCCCCTCATCTACCACCACTCCTCACCCATAGGTAATTATCTGCTAAATTGAACATACAATTTCATCTTGAAGAGTAAAGAATTATTACAGAAATGCAATCTATCTCCATTCAGTCCCTGAAGCCAACATGTTTTTTTCCATGTTTGGCCTCTGGCTCATGTTACCTTTTTCTGCTCAGGATGTTCTATCTTTATCCCATTTTTTAGCTCACCATGTATTCCTTGTCATCTAAGATTCTGCTCAGACATTATCTCCTCAAGAAGCTTTCATAACCCACCTTCTCCCACATGCAAATCTCTATCCCCACTGCCTGGAATTGAACACCCTCCATGTCACATTACAATATAATTTCAAGTATCAGTGACTAGCCTGGGCTTGAAGATTCTTGAGGACAGGATACAGCCTTATTCACCTTTATTTCCCTGCCAAATGGCTTGAGATACAACTGTTGCTGAATTAATAAGAGAATGAGGTTACCTAAGGAAAGACAGAGCAAGTCAAACTAAGGAAGCTGAATTAACTTGAGACACATCTAAGTCCACTGAGCATTTTAAATTAAGGAGTAACATGGTAAACCTTGTTAGCAAGATGGGAGGTTCCCCATAAATTCTTTTGGAATTTAAATCATTTAGAAATATCACTGCAAGAGTAAATTAGGGGAGAAAGGAAAAATTAGGAGGCTTTGCATTAATCCAAGCAGAAAATTTTGCATGTCTGAAGGCAGACAGCGGCAGCACAGACACCCAAAAATTCTTGAAAACTGATTATATGCTAGAGATGAAGAAGAAAGTGTGGTGATGGCCAGGACTTTGACTTCAGGGACTGAATGGATATGGGTTCCATTTCTGTAACAATTCTTTACTCTGCAAGACAAAACTATTTGTTCTTCTCGTTTGAGAACCTAGTTGGGTCCACTAAGAAGGGACATTTTAAATGAGAGATATCCGAGCTTCATCTACTGCCTCTCTTCCATTGTTGTCTCAGATACCTTAAATAGAACCACAATTATTTTCACAGATTCATTCATTCACCCATTCAACTGTTCATTTATTTTCAACAAATATTTATTAAATGCCTCTTTATGTGTGGAGTGGTGTTCGATTCAAGGCAGTGGGGATAAATAGTTTCTTCATGGAATTCCTACCATGGTTTGGAAGATCAAAATGAGTACGATAAGTAAGTAAAATACACGATATGCCAGGTGGTGGTTTGTACAATGGAAGATAATTAAACCTGGGTGGAATAAGGGTAATAAGTTGGGGGCACTTGTGGCCGTTGATTAGAGCGGCTTCCACCCCTATAGAGAGGTCATTGGAAGGCTCTCTGGTAACGTAGAGTTTCGCTAGATGCATGAAGGAATCTACGTGGTGATATGAAGGTACAGAGGCATCCACAGTGAAAAGCCCTTAAGCAGGAGGGGACGGGGACATGGGCTGCTCAAGGAGGAGCAGGCATGGACTAGACATTCAGGCCTGGGAAGTAGAGGGTGTACAGAACAGGATAGAGAGGTCAGAGGGGGATGGACATCTAATACAGAGAGCCACATAGACCACGGTGAGGACATGGGCTTTTACACTGAGGTTTTAACCATGATCATGATAGGACAATACTCATTGCAAAATTGAGAGTAGATTAATGGGAAAGGAAGTGCACATGCAGGAAGAGCTGCTGGGAGGCTGCTCTAGCCATCCAGACAAAAGACGGTGGTGGCTTGGCCCAGGGACATGTCAGGGGAGTGGATGCAGTAGGGTCCGATTTTTCGAGGTGGCTTACCCTCTTCACTGTGGCCACAAGGGTTTCCCACTCCAACAGCGTCCTGGCATCTCAGGGGACTCAGCGCTACCAAAAAAGTATTCTCAGATGTGGGCAGCTGCCACATTGGTGCTTCTGTGGCACTGACTCTGCCATCTTGCTGAGGTCACCAGCCAGGGAAAGGTTCTTAGGGGAACTCTAGGTCTGGAGGCAGCTTTCCCTGCATCATCCCGGTCAAGATGTGATGACCTCCAGGAATTCGCAGTCCTGAGTCAATCCACAGTCCTCTGGTGAAGGGGAAGCTGGCAGGTCTGAGGGGAGTGCTGGGGTCATCATGCAAGTCCATCCTGTGAACCCTCCTCTGAAAGGTCACCACAGCCCTTTCTTAGGGTGAACCTGCCCTGGGGAATGGAAAATACCCAGACATTCCAGATCTGTTGGCGCTGACACTGACTTAATGGGAATGAATAGCCTCCAGAATATGCAGGGGTCACTGGCAAGAGTGGTCGAGCGTCTCTTCAGGGATCAGAGAGTTTGGGGCCTAAGCGCTCGCCCTAGGAACTCAGCAAACCATGGACACATCTTGCAGTGTCTTTCAAGTTCAGCATGCATCCATGGAGCAAACACAACCAGCAGTTGGCAGATACCATGCTGGCCTCTTAAAATCTGGCTATTGAAGCAAAGACTTGGAACCAATCCAAATGCCCATCAATGATAGACTGGATACAGAAAATGTGGCACATATACACCATGGAATTCTATGCAGCCATAAAAAAGAATGAGCTCATGCCCTTTGCAGGGACATGGATGAAGCCAGAAACCATCATTCTCAGCAAACTAACACAGGAACAGAAAACCAAACACCTCATGTTCTCACATACGGAAGAACACGTGAGAGTTGAACAATGAGATCACCTGGACACAGGGAGGGGAACATCACACACTGGGGCCTGTCGGGAGGTGTGATCAAGGGGAAGTAAAGTATTAGGACAAACACCTAATGCAAGAGGAACTTAAAACCTAGATGATGGGTTGGTAGGTGCAGCAAACCATCCTGGCACATGTATACCTATGTAACAAACCTGCACATTTATCCCAGAACTTAAAAAAAAAATGGCTATTGAGTTAAGAGGTCCAAGTGGAAACCCCCGAAGCTCCCTCTCCCAGTCAAAATTGTAAACTAAAACCAACATGACATGGCCAAGGGGACTGCAGAGATTACTGCCACCATCAAAGTCACCCTGTATGCAGAGACTAGCAATCCTATTACACGCTCATTTAACCCTTTTGATTGGCTGGTAAAAAAGACAGAAGTATCTTTGTGGAATTCAGTGTATTACACAATTATTGACTTCAGTTGCTTCTGTATTTCCAGATATTTTCTTCTATACTAAAGCAAATCAGTGCATCTACATGTGTTATATATCACAGAGCTACTGATGCAGCCAGTACATCCCTCTGCTCCAATAAGCAGAGAAAGAGAGCTTGAATTTTTATTTTAATGTTTTCTTTCACTTAGCAAGGATGGCAGTAGCTGGCTGTTACCTCAATGGTATAGGTAATTTTTTAATATGAGCTTCACAGCTGCTTCAAAATCTGAGTTTAAATGACTCTAGACTGAATATAACCTAATTATATCATGGTCTCTAAATTATTCTTGTAATACTTCATATTTTTGTCATCACAGTTGAAAGCAACTTTTCAAATAAAGGTCAATGGCTATGAAAGTGACTAGAATTTATAGGGAAGCATGCAGTGTGAAGTGTTTCGGTGAGGCTGGTGGCCTAATGACCTTAACATTTCTACTAAGATAGATACAATTACTGGCTTACTTTCACTAGTTTCTATCTAGTATATAATTGTCTGAAGAGTGTTTTTTCATTACTTTCAAAAGAGAAAAAAATGCTTCTCAGAGTAAGTTTCTATGTTTTTGATGAATAACTTTATCACACTCGAGATGGAAATATTATCTCTTCACAGCTTGTCTAATGGGCTGTAAAAATGCTAAACTAATAACTTATTTGGAGCACAGTATATAGGATTAATTTTTTTCTCTCCAAAACAAAGTGTATTGTCAAGGCATAATTTTTTTCACAAACTAATCAATTTTTGACCCTAAAAATGTCTACATTTAAAGTCCCAAAGCACCAATACTGCCAAGATTGTAGACCAACAAATGACAGTTTCCATATATTTTTAGTTTTTTTAATTATACTTTAAGTTCTGGGATACATGTGCACAACATGCAAGTTTGTTACATAGGTATACACTTGCCATGGTGGTTTGCTGCACCCTTCAACCAGTCATCTACGTTAGGCATTTCTCCTAATGCTATTCCTCCCCTTGTCCCCCACTACCCGACAAGCCCCCGTGTATGATGTTCCCCCCATGCCCATATGTTATCGTTGTTCAGTGTTTACTGACGAGTGAGAACATGCAGTGTTTGGTTTCCTGTTCCCATGTTAGTTTGCTGAGAATGATGGTTTCCAACTTCATCCATGTCCCTGCAAAGGACATGAACTCATTCTTTTTTGTTTTTGTTTTTGTGTTTTTGAGATGGTGCCTCGCTCTGTCACCAGGCTGGTATGCATTGTCACAGTCTCGGCTCACTGCAACCTCCACCTCCCGGATCCAAGCGATTCTGTTCCCTCAGCCTCCAGAGTAGCTAGGACTACAGGAATGCGCCACAACACCCAGCTAAGTTTTGAATTTTTCAGTAGAGATGGGGTTTTACCAGGCTGGCCAGATTGGTGTCAATCTCTTGACCTCATGATCTGCCCACCTTGGCATCCCATAGTGCTGGGATTATAGGAGTGAGCCACAGCATCTGGCCGAACTCATTCTTTTTTATGGCTGCATAGTATTCCATGGTGTATATGTGCCACATTTTCTTTATCCAGCCTAGCACTGATGGGCATGTGGGTTGGTTCCAAGTCTTTGCTATTGTAAATAGTGCTACAATAAACATATGTGTGAATGTGTTTTTATAGTAGAATGATTTATGATCTTTTGGGTATACGCTCAGTAATGGGATTGCTGGGTTAAATGGTATTCCTAGTTCTCTATCTTTGAGGAATCGCCACACTGTCTTCCGCAATGGTTGAACTAATTTACACTGCCACCAACAGTGTAAAAGCGTTCCTATTTCTCCACATCCTCTCCAGCATCTGTTGTTTCCTGACTTTTTAATGATCGCCATTCTAACTGGCATGAGATGTGGTTTTGATTTGCATTTCTCTAACGACCAGTGATGATGAGCTTTTTTTTCATATGTTTTGGCCGCATAAATGTCTTCTTTTGAGAAGTGTCTGTTCATACCCTTTGCCCACTTTTTGATGTTTTTTTTTATTCCTGTACATTTGTTTAAGTTCCTTGTAGATTCTTGATATTAGCCCTTTGTCAGATGGATAGATTGCAAAAATTTCTCCCATTCTGTGGGTTGCCTATTCACTCTGATGATAGTTTCTTGGCTGTGCAGAAGCTTTTTAGTTTAATTAGATCCCATTTGTCAGTTTTGGCTTTTGTTGCCATTGCTTTTGGAGTTCTAGTCATGAAGTCTTTGCCCATGCCTATGTCCTGAATGGTATTGCCTAGGTTTTCTTCTAGGGATTTTATGGTTTGAGGTCCTAAGTTTAAATCTTTAATCCATCTTGAGTTAATTTTCGTATAAGGTGTAAGAAAGGGGTCCAGTTTTGGTTTTCTGCATATGGCCAGCCAGTTTTCCCTACACCATTTGTTAAATAGGGAATCCTTTCCCCATTGCTTGTTTTTCTCAGGTTTGTCAAAGATCAGATGGTTGTAGATTTGTGGTGTTGTTTCTGAGGCCTCTGTTCTGTTCCGTAGGTCTATATATCTGTTTCGGTACCAGTACCATGCTGTTTTGGTTACTGTAGCCTTGTAGTACAGTTTGAAGTCAGGTGGCGTGACGCCTCCAGCTTTGTTATTTTTGCTTAGGATTGTCTTGGCTATACAGGCTCTTTTTTGGTTCCATATGAAATTTAAAGTAGTTTTTTCTAATTCTGTGAAGAAAATCCATGGTAGCTTGATGGGAATAGCATTGAGTCTATAAATTACTTTGGGCAGTATGGACACTTTCATGATATTGATTCTTCCTATCCACGAGCATGGAATGTTTTCCCATTTGTTTGTGTCCTCTCTTATTTCCTTGAGCAGTGGTGTGTAGTTCTCCTTGAAGAGGTCCTTCATATCCCTTGTAAGTTGTATTCCTAGGTATTTTATTCTCTTTGTAGCAATTGTGAATGGGAATTTGCTCATGATTCGGATCTCTGTTTGACTATTATTAGTGTATAGGAATGCTTGTGATTTTTGAACATTGATTTTGTATCCTGAGACTTTGCTGAAGTGGTTTATCAGCTTAAGGAGTTTTTGGGCTGAGATGATGGGGTTTTCTAAATATACAATCATGTCATCTGCAAACAGACATAATTTGACTTCCTCACTTCCTATTCGAATACCCTTTATTTCTTTCTCTTGCCTGACTGCCCTGGCCAGAACTTCCAATACTGTGTTGAATAGGAGTGGTGACAAGGCACATCCTTGTCTTGTGCCGGTTTTCAAAGGGAATGCTTCCAGCTTTTGCCCATTCAGTATGATATTGGCTGTGGGTTTGTCATAAATAGCTCTTATTATTTTGAGATACGTTCCATCAATACCTAGTTTATTGAGTGTTTTTAGCATGAAGGGGTGTTAAATGTTATCAAAGGCCTTTTCTGCCTCTATTGAGATAATCATGTGGTTTTTGTCATTGCTTCTGTTTATGTGATGGATTACGTTTATTGATTTGCGTATGTTTAACCAGCCTTGCATCCCGGGAATGAAGCCAGTTTGATTGTGGTGCATAAGCTTTTTGATGTGCTGCTGGATTCGGTTTGCCAGTATCTTATTGAGTATTTTTGCATTGATGTTTATCGGGGATATAGGCCTGAAATTTTCTTTTTTTGTTGTGTCTCTGCCAGGTTTTGGTATCAGGATGATGCTGGCCTCATAAAATGAGTTAGGGAGGAGTCTTTCTTTTTCTATTGTTTGGAATAGTTTCAGAAGGAATGGTACCAGCTCCTTTTTGTACCTCTGGTAAAATTCGGCTGTGAATCCATCTGGTCCAGGGCTTTTTTGGGGTGGTAGACTATTAATTACTGCCTCAATTTCAAAACTTGTTATTGGTCTATTCAGGGATTCGACTTCTTCCTGATTTAGTCTTGGGAGGGTGTATGTGTCCAGGAATTTATCCATTTCTTCTAGGTTTTCTAGTTTATTTGCATAGAGGTGTTTATAGTATTCTCTGATGGTAGTTTGTATTTCTGTGGGATCGGTGGTGATATTCCCTTTATCATTTTTTATTGTGTCTTTTTGATTCTTTTCTCTTTTCTTCTTTATTAGTCTGGCTAGCCATCTATCTATTTTGTTAATCTTTTCAAACAACCAGCTGCTGGATTCATTGATTTTTTTGAAGGGTTTTTTGTTTATCTCATTCAGCTCTTCTCTGATCTTAGTTAATTCCTTGTCTTCTGCTAGCTTTTTAATTTAAAAGAACTTTTCTAGTTCTTTTGTGATGTTAGGGTGTCGATTTTAGATCTTTCCTGCTTTCTCCTGTGGGCATTTAGTGCTATAAATTTCCCACTAAACACTGCTTTAGCTGTGTCCCAGAGATTCTGGTATGTTTTGTCTTTGTTTTCATTGGTTTCAAATAACTTATTTGTTCCTGCCTTAATTTTGTTATCTACCCAGTAGTCATTCAGGAGCAGGTTGTTCACTTTCCATTTAGTTGTGCAGTTTTGAGTGAGTATCTTAATCCTGAGTTCTAATTTGATTGCACTGTGGTCTGAGAGACTGTTTGTTATGATTTCTGTTCTTTTGAATTTGCTGAGGAGTGTTTTACTTCCAATTATGTGGTCAATTTTAGAATAAGTACTATGTGATGCTGAGAAGAATATATATTCTTTTGATTTGGGGTGGAGAGTTCTGTACCTGTCTATTAGGTTCACTTGGTCCAGAGCTGAGTTCAAGTCCTGAATATCCTTGTTAATTTTCTGTCTCATTGATCTGTCTAATATTGACAGTGGAGTGTTAAAGTCTCCCACTGTTATCGTGTGAGACTCAAAGTCTCTTCGTAGGTCTCTAAGAATTTGCTTTCTGAATCTGGGTGCTCCTGTATTGGGTGCATATAAATTTAGGATAGTTAGCTCCTCTTGTTGCATTGATCCCTTTACCATTATATAATGTCCTTCTTTGTCGTTTTTGATCTTTGTTGGTTTAAATTCTGTTTTATCAGAGACTAGGATTGCAACCTCTGCTTTTTTTTTTTTTTTTTTTTTTGCTTTCCATTTAGTTGGTGAACATTCCTTCATCTTTTTATTTTGAGCCTATGTGTGTCTTTGCATGTGAGATGGGTCTTCTGAATACAGCACACCGACGGCTCTTGACTCTTTATGCAAGTGGCCATTCTGTGCCTTTTAATTGGGGCATTTAGCCCGTTTACATTTAAGTTTAATATTGTTATGTGTGAATTTGATCCTTTCATTATGATGCTAGCTGGTTATTTTCCCCATTAGTTGATGCAGTTTCTTCATAGTGTTGATGGTCTTTACATTTTGGTTTGTTTTTGCAGTGGCTGGTACTGGTTTTTCCTTTCCATATTTAGTGCTTCCTTGAGGAGCTCTTGTAAGACAGGCCTGCTGGTGACAAAACCCCTCAGCATTTTCTGGTCTGTAAGAGATTTTATTTCTCCTTCACTTATGAAGTTTAGTTTGGCTGGATATGAAATTCTGGGTTAAAAATTCTTTTATTTAATAATGTTGAATCTTGGCCCCCCCTCTCTTCTGGCTTGTAGGGTTTCTGCAGAGAGATCCACTGTTAATCTGATGGGCTTCCTTTTGTGGGTAACCCAACCTCTGTTTCTGGCTGCCCTTAACATTTTTTCCTTCATTTCAAACTTGGTGAATCTGATGATTATGTGTCTTGGGGTTGTTCTTCTCCAGGAGTATCTTTGTGGTGTTCTCTGTATTTCCTGAATTTGAATGTTGGCCTGTCTTGCTAGACTGGGGAGGTTCTCCTGGATAATATCCTGAAGTGTGTTTTCCAACTTGGCTCCATTCTCCCCGTCACTTTCAGGTACACCAATCAAACGTAGGTTTGGTCTTTTCACATAGTCCCATAGTTCTTGGAGGCTTTGTTCATTCCTTTTCATTCTTTTTTCTCTAATCTTGTCTTCATGCTTTATTTCATTAAGTTGATCTTCAATCTCTGATATGATTTCTCCCACTTGATCAATTCTAGTATTGATACTTGTATATGCTTCACGAAGTTTTTGTGCTGTGTTTTCAGCTCCATCAGTTCATTTATGTTCTTCTCTAAACTGGATATTCTAGTTAGCAATTCTTCTAACCTTTTATTAAGGTTCTTAGCTTCCTTGCATTGGGTTAGAACATGCTCCTTTAGCTCAGAGGAGTTTATTACCCACCTTCGGAAGCCTACTTCCATCAATTTGTCAAACTCATTCTCTGTCTAGTTTTGTTTCTTTGCTGGTGAGGAGTTGTGATCCTTTGGAAGAGAAGCAGCATTCTAGTTTTTGGAATTTTCAGCCATTCTGTGCTGGGTTTTCCTCATCTTTGTGGATTTATCTACCTTTGGTCTTTGCTGTTGGTGACCTTCGAATCCTTTTTGTTGATGTTATTGCTTTCTGTTTGTTAGTTTTCCTTCTAACAGTCAGGACTCTCTTCTGCAGGTCTGCTGGAGTTTGCTGGGGGTCCACTCCACACCCTGTTTGCCTGGGTATCACAAGGGGAGGCTGCAGAACAGCAAAAATTGCTGCCTGCTCCTTCCTCTGGAAGCTTCATCCCAGAGGGGAACCTGCCAGATGGCAGTTGGAGCTCTCCTGTATGAGGTGTCTGTCAACCCCTGCTGGGAGGTGTATCCCAGTCAGGAGGCATGGGGGTCAGGGACCCACTTGAGGAGGCAGTCTGACCCTTAGCAGAGTTTGAATGCTGTGCTGGGAGAGCTGCTGCTCTCTTCAGAGCCGGGACGCAGGAACGCTTAAGTCTGCTGAAGCTGCACCCACAACTGCCTCTTCCCCCAGATGCTCTGTCCCAGGGAGGTGGGAGTTTTATCTATAAGTCCCTGACTGGGGCTGCTGCCTTTCTTTCAGAAATGCCCTGCCCAGAGAGGAGGAATCTAGAGAGGCAGTCTGGCTACAGCGACTTTGCAGCTTGGCAGTGTTCTCTGCCCAGTCTGAACTTCTGGTGTCTTTGTTTACACTGCGAGTAGAAAACCGCCTACTCAAGCCTCAGTAATGGCAGACACCCCTCCCCCCACCAAGCTCAAGCATCCCAGGTTGACCAGACTGCTGTGCTGGCAGCTAGAATTTCCAGCCAGTGGATCTTAGCTTGCTGGGTTCTGTTGGGGTGGGATCCACTGGAGCAAGACCACTTGGCTGCCTGGCTTCAGCCCCCTTTCCAGGGGAGTGAATGGTTCTGTCTCGCTGATGTTCCAGGCGCCATTGGGGTACAAAAAAAGACTCCTGCAGCTAGCTCGGCGTCTGCCCAAATGGCGGCCCAGTTTTGTGCTTGAAACTCAGGTCCATTGTGGTGTAGGTACCCGAGGGAATCTCCTGGTGTGTGGGTTGTGAAGACTGTGGGAAAAGCATCGTATCTCGGCCTGACAGCACCATCTCTCACAGCACAGTCCCTCACGGCTTCCCTTGGCTAGGGGAGGGAGTTACCCAGCCCCTTTTGCTTCCTGGGTGAGGCAATGCCCCACCCTGCTTCTGCTCACCCTCCATGGGCTGCACCCACTGTCTAACCAGCCCCAATGAGACGAACCAAGTACCTCAGTTGGAAATGCAGAAATCACCCACCTTCTGCGTTGGTCTCGCTGGGAGCTGCAGACTGGAGCTGTCCTATTTGGCCATCTTGCCTGGGAATCCCCAGTTTCCATATCTTTTAATCTAGGCAACATTTTGCTTCACTAGACATGGAAAATACATCTGTGGTATATTAAAGTGATGAATGCACATTGGTGTAGTAATCTCAGCAGGCTTCAGTCATTTTTTTGTTAGATATTAATTTCTTGAAGGAAAAGAAAATAGATTATTTTGGATATATGATCTGTCTTCTAGGAGAAGTACTAATTAATCCAGAAAAACAGATGTACTGTAAAGAAAATCAATAAAAGCTCTCTAAAAACTCACAGACTCAGGGATTAGATTTGTCCAATATTTCTTTGTTACATTGAATAAACTCTCCACTTCGTGATTCAAAATAAATAATAAACTGTATTACTTATGTATAAACAAACTGTGAGAGATTTCACTCTTCGTGTATGTTTTATAGATGAATTTTAGAAGCAGCCTACTTGTTTGTAGATTATGAAAATATTACTTTAATGAACACACAAATAGGAATACAGAATATTTGAATAACAACAATATTAGAATGTAGCTAAATATGCTACGAAAATACTACTGTTCACTCATTCAGCAAATAGTTATTGAATACTGTCCTGAGCTTTTCCTGCTGCTATAACAAAATTTCTTAGACTGAATAATTTATAAAGTCCTGAAATTGATTTTTCATAGTTCTGGAGGCTGGGAAGCTCAACGTCAAGGTGCTGGCAGATTTAGTGTCTGACGAGGGCTGTCTTCATTCCAGCCAATCAGAAGAGGAAAAGAGCACAGATGCTCAAACATGCAATTTTTCATGAGCCAAGTTTGAAAGAGGTATAAATCTTCTATACTCACATCCCATTGGTCAATTCCATCTTAACGTATCACCCACTTAAAAGGGGATGAGAAATGTGGCTTCTGGCTGAGTGTTCATTTTCCAGCATTGTCTTACATTAGGAAAGTGGAAAAAGGGAATTTTGTGAACAGCAAAACGTGGCTCCTCCAACTTCAACCTTCTTGAGTTTTGTAAGGTTGGTGGACTGGACAGGAATTTTTTTTTAATATTTTTATTCCCTCGTAATATTTATTGCCTCGTAATATTTATTCCCTTTTCTGTCTTGTATGGTTTTGGCATCTGAATTTTCCCAGTGTTACAGAATAAAATTGAGAGTTTGCCCTCTCTTTCTGTACCTTAGAATTATTCATAGAAAGTATATTGCTCTGTTCTGTGACAACTTGGAAGAACAACTCTGTAAAACAATTTCAGCCAATTGTTTACTTAATAAAGAATTTTTAAACTGATTCCAGTGATATTTTGGTTTTCTATTTCTTTTTTATTCAATTTTGGTAAAATATTCTTAGCTATTTGGACATTTTATCTCAATTTTCTAATTTTATGGCAAAATAGCCTTTTATTACCCTGTCAATCTCTGTTGAATAGATGGTATGTCACTTTTTCATTTTTACAATTATTTATTCTGGAATTTCTCTTCCTTTTTTCTCCTAGATCTAGCTCAAGATAGGCCTATCACGATTTTGTTTGTTTGTTTTGTTTCTTTGTTTCAGCTTTTCAGAGGACAAAATTTTCACATTAATATTTTTATTTTTCATATACCTATTTTATTATCTTTATGATCTCCTTTATTAATTTGGATAATTGCATTTTACTTTTTCTAAATTACTCTGTTGAACATTTTAAAATATAGTACCCATGGTATCATTTAGTTTAAAATACCCGATAAATCTATAACGTTAGTTATTCTTAAACCATAAATTGTTTAGTGTACATGTAGCTTTAATTTCTAACGTGTTGTTGGTATTTTCCTCTTTGTTGCTAAATATTAATTATTTATTTTATGGTTTGACAACATAGCTAGGATTTTGCTGATTCTATGTATTGTGTAGCAACTAGTCTTATGAACTAATACAACATAGATTTTTATAATAGTTCATATAACTCTAAAATATGTATATTTCCTAAATTAAGACTACAATTATTAAAAAACAAAAAATTACAATTATATTTATATGAAATAAGTTTGTTAATCATGTTTAAATTTCTATTTTACCATTTTTATGTTCTTGCCTCCCTAATCAATAATGGGGACAGGGAATTCTTCTGCTGTCAGAATATACAAACGCACGCGCACGCACAGACACACACACACACACACACAATTTTATTTTGGTCAGGAACCATGAATCACACCTATAATCCCAGCACTGTAGAAGGCCAAAGTAGGAGGACTATTTGATCCTAGGAATTTGAGACCAGCCTAGCCAACATAGCAAGATCCCATCTCTACAAAAAATTAAAATTAAATATTAGCCAGCTGTGCTGGCACCTGTAGACCCAGGTAGCCGGGAGGCTGAAGTGGAAAAATTGCTTCGGCCAGGGGAGTCTCTGTTGCAGTGAGCCCTGATCACACCACTGCACTCAGCCTGGGTAACAAAGCAAGACCCTATTCCCCCCCAAAAATTTTTAAATTTCTAGGTTTTCAATAACCTCACATTATTTTACATGTGGCTACAAATTTAGATTAGTATATCCTTCAAGAAAAATGATTACTATACCATTTTGTAATACCTCTTTTTTTTTTTTTTTTTTGAAATAGAGTCTCGCTCTGTCGCCCAGGCTGGAGTGCGGTGGTGCAATCTCGGCTCACTGCAAGCTCCGCCTCCCGGGTTCATGCCATTCTCCTGCCTCAGCCTCCCGAGTAGCTGGGACCACAGTCGCCCGCCACCATGCCTGGCTAATTTTGTTTTTTTTTGTATTTTTAGTAGAGATGGGGTTTCACTGTGTTAGCCAGGATGGTCTCGATCTCCTGACCTCGTGATCCACCTGCCTCGGCCTCCCAAAGTGCTGGGATTACAGGTGTGAGCCACCGCGCCCAGCCTCTTAATAGCTTTTTATCCCTCTTAATGATTTTCTCCTAAAGTCAATTTTTCTAATATTACCAAGTTATCCAGTTTATGTTGTTATCATTTGTGTTACATATTTTTAAACCACTTTTCTCTGTTGTTTTGACGTGTGTTTTTGTAAACGGCACATACTAGAACTTAGTTCTCAAGTATAATCTGATAATCCTGCCTTTTAACTAATAAATGTTTTCATTTTCATTTATTATAATCAGTAATAACTGATAGAGTGAGACTTGTTTTTACTATAATTTTAAAATGTAGGTTTTGGGCCAGGTGCAGTGGCTCACGCCTGTAATCCCAGTACTTTGGGAGGCCGAGGGACGCAGATCATGAGGTCAGAAGATCGAGACCATCCTGGCTAACATGGCGAAACCCGTCTCTACTAAAAATACAAAACATTAGCCAGGCATGGTGGTGGGTGCCTGTAGTCCCAGCTACTCGGGAGGCTGAGGCAGGAGAATGGCGTGAACCCAGGAGGCGGAGCTTGCAGTGAGCTGAAATCACGCCACTGCACTCCAGCCTGGGCCACCAAAGGAGACTCTCTCTCAAAAAATTAAAAAAAAAAAATAAAGGTAGGTTTCTTTCTATTTTCTGTCTTTCCTTTTCTCTTTCTAGTATAATTAGGGTTTTTGTTTGTTGTTACTTTGTTACTTTTTGTTGTTGAAATTCAATAACTTAGATGTTACTATTCTTATTTTGGTTACACTTGATATTTTATATTGCACACTTAAGTTAACCAAGTATAAAATAAAATTATACTCGCTTTCACAAAATATAAAATCTTAGGTATTTTAATTCTTATTTCTTTCTCTTGAGTTACGACTTGTTGGGTTTTTTCTGTCCAATATTTTAATTTCGTCTTTCCAAGAACATAGAATTTTAGACATCATTGCTTTTCTTCTCTTCAACGATATTTGTTTTTATTTACAAGCAAGTTTATAAGTTTGTTTGCTTGCCATTTCCTCCTTTATCTCAGATATTCCTCCTGGGATCATTTTCCTTCTTCTTGAAGTGTGTTCCTTATAACTTTTCACATTAAAATCTGTTGTGGCTATATTACAATACCTTATTCATCATAATTGCTGAAAAAGTAACTACTTAGAGCTGTTTATCTCCACACTATTCCATTGCCTCTGCCACTTATTGTTCCTCTTGAGAGTCCTCTGTGTGTTAATTTTCAGGCTTTTCTGAGTAACACATAGTTTGTTTTCATTCTCTGCTTGCTTTTAAGAATTTCTGCTTTGATGTCCTGCAGTTAAGGACTACTTCCTCCCCTCCCAGGTTTCAGTGGAAACCATTTGAAGGACAGGACTTGACAACAGTCCTGGAGTAACAGGTTTTCCACCCCACCCCACTGAGACAGAATCAAACAAGAGTGGGGGCTTCACCCTGCCCAGCAATGAAATGGTCAAGGCTCACAAACACACAGGAAGCCAGTGAAGGCCATGTGCGTAACAACTAGTGAGACACTTTCACCTTTCCCAGCAAGAAAGGTAGCAATGGCAACTAGTGAGGAGCCAGAAATCCTACCCTGGCCAGAAGTTACAAGCAGTAACCCTCACTGGGTGTCAACAGAGGAACCTGGATTTCTACCCTCACCTGATGGTAGTGAGTAGCACCTGTCCTTCACATATTAAACAGTGTCAAGAGAAATAGCTAAAATAAGGAAATGAGTAAGACTACGCTATATAACATAACTTCCAAAGCGTACAAATTTCAATGAAAAAACTCATTCATCATACCAAGAACCAGGGAGTTCTCAATAGAATGTTTAAAAATGAATAGATACCAACACTGAGATGACAGATAATTGGAATTACATTATAAAGATTTTAAATAGCCATTCTAAAAAATGAAAAATTGTGAACACAATTGAAACAAAATAAAGAAGCCTCATCAAATAGAAAGTCTGAGCAAAAAAATTAGAAGATATAAAAAGGAACCAAATGGAAATTTTAGAACTGAAAAGTATAACCACAATAAAACACACACATGAACATACACACAATAGATGAGCTTAACAGCAAAACGGAGGAGACAGGAAAAAAAGTGGAAAAAATATAGAACAATAGAAATAATATTGTTCTAAATAGAGAACAATAGAAATTGCCCATTGTGTAATATTGAGTGTCAACCTGATTGGATTGAAGGATGCAAAGTACTGTTCCTGGGTGTGTCTGTGGGGATGTGTTCAAAGGAGATTAACATTTGAGTCAGTGGAGTGGAAGAGGCAGACCCACCCTCTATCTGGGTGGGCACCATCTAGTCAGCTGGCAGCACAGCTAGAATAAAGCAGACAGAAGTTGGAAGAGCAGACTTGCTGAGTCTTCTGGTCATCATCTTGCTCCTTTGCTGGATGCTTCCTGCCCTTGAACATCAGACTCCAAGTTCTTCAGCTTTTGGTCTTTGGGACCCACACCAGTGATTTGCCAGGGGCTCTTGGGCCTTCGGCCACAGACTGAAGGCTGCACTGTCAGTTCCTCATTTTTGAGGTTTGGGACTCGGACTGGCTTCCAGGCTCCTCAGCTTGCAGACAGCCTATTGTGGGACTTCATCTTGTGATCGTGTCAGTCAATTCTCCTTAATAAAGTCCCTTTCATATAGACGTCTATCCTATTAGTCCTGTCCCTCTAGAGAACCCTGACTAATACGCCCATTCTATAACACAGAGGGAAAAAGCATACTGAATATAACCTTAGGAACTAGTAAAAATATAAGGAAAAAATAACATTTACATTATTAGAGGTCCAGAATGAAAAGAAAAAAAGTTGGTCTAAAAAAGCACTCAAATAATGATTAAAATTTTTCCCAAATGGCAAGAGACACAAAACCCACAGATTCAAAAAACTGAATGAACCCCAAAGAAATTCACTCATTATAGTCATAGAGTGAAAAATATAAAGATAGAAAAATACCTGAAAGTGGTGACAGAGTAGTAACACCTTACCTATAGATAAAAAGTGATTCTAATTACAGTGGATTTGTTCCTGGAAATTGTAAAGACCAGAAGGAAGTATTACATTTCTCAAGTGCTAAAAAATGTCAAACCAGAATTCTGTGTCCTGTAATAATATCATTCTGAATTAAAGAAAAAAATCAAAATATTATGAGACAAAAGTATATCAAGAGAATATGTCTCTAGAAGGCCTATTTTAAAGAATAGCTAAAGGAAATCATCTGAAAAGAAACAAAATGACTAAAAAAGGAAACTTAAATCACAGGGAAATAAGAAAAAAGATGGTAATAAAAAATATAGGTAAATATAATACTTTTTTTCTTCTCTTTATAGTTGAAGCAAAAATTATGGCATAGTTTGATGTCATTCCAACCATATATATATGTATATAGTATAGACAAAATACTTAAGAGAATTATATAATAAATGGAGAAAGGTAAAGAAATTTAAATGAGGGTAAGGTTCCTATAAATCAGTCAAACTGGTAATATAACAGCAGTACATAATGTTAAGTTGTGTCTGTATAAAGACCTAGAGAAACCACTAAAAACACTATACAAAGAGATACATTCGAAAACGCTAGCAATATATCACAATAGAATTTGGGACCAAAATTTAACTCAAAAGAAGACAAGAAAAAACACAGAGAAACAGGAAATATAGAGACCAAATAGAAAACAAAAATAAAATGGCAAAATTAAGTCCTAGTATAGCAATAATTACACTTAACACAAATGGTCCAAATACACGGATTAAAAGACAGTGTTATAACACATGACCAAACTGTACGCTTCCTACAAGAAACACACTTCAAATATAATAGTTTATGAAGGTTCAAAGTAAAAGAATAGAAAAATGATGTATCATGCATGCATTAATCAAAGGAAAACAGGAGTGGCTACATTAATCAGACAGGGATACTGAAGACTGACAAAAGGGTCAATCCACCAAGAGGACATAGCAATCTTAAATGTGTATGCCCCAAACAACAAAGCTGAAAAATATATTAAGCCAATCCTAATCTAACTGAAAGAAGAAATAGACAAATCCAAATTAAAGTGAGAGTTCAACATCCTTCACTCAATTAACAGACCAACTTAAAAATAGCAATGATATAGGAGAAATCAACAACATCATCAACCAACAGGATTTAACCAATATTTGTAGAACACTCCACCCAAAAACAAAAGAATACACATTCTTTTAATGTGTCGAATGGAGTATTCACCAAGATAGACCACGTATGAAACAAATTTTAAAAATAGAAATTATACAGAGTGTGTTCTCTACCCAAAAGGAAATCAAACGAGAAATTATAACAGAAAGATTACAGAGAAGTCTCCACACATTTGAGAACTAAATATGATACATCTAAAACATTCAGAATAAAAATGGAAGCCTCAAATACATTTTTAAAAGACAGAATGAAAATTAAAAAGAAATGTATCAAAACGTGTAGGGTAGAGCTAAAGCAGAGCTGACAGGGACATTTAAAGCATGAAATGAATACATTCAAACACAGAAAAAGCCTCAAATCAATAATATCAGCTTCTACCTCAAGAACTTAGGGAAGAAATGAGCAAATAAAGCCAAAACAATGAAAAGGAAGTAAATAACAAAGATAATAACACCCCCATGCCTCAGCCGAAGCTCGACCGGTGCAACTTCATCTAATTCACCTGTATCTTGCCCATCCCAGCTCCACTGAACCCAAATATGTCATGCTTTCATACACCAGTGAGCCCATGAGTGTGCCACTTCCTCAGCTTAGAATGCACACCCACCATTGTCTACTTGGTTAATTATTCATCAACCTGCAAGATTTCAAAGCCCTCAGAAGGGTTCTTTATCACAGGCTACAGCACACTGCAGAGTAACTGATTTCTTACCTTTTTCTTCCTCTTTGACTCAAAGCCATCTGAGAACAGATATTGCCGTCAAATTTATTAAACAAAAGATAAATATCAAAGCATATAAACACATTAGGCTGTGATAAGTGCTTCTGAGCAAAAGCTTCCAGATGCATTAGATACACTTAATAAATTATGATTGAAATAATTGCATTAAAGATACACTTTGCCGTCATGCAAATTGATACAACGATAATAAGGAGGAGCATCTATAAACACAAAATTATAGTTTCGCCAAAGTTTCTTCATAATCATCAGTGGATTTTTTCATACACAATTACCTTCAACCTTCATTTTCTTGTCAAATTAATGTTTAAATATTTAAATTTAAATTTGAATTTTAAATGGAAATATAAGCACATTGAATCCTATTAATAATATAATTCCCACAATGAAAATATCACATATCTCCTACATACACACACAGAGCCATAAAACATTTCTAAGGAATGTATGTAAATATCGATGCTATCACTGTGTATATGACCATATGTGCATATTACAGGCTTACATAGGAAGGCAGAGACCACAGAATATAATGGTGCACAAACTAGTTTTGAGGGCATGAGATCTGGAGTTGAACCCCATTTCTATTACTTACTATTGATAGAACCTTCCTGAGCATGATTTGCCACCTTAAAAACGTGGGCACAGTACTCAATGCCTATCTTATAATATTATGAAAACATTTTAAAGATGACACCCGTGAGTTTTTTTACCAATTATTATATTGATGTCACGTGATACTACTGGAACTATATTCATTGGTAAATGAAGCTCCTTTTCAAACTTTATCCAATTTCTCTCTCACTCACACTTATTTCCAACTTGTCTTGTCATATTATGCTGTAAATTAGGTGATTAAATCTTTTTTCACTTTGAAAAATATGGTGAGTCATTTATAGAAACATTTGTAAGACTGATCACTGGGGTAGCTCATAAATGATTTCCAGCTTATACTCCTTTTGTCTGCCCATCATTCATAGACAATTTAAAATATTACTGGCCAATTTAACATTTATTAAATAACCCAATGCCTCATCATTTACCTTGAATGAGAGTGGGGCAACCTTTTTTAATAGGAATGTTAGAAATTCCTGGACCCATGGTTCCTATTTGGCTAGCTCCTGTAAAAAGCCTGGAGAAATAGTTGCTTTAAAGCATTATATTATTGCACTGTATTTTGAAAGAGCATTAAGAGGGCACTGCAGATATATCTAAGAAATGACAAATACAATGGAAAGAATATTTTTGAGAATTTTTAACACCTTAAAATCTTAGAGAAAGTAGCTAGGAAAATCATCTCTTAAGCTTTTGTCATTAATAAAAAGTATTCTTACTCATTTGACCTTAGAACTGCATATTTCAACCAAATGACCGTGTTGCTTAAGGCTGCAGAGCTAAGATGCTCGGAATGTCCCTTATCAATCATCCTCAGAACTGTCAAATAAATTTATACTGTAGAATCACTATCATCAGCTTTGAAATCTGAGAGAAGAACACAGCTTGAGTTTTCAGATTGCAGGTTAAAACTCTGGGAAAAGTCTTTTCATTTATAAGCTAATCTTTGAAATTCAATTCAAGTTAAATTCATATTTGCCGTTGCACATGAGTATATTGAATGTTTTAGTTACCTTTCCTGGTCTGCCACCAGCAAGCTAGAGAAGACCTCTGTTTTGCGGGTTGGGATCTGAAAAAAAAAAAATATATATATATATATATAAAATATAAAAATGTATATATATAAATTTTTATTATATAATATGTAATATGTATAAATAATACATATATATATTTCCTATTTTGTGGACCCTGCAAATGTCTGAACCCTCTAAGCTCTGAACGATTACTGCTATAAATACTCTTCAGTGAGAAAATATACCTTTTATATAAAATGATACTTTTCTTTATTACACAAAACTTACTCGTCTTTGCAAAACTGTAATCTAAAATAAGCACCAAAAATGGAAAGAAAGCATTCCTCCTGTTTCTGCAGAGTATCAGTGCCTTAGTATACCCTTTATCGTTTCTCTAGAGGAAGACACACAGTGTTGCATTCATCTGCTCTATTTAATTAATATATTGTGAACCAGCTAATACGTTCTTAGTGATGATTTGGGGGAAGTTCTGGGATAGAGAGCTTTTTGAGTAAGTTCACATGGAGCTAATGGGTCCTCATTCATGTCGTTATTCTGATTCTATTTATGCTGTCCTTGAATACTATACTAGGATCCTTGGCCTGTGTTTTCCTCCAGAAGAAAGTCAAGGCAGAACAGCCTGTCTTCTGACACCGAATAAATTCTCTGAAGCTTCTGCCTTTCTGACACCAAGGTCCTTATGCCGTAGATGCCCCTGGACTCCCTGTATTCCCATCATTCTGCATTATCTTGAGGTCTTGCTTCATTTCTCTTGTAAGTTTTGCTTCTAACTTTGCAACGTGCATCTTACACTACCCCTGTCCGCAAACTTCCCAGCCCTCCTTTCCTCATTGCAGCTGATGATGGGACACGGCTGTTCCCACAGAAATGCTCCATCTTCCCATCGCTGACAGACAAGCACAGCGTCTTTCTATTCTGCAGTAGGATGAAGCTCCCTTCCTGTCACTAACCATAAATACCCGACCCCACCTCCTCTCCCTGCCCAGTGACTTCTCTTCCTGTTTTCCCTCTCTCCTTCCCTGATCTCTCATCCATTAAACTGTCCCAACCTAGCCCACAAACAGCTCACTCTTCCCCAGCTTCAAATAACAGCCCTCACTGATCCCCAAGTGTGTTCAGAGATATTCATCCGATCCTCCTGCTACAAGCTCCATGACTCAGCCTCCCCACACTGTGCCCAGCACAGAGAGCCCAGGCATGGACAGATCCCAGGACGGACAGCCCCCAGCATGGACAGCCGCCAGCATAAACAAACCCCACCATGGACAGACAGCGGCATAGGCAGCCCCCAGCATGGACAGACCCTGGACATGGACAGCCCCCACCACGGACAGACTCCATCGTGGACAGCCCCCAGCATAAACAGACCCTATCATGGACAGCCCCCAGCATGGACAAACCCTGGACATGGACAGCCCCCACCACGGACAGACTCCATCGTGGACTTCTCCCAGCATAAACAGACCCTATCATGCACAGCCCCCAGCATGGACAGGCCCTGGACATGGACAGCCCCCAGCACGGAGAGCAAGTCTGAAATCTCCAGGGCAGATTGACAGGCTAGAAATATAGGCAAAAACTTGATCATGCAATCTTTTAGGCAGATTGTGTTCTTTGGGTAACCCCAGTCTTTGGTTTTCAATTATTTGGAGGAAACCTACCCATGTTACGGGGGACAATCTGCTTTACCCAAATTCTCCTGACTCGAAACCAAGTCCCTTTCACATGGTAACTTCACAGCACATCCAGACGACTGTGTGACGGAACCACAGGCGCCACCGCCTCGCCAGGCTGATGTAGAGTCAGCCATTCCGCTTCTCAAAGGAGCCGAGTCTGCTCCCACAGGAGGTGATTCTTCCTGAGCTCCCCCCTTAGAAGGTGCAGGATTGTATTTGTCACGCCATATGGTCCCTAAGCCAATGAGGTCTCCCGTGTCTTCAAAGTTGGCACTTGTTAAATGAAACATGCTCCAACTCATTTTGAAGCAAGGTAGGGTCCTTATTTAAATTTGATTCATGTGTCTACATTAGACAGATTTTCAGGGGGACACCACACCGGGAGCATGACTCTGTTTCTGTGTATCTACTAGATGTGTGTCTGCTAGAATAATCATTACAGTATCGTTCTTCCAGGAGATATAAGGGAAGGAAAATAAAAGGATAAATCACATGCTTAGATAAAAGAATGGGAGGTGACTTGGTTTTAGGGGAGCATTTTGGACTTTAAATCTCTGCAGACAAGCCAGATTCCAGCAGAGGTTCTGAAACTCACTTTCTGCATGGTGAAATCACATAATTTACTCATATCTCAGAATCCCCGAGCATAGAAAATAGCTTGCTTTCTTTTCTTGCCAAACTCCCAAGAATACACAGAAAAATCCTCTAACAACTTCAAATCTTCTTGAACAAGATGGAAAGGGATAAACAATGAAACTTTAAGCCCTTTTGGAAATTCAAATCCAAATTGTTGATTGACGTCAAACTCAGAGAGAAACAAATTAGGTTCTGACTGTGAGGCGGCTTATTTTATACATTCTCGTCTGGCATAAAGAAATTATACTCTGACCTGGCTTCATATTGCCTATCAGTAAAATACATAAAACAACCTCCACTTAATCATGTTTAGGAAGGAATAGGATTTAGTTCCTTTGAAATTATATATTTGATTTTAAAAAATTTATGTACCTTCATTTGCACATTTGAATAGATTGCTTTCACAGTTATATTTTTATAGGTTTGTTATTTTGTGGTAAGGAGGGGATTATAGCTGTCTTCCCTAAAAAAAGTATCCATTTTACACTATATGTGAAGGGAATGGGATGGAGTTGATATTTCTAGTTTATATTATTAAAATAAATCATTGCTTACCATCTGAGATTTCAAATTCACACTTTCAGTTCATATTATTTATAATTTAGGAAATCTGTTTGCAGTACAATTCACTGCCCTACAAAGGCATGCCTCTTGCTAATGAACTGGTAACTCCGTCTTCCTCAAAAACATATGTTTAAAAATTAATGTTTAATTTTCAATTTAGAAAATGTGTAAAGACAAAAAGGAAATTTAAAAAACAGCACGAGAGATTTAATAGTAAACATTTTTGCCTAAAATTTCTCACCAATGGTCTCCTCTGAAAAGATTAATGCCATCTTATTAAAGACATTGAAAATGCCTCAAAGATAGTATTACAGTTTTTTAATGGCTGTTTAATATTCATCTAATCTCATCGTAAAATTTGGGATAGAGAGTTTTTTGAGTAAGTTCACATGGAGCTAATGGGTCCTCAATCATGTCATTATTCTGATTCTATTTATGCTGTCCTTGAATACTATACTAGGATACTTGGCCAGTTTAAACTTCATGAACATTTAACATCATTGAACATTTACATATGAAAACCGTGCAGCCACTGCACTTCAGCCTGGGCGACAGAAGGAGACTCCATCTCCAAAAAAAATAAATAGGAGGGAGGAGCCAAGATGGCCGAATAGGAACAGCTCCAGTCTACAGCTCCCAGCCTGAGCGACGCAGAAGACAGGTGATTTCTGCATTTCCATCTGAGGTACCGGGTTCATCTCACTAGGGAGCGCCAGACAGTGGGCGCAGGTCAATGGGTGCGCGCACCGTGCGCGAGCCAAAGCAGGGCGAGGCATTGCCTCACTCAGGAAGTGCAAGGGGTCAGGGAGTTCCCTTTCCTAATCAAAGAAAGGGGTGACGGACGGCACCTGGAAAATCGGGTCACTCCCACCCGAATACTGCGCTTTTCTGACGGGCTTGAAAAAAGGCGCACCACAAGATTATATCCCGCACCTGGCTCAGAGGGTCCTACCCCACGGAGTCTCGCTGATTGCTAGCACAGCAGTCTGAGATCAAACTGCAAGGTGGCAGCCAGGCTGGGGGAGGGGTGCCCGCCATTGCCCAGGCTTGCTTAGGTAAACAAAGCAGCCTGGAAGCTCGAACTGGGTGGAGCCCACCACAGCTCAAGGAGGCCTGCCTGCCTGCCTCTGTAGGCTCCACCTTGGGGGCCGGGCACAGACAAACAAAAAGACAGCAGTAACCTCTGCAGACTTAAATGTCCCTGTCTGACAGCTTTGAAGAGAGCAGGGGTTCTCCCAGTACGCAGCTGGAGATCTGAGAAGGGGCAGACTGCCTCCTCAAGTGGGTCCCTGACCCCTGACCCCCGAGCTGCCTAACCGGGAGGCACCCTCCAGCAGGGGCACACTGACATCTCACACTGCAGGGTACTCCAACAGACCTGCAGCTGAGGGTCCTGTCTGTTAGAAGGAAAACTAACAAACAGAAAGGACATCCACACCAAAAACCCATCTGTACATCACCATCATCAAAGACCAAAAGTAGATAAAACCACAAAGATGGGGAAAAAACAGAACAGAAAAATTGGAAACTCTAAAAAGCAGAGTGCCTCTCCTCCTCCAAAGGAACGCAGCTCCTCACCAGCAACGGAAGAAAGCTGGACGGAGAATGACTTTGACGAGCTGAGAGAAGAAGGCCTCAGATGATCAAATTACTCTGAGCCATGGGAGGACATTCAAACCAAAGGTAAAAAGTTGAAAACTTTGAAAAAAATTTAGAAGAATGTATAACTAGAATAACCAATACAGAGAAGTGCTTAAAGGAGCTGATGGAGCTGAAAACCAAGGCTCGAGAACTACGTGAAGAATGCAGAAGCCTCAGGAGCCGATGCGATCAACTGGAAGAAAGGGTATCAGCAATGGAAGATGAAATGAATGAAATGAAGCAAGAAGGGAAGTTTAGAGAAAAAAGAATAAAAAGAAATGAGCAAAGCCTCCAAGAAATATGGGACTATGTGAAAAGACCAAATCTACGTCTGATTGGTGTACCTGAAAGTGATGGGGAGAATAGAACCAAGTTGGAAAACACTCTGCAGGATATTATCCAGGAGAATTTCCCCAATCTAGAAAGGCAGGCCAACGTTCAGATTCAGGAAATACAGAGAACGCCACAAAGATACTCCTCGAGAAGAGCAACTCCAACACAGGTAATTGTCAGATTCACCAAAGTTGAAATGAAGGAAAAAATGTTAAGGGCAGCCAGAGAGAAAGGTCGGGTTACACTAAAAGGGAAGCCCATCAGACTAACAGTGGATCTCTCGGCAGAAACTCTACAAGCCAGAAGAGAGTGGGGACCAATATTCAACATTCTTAAAGAAAAGAATTTTCAACCCAGAATTTCATATCCAGCCAAACTAAGCTTCGTAAGTGAAGGAGAAATAAAATACTTTACGGACAAGCAAATGCTGAGAGATTTTGTCACCACCAGGCCTGCCCTAAAAGAGCTCCTGAAGGAAGCGCTGAACATGGAAAGGAACCACCGGTACCGGCTGCTGCAAAATCATGCCAAAATGTAAAGACTATCGAGATTAGGAAGAAACTGCATCAACTAACGAGCAAAATAACCAGCTAACATCATAATGACAGGATCAAATTCACACATAACAATATTAACTTTAAATGTAAATGGACTAAATGCTCCAATTAAAAGACACGGACTGGCAAATTGGATAAAGAGTCAAGACCCATCAGTGTGCTGTATTCAGGAAACCCATCTCACGTGCAGAGACACACATAGGCTCAAAGTAAAAGGATGGAGGAAGATCTACCAAGCAAATGGAGAACAAAAAAAGGCAAGGGTGGCAATCCTAGTCTCTGATAAAACAGACTTTAAGCCAACAAAGATCAAAAGAGACAAAGAAGGCCATTACATGATGGTAAAGGGATCAATTCAACAAGAAGAGCTAACTATCCTAAATATATATGCACCCAATACAGGAGCACCCAGATTCATAAAGCAAGTCCTGAGTGACCTACAAAGAGACTTAGACTCCCACACATTAATAATGGGAGACTTTAACACCCCACTGTCAACATTAGACAGATCAACGAGAGAGAAAGTCAACAAGGATACCCAGGAATTGAACTCAGCTCTGCACCAAGCAGACCTAATAGACATCTACAGAACTCTCCACCCCAAATCAACAGAATACACATGTTTTTCAGCACCACACCACACCTATTCCGAAGTTGACCACATACTTGGAAGTAAAGCTCTCCTCAGCAAATGTAGAAGAACAGACATTATAACAAACTATCTCTCAGACCACAGTGCAATCAAACTAGAACTCAGGATTAAGAATCTCACTCAAAACCGCTCAGCTACGTGGAAACTGAACAACCTGCTCCTGAATGACTACTGGGTACATAACGAAATGAAGGCAGAAATAAAGATGTTCTTTGAAACCAACGAGAACAAAGACACAACATACCAGAATCTCGGGGACGCATTCAAAGCAGTGTGTAGAGGGAAATTTATAGCACTAAATGCCCACAAGAGAAAGCAGGAAAGATCCAAAATTGACACCCTAACATCACAATTAAAAGAACTAGAAAAGCAAGAGCAAACACATTCAAAAGCTAGCAGAAGTCAAGAAATAACTAAAATCAGAGCAGAACTGAAGGAAACAGAGACACAGAAAACCCTTCAAAAAATTAATGAATCCAGGAGCTGGTTTTTTGAAAGGATCAACAAAATTCATAGACTGCTAGCAAGACTAATAAAGAAAAAAAGAGAGAAGAATCAAATAGATGCAATGATAAATGGGATATCACCCATTTATAAAATGGTAAAGGGGATATCACCACCGATCCCACAGAAATACAAACCACCATCAGAGAATACTACAAACATCTCTATGCAAATAAACTAGAAAATCTAGAAGAAATGGATAAATTCCTTGACACATACACTCTCCCAAGACTAAACCAGGAAGAAGTTGAATCTCTGAATAGACCAATAACAGGATCTGAAATTGTGGCAATAATCACTACCTTACCAACCAAAAAGAGTCCAGTACCAGATGGATTCACAGCCGAATTCTACCAGAGGTACAAGGAGGAACTGGTACCATTCCTTCTGAAACTATTCCAATCAATAGAAAAAGAGGGAATCCTCCCTAACTCATTTCATGAGGCCAGCATCATTCTGATACGAAAGCCGGGCAGAGACACAACCAAAAAAGAGAATTTTAGACCAATATCCTTGATGAATATTGATGCAAAAATCCTCAATAAAATACTGGCAAACCGAATCCAGCAGCACATCAAAAAGCTTATCCACCATGATCAAGTGGGCTTCATCCCTGGGATGCAAGGCTGGTTCAATATACACAAATCAATAAATGTAATCCAGCATATAAACAGAGCCAAAGACAAAAACCACATGATTACCTCAACAGATGCAGAAAAGGCCTTTGACAAAATTCAACAACGCTTCATGCTAAAAACTCTCAATAAATTAGGTATTGATGGGACATATCTCAAAATAATAAGAGCTATCTATGACAAACCCACAGCCAATATCATACTGAATGGGCAAAAACTGGAAGCATTCCCTTTGAAAACTGACACAAGACAGGGATGCCCTCTCTCACCACTCCTATTCAACATAGTGTTGGAAGTTCTGGCCAGGGCAATTAGGCAGGAGAAGGAAATAAAGGGTATTCAGTTAGGAAAAGAGGAAGTCAAATTGTCCCTGTTTGCAGATGACATGACTGTATATCTCGAAAACCCCATTGTCTCAGCCCAAAATCTCCTTAAGCTGATAAGCAACTTCAGCAAAGTCTCAGGATACAAAATCAATGTGCAAAAATCACAAGCATTCCTATACACCAACAACAGACAAACACAGAGCCAAATCATGAGTGAACTCCCATTCACAATTGCTTCAAAGAGAAGAAAATACCTAGGAATCCAACTTACAAGGGAGATGAAGGACCTCTTCAAGGAGAACTACAAACCACTGCTCAAGGAAATAAAAGAGGATACAAACAAATGGAAGAACATTCCATGCTCATGGGTAGGAAGAATCAATATCGTGAAAATGGCCATACTGCCCAAGGTAATTTACAGATTCAATGTCATCCCCATCAAGCTACCAATGCCTTTCTTCCCAGAATTGGAAAAAACTACTTTAAAGTTCATATGGAACCAAAAAAGAGCCCACATCACCAAGTCAATCCTAAGCCAAAAGAACAAAGCTGGAGGCATCACACTATCTGACTTCAGACTATACTACAAAACTACAGTAACCAAAACAGCATGGTACTCGTACCAAAACAGAGATATAGATCAATGGAACAGAACAGAGCCCTCAGAAATAACACCACATATCTACAACGATCTGATCTTTGACAAACCTGAGAAAAACAAGCAATGGGGAAAGGATTCCCTATTTAATAAATGGTGCTGGGAAAACTGGCTAGCCATATGTAGAAAGCTGAAACTGGATCCCTTCCTTACACCTTATACAAAAGTCAATTCAAGATGGATTAAAGACTTAAACGTTAGACCTAAAACCATAAAAACCCTAGAAGAAAACCTAGGCATTACCATTCAGGACATAGGCATGGGCAAGGACTTCATGTCTAAAACACCAAAAGCAATGGCAACAAAAGCCACAATTGACAAATGGGATCTAATTAAACTAAAGAGCTTCTGCACAGCAAAAGAAACTACCATCAGAGTGAACAGGCAACCTACAAAATGGGAGAAAATTTTCGCAACCTACTCATCTGACAAAGGGCTAATATCCAGAATCTACAATGAACTCAAACAAATTTACAAGAAAAAAACAAACAACCCCATCAAAAAGAGGGCGAAGGACATGAGCAGACACTTCTCAAAAGAAGACATTTATGCAGCCAAAAACCACATGAAAAAATGCTCACCATCACTGGCCATCAGAGAAATGCAAATCAAAACCACCATGAGATACCATCTCACACCAGTTAGAATGGCGATCATTCCAAAGTCAGGAAAAAACATGTGCTGGAGAGGATGTGGAGAAATAGGAACACTTTTACACTCTTGGTGGGACTGTAAACTAGTTCGACCATTGTGGAAGTCAGTGTGGCGATTCCTCAAGGATCTAGAACTAGAAATACCATTTGACCCAGCCACCCCATTACTGGGTATATACCCAAAGGACTATAAATCATGGTGCTATAAAGACACGTGCACACGTATGTTTATTGCGGCATTATTCACAATAGCAAAGACTTGGAACCAACCCAAATGTCCAACAATGATAGACTGCATTAAGAAAATGTGGCACATATACACCATGGAATACTATGCAGCCATAAAAAATGATGAGTTCATGTCCTTTGTAGGGACATGGATGAAATTGGAAATCATCATTCTCAGTAAACTATTGCAAGAACAAAAAACCAAACACCGCATATTCTCACTCATAGGTGGGAATTGAACAATGAGATCACATGGACACAGGAAGGGGAACATCACACTCTGGGGACTGTTGTGGGGTGGGGGAGGGGGGAGGGATAGCATTGGGAGATATACCTAATGCCAGATGACGAGTTACTGGGTGCAGCACACCAGCATGGCACATGTATACATATGTAACTAACTTGCACAATGTGCACATGTACCCTAAAACTTAAAGTATAATTTAAAAAAATAAATTAAAAAATAAATTAATAAAAATAAAATAAAAAGAAAAACGTGAGTCATTTTGAACATGTGATTTTTTAATACCAAGCATCTTCATGTTTTTCTCGCATGTGAGAGAAGAAAGAATGTTTATTACTATGTGATAGGATCTATTATTATTTAAAATCAAAGTTCCTTAAGGTTGTAGTGTTAAATATTGCAACAGGAACTGCTTAAAGTCATTTTGTTAAAATCAGCTGAGAATCCTCCACCACACCAGCGTCAGAGGCTCACAGAGGCTCCGCCCCCTCATGACGGCAGCCTCACGCCCTGTTCCTCCGGGTTCCAGGGCAAGCGTAGGACCAGGAGAGCCAATCAGATACCTCAGCCCCATCACGCTCTCCATGGTTTCCACTCACAGTTCGCCGGTTATAACGAGTCACAAGGCCACACCTAAAGTCAAGGAAGTAGGAATGATGATGGTCTATGGAGACAGAGGACAACTGGGTGTGGTGAATCTCAGTCTCGCCGACCCCAGCCCAACCTCGTAGCAGGGCAGAGCACAGCAGCGCAGCGCAGGGGTGAACAGCACGCACCCTGCAGGCAGATGGTGAGGGTTGCAAGGTGGATGCCTGCAGTTACTTCCCTATAATACCGGGGCAAGTTGTTGAAGCGCTCCAGACCTCACGGTCCTTGCCTGTAAAGCTACGTATAGAACAATATCTGTCTCTGGGATTCTGCTAAGAGCTGAGTTAACAGATGTTAAGCACGGAAACAGTGCGTGGGACCCATGAACACTCAGTAATCACTCCCAGTACTGTGATGTGAGTCCAGCAAAGACCCAGCTGTGCCCTACCAAGACCATATTTACTTCAAGCACAATAAATAGAAAAGCCCACACCTCGTTTAGAGCTTACTCCATCACTTTATGGTAAAGAGCTCACTCTAAGTTTCATTCTGGGTTCAGCATCAAATATAAGATGTTAAAAGGCAACAGGCACAGTCGTCTTGGGTTCCTCTCCTAAGGAAGAGTTATCCCCTAAGGAAAGGTATCCCCCAGGTTCCCGGGTGTCTGCAAGAGCTTGGGACACAGAAGAAGCAGTTTTGCAGAACCAAGTGTATTCTTAGAAGAGAGAAGATTTTGCCCCAAATATTCCAAATTTTTGCATTGAAGAAATTACGAAAAAAATTAGAAGATTATGCTACCAAGCAAAAGAGCTCTTTTCTTTTTCTTGCGATTTTATCCATGTTTTAATAAATAAAGGACAAGCATTTTGCTACCACTCCAAGCAAACACCAAGAAAGTGAAGGCCTTCCACACCTCCCCAGTCCCCCACACCTCCCCAGTCCCCCACACTCCAACCTCATTCTCTAGGAGCCACCCGAAGAAGATTAGCATCAGCACACGGCACGGTTAGTAAATGTGTGTGCTGTTCAATTGTCCACATTTATGGATCAATGCATTCAAATATGACATTTACTTTAATGCACCTCGTTTTTTAAAAACGGTATTGCTATTCTTCCATACTACATATGGCAATTTTTGTCTTTCAAAACTTCTATACTTTGGTGTAGCAGAATACATCTAGATTTTGTCTTGCAAAGCTTCTATACTTTGGTGTAGCAGAATACATCTAGAAAAACATAGTAGAAGATTATTTGGATGTAAAAGGACATAAGTATAACAATTTTATTACTTTTGTAAAAAAAAGGACTGGATGTTTTTGTGTAAGTATTATATCATTATTATTTAAGTAATATTATCAAATAAAATATTGCAACAGGAACTGCTTAAAGTCATTTTGTTCAAATCACTTGAGATCCCTCCGCCAAGTAACTTTTATGATCTGCCTTAAGTCATTTTAATATTTCAAAAATACCTTAAGAAATATATAAACATAAACAAAATATTATTTAAAATAATCATTGTTTCATAACTGAGCAGTATCACTTTAATATAAAGTGATTTTAATAGAAAGCCTGCCAAAATAGCTTATTAATATCTATATTTTTCTGAACTAAAGTCTAAATATAATTTTAATAATTTTTATGTCTTCTTTAATAAATAGTGATGTCTTCTTTTCTCTGTAGGTGGTCTTCCCATTGCAACTTGCATTTATTTGTTTATTTATTTTGAGACGGAGTCTCACTCTGTAGCCCAGGCTGGAGTGCAGTGGTGCTACCTCGGCTCACTGCAACCTCCACCTCCCAGGTTCAAGCAATTCTCCCGCCTCAGCCTCCCAAGTAGCTGGGATTACAGACACCTACCACCATGTCCAGCTAATTTTTGTATTTTTAGTAGAGACGGGGTATTACCATGTTGGCCAGGCTTGTCTCAAGCCCCTGACCTCAGGTGATCCATCCGCCTCAGCCTCCCAAAGTCCTGGGATTACAGGCATGAGCCACCACGCCCAGCCACATAGATGCCTTTTTAAGGCTGAATCCTGTTCTGTTGCACATAGATGCCACAGTATGTGGATCTATTCATCCATTGATGGACACCTGGGTTGCTTCCACCCTCTGGCTGTTACGAATGGTGTTGCTATGAACGTGGATATAAAATATCTCTTTAAGACACTGATTGAATTCTTTTAGGTACATACTCAGAAGTGAGACTGGCAGGTTATATGGTAGTTCTATCTTCAGTTTTTTTGAGGAACCACCAGACTGTTTTCTGCAACCGCTGCCCCATTAACTTGTTTGTGGTAATCACTATACAATCTATATACATATAAAATAATAACATTGTACACCACGGCTCTCTGGTGGTCACTCACACAGGTGAACAGGGCAGAAAGCCTCAAGCCGCCCAGCTGAGGTTGAACAAGGCTCCACACGGTGAGACGCGTGTCCTTTTCACAGTGGATGTAGTGCCCTGCTTTTGCATGTGTGAGTGTGTATGTTGGTGATTTCACTGTTTAAGTGGCCCCCAATCAATACTGAAGTGCTGACGGCTGCTTCTAAGTACATGAAGGCTGTTACGTGCTTTATGGAAAAGACTTTTGCTCGAGCAGGCAGGAGTTATAGTGATGGTGGCCATGAGTTCAAAGAGAAGGAGTCAACAATAGATATTAAATCAGTTGTCTTTAAACAGAAATACACATTCAACAGTAACTTCCATTTCCTCCTCCAGCCTTTGGAAGCCACCATTCTATTCTCTGCATCCACAAATCTGAGTAGTTCAGATATCTCAATTAGGAAAACTCACACAGTATTTTTCTTCTATGACTGGCCGTTTCACTTACCATCATGTCCTCCAGGTTCTCTTCAAAGTCTCACTTACGCAAGATGAAAAAGTTCTAGACATCTTCTGCACAATATTTGGCTTTCACTTAATGATACCGTACTGCACACTTAAAAATTTGTTAAAAAGATACATCTTCTGTTATCTGTTCTGACTACAGTAAAAATAATAAAATAATAATTATAATAAATAGAGTGCTGGTTGCCAATAAACAGGAAGTAAAACAGAAACACATTAAACAAGCTTGTGTATTGATCAGTAGAAGAATACGTTGAGATAAAAGCTCAGAGGAATCTAACCTAGTATTTCCCTCAGGAGCAATGGTTTGGTGTTTGCTAATCCAGGGTTTGTAGTGAGTCTGTAGAATATATTTCCCACAAATCATGAGAATACACATAAAATTAACATATAAAAGTCAAAAGCCTTTGTATACCAAACTATAATGAGCCAGAGAACACAAAGGTAGAAAAAAATAGCACAAAGATCAAATACAAAGAAGTAAACTTCACAAAAAACACGTAAACCGATAGCAGAAAAACTTACAACAATCCCAAAAAGCACAAGAGTCTTTAAGCCCTGAGCCTGAACCAACCCAAAGCCAACCATGCTGGCACCCTGAGCTCCAACCTCAACCTCCACAAAATAAATGTCTGCTGTCGACAAGTCACCCCGTGTGTAATACTTTGTCAGAGCCGCCTGAACAGACTAAGAAGAGGCTGATGAAGAGAGGACTCTGCACAAAGGCTGAGCTCTGCTCAGTAGATTTGCTTCTCCGAGAAGGATACATCAGCAATTCTGAACCCGCTTTGTGTCTATGCCAGGAATAGAACAAATAAGTAAATATATTGTGGATAATGAGAGTCCAGTTCTCACTGTCAGAAAAGGAAGTTACAAATAAGGAAGGGGGCTTGCTGGAATGATTCCTCTAGTGTCGGATTAAAATTGGAAGTGTCGGTATTGACTCACTCTCTGATACATGGATATAGATACAGACATAGATACACATAGAAATAAATACGGAAGTGTGTGTATGTGTACAGGTTAATAATATACATGCCTTTATTTCCACAACTGTCCACTGAGCAGCCTAGAAATGATGATACCTCAGTAGCAATGAGCACACCTATGTAAAATTCATGATTTATAAAAGCCATTCTCTTATAAAAGGGATCAGGTCTGCTTGGAGAAGTGGCTGACTCCACGACCTGAGTCTGGAAATAACGTGTGGTGCTGCAAAGTAAGGCTATACCCACACCCCTGAAAAAGGGGGAAAAAAAGAAGGCTGGGAGAATGTTTGGAGGAACACTGGAGTCACTCCAAAGCCAGAGGGGCCCCCGGTCACCAAAGCTGGATCAATTGGAAATCAATAATGATAGTATTGCATCATAACCCGCAGAATAAGATAAATACCCACAAGTCCATACCTAAAATAGTTAATGGAATAAATGTACATAAGTGAGTAGAAGGGGTAGCACTTCCTTGTAAAACAATGCCAAGTAGCAGGTGTAGAGGAAGGAAGAAAGAATGAACTGACCACAACCAATCATCACATCAACACAGCAACCAGGGCAAGACCCGCCATGGGCGCCACTCCCTGCAGGGAAGCTGCCTTTATCTCCAGCTGCCTCAATAGAGACAACAGAGGAAGTAAGAGAAAGGTGATATTCAAATTTCCTCTTTCTAAGAGCTCAGGATGTCCAAGAGGTGATGAAAGACACTGATGTTTGCATGCTTGTTGACTGGCATTTCCATGCCCCCTGTCTCTCTCTTTCCACTGCCCTTCTCCTATCTCATCCCAAATGAGAGGACCTGTGCAAACCTGAAGTCTTGGACTAAGGCACAGTTGTCCGTTAAGTGTTGCTCTAAATTATTTTTAACCCCACAAGGTTGGCACTAATATTTCTATGCAGTGTTTACTATACGGATGTGTGTGTACACACAATAAAGATTATTCAGATGTGTATGTCTATACACATACACACATCCATATAATAAATGGAATTATTAGTTTTAACCCCACAAGGTTGGCAGTAATATCTCTATGCAGTGTTTAGTATACCCAAAATCCTCTATTTTTGTTGCCTTTAAAACTTCTTTTGTAGATCACTTTTTCCACGTAAGTACATCATTTAGAAGATTATGTCTTCAAGTGAGCATTTGTGGTCATTCTATTTATCTAAAACGTCTTTATTCTTGAGATGTACAATTCCTTTTTTTTTTCATTGCTTGATTGACACTTACATTTCCTCAGCCTTTATTGTTGTGAGGAACTGGGCTGCAGAGCAGGAGGTGAGTGGGGGCATCCTCTGTATTTACAGCCCCTCCCCATCGCTCACATGACCTCCTGAGCTCCTCCTCCTGTCCGATCAGCGGCAGCCTTAGATTCTCATGGGAGTGCGAACCCTATGGTAAACGGCATATGTGAGGGATCTAGGTTATGTGCTCCTTACAAGGATCTAATGCCTGATGATCTGTCGCTGTCTCCCATCACCCCCAGATGAGACCATCTAGTTGCAGGAAAACAAACTCAGGGCTCCCACTGATTCTATGCAAAATGGTGAGTTGTGTAATTATTTTGTTATATATTGCAAAGTAATAAGAATAGAAATAATGTGCACAATAAATGTAATGTGCTTGAATCACCCCTAAACCATTCCCCTGCACACCGGGTTCGTGGAAAATTGTCTCCCACTAAACCGGTCCCTAATGCCAAAAAGGTTGGGGACTTCTGGGCTAAAGAAATAAAAAAAAAATCCAGGACTTGAGAGGATTTCAGGGAAAGACTTGAATGCCTGGGAGAGCCCGGTTCCTGTTAAAGCAAGTACGTTAAAGTGTTCTGCTGTGCAGGAGCTTTTTAGTTTGATGTAGTTCCACTTGTTTGTTTTCATTTTTATTACCTGTGCTTTTGGCGTCTTCTCTAAAAAACCATTGCCAAGACTAATGCCAAGAAGCTTTCCCTTAAGTTTTCTTCAAGAAGGTTTGTGGTCTCAGATCTCATACTTAAGCCTTTATCCATTTCCAGTGGATTTTTGTGTATGATGCAAGATAAGAGTCCAGTTTTTTTCTTCTGCATGTGGACATCCAGTTCCTGTCACACTGTTTGTTGAAGAGACTTTCTTTTCTACACTGTGTGTTCTTGGTGCCCTTGTCAAAGATTAATGGACAGCATACACCTGAGTTTGTTTCTAGACTCTATTCTATTCCGTTGGTCTGTGCATCTGTTTTTATGCCAGTGCCACACTGTTTTGAATACTGTAGCTTCATGATATGCTTTGAAATCAGGAAATGTGATGGCTCCAGCTTTATTCTTCTTTCTCAAAATTGCTTTGGCTATATAGGGTCTTCTGTGGTTCCATGCAAATTTTAGAATATGTTTTCTATTTTTGTAAAGAATGGCATTGGAATTTGTGATGGGTGTTTTAATTAACTTGTTTGTGGTAATCACTACACAATGTATATGCATATCAAATCATCACACTGTACACCTTAAAAATATTCAATGTTAATTTGACAATTCAATATTTTAAAATAAAAAAAAATTTAACAGGAAGTAGCTTAAAGGGAATTCCAGAGATGCACATGAGGATACTTTGAGAGTCAGGATGATGGCCCACATGGTGGAATGGCAGGACCTAAGCAGATGAGTCAGCGAGTGAGATGGAAGCAAAAGAGGTTGATGGGAGAGCTTATAAAGCTTGCAGGATATAGGAGCAACACACACAAAAGTTACTAGCATTTGTAAATACCCAAGCCTTGTATATTTCTTACCTCAGGCCAGGTGCTGTTCTAAGTGTTTTCATACATTTTCCCATTTAATCCTACAAATGACCCCTTGAGCAAAAGCCAGCCAGCGACACCTGCATCTCAGGCAGCAGGGCTCCAGAGTCCACAATCTTGAGCTCTGTGGGGTTCTCAGTCCTGTGCCAGGAAAGACTCTAGTGTGGAGGACAGCATTGATTTTAAAAATCTAAAACGTCGGCCCTGAAAGAGTTTACAGTTTATTAATGGATGCACAGTGGATGATTTCAAACACTGAGAAGACACCAATCGACAGCCCTGGATGTGGAATGGGAGTGCTCTTTTATCCTGGCCTGCAACTGGGGCGGGCTTTCAGTCCAGTGCTAAGAAAACATGTGCGTAGAGTAATTTTGGACAATTACCCTGCTTGGATATTTGATTTCTCTTGGCTATCAGAAATAATAACAATGATAATTTTGCTTAAGGATGTTTCTCATTTGATCTACAGATACAAGCACAAATTTCTAATAAACCTCTCTTACAGAAGACAACTACACGTTACACAAAAATTTGTTCCAGAAAAAGCCAAAACTTTCTTTTTAATAGCACTACAACCATCTTGTTGCTGTATTTCTACATTGTGAGAGAAGGAGAAGATGGGGTTTTGTGTACAGAAATTTGTTCTCCAAACATTCATGTTTAAAATTTGATCCGTATCACTTGTTGGCATATCAAGCATGCTTATTTCTAAATTGCCATAATATATCCAATTAGGTAGAATATTTCTGGAAAGCACAATTATCATACACATATTACTACAAAATGTGATATCATATTATGTTCTCTTATCATTACAGTGAGATATGGCACTATGAGGAGATTTTATCAGTGCAAAATTGCATTATGTTCAAATTTATCCATGTGTTAATTTACATTAAACCCATTCTACTTCTTCAGATGAATGCAAATTCTAGGATTTGCTGGCCTGTATTTTACCCGGAAATTGGTGCAGATAAGAGGCAAAGGAGTAAGAAGGATTGCTGTCTAGGAGCTCTGAAACAAGCCAAAATTAACTTTCCTTGCAGCTGCTATTCTGTTAAAAAGCCAAGATTTAAGGAGAATAATATAGCAATGTAATTTATTCTAACTAGAAATGAGGAAAACCGTAACGAACAAAACCCTTGAAAGTTGGACTATTCTTACAAATTATACTAACAATGGGAATCAACAATCCCATCAGAGTTTGTAGATTTCAGATAATCCCATCAGGCTTGTTTCTTAATTATCAAGGTGCTTTGAAGAAATTTCCTATTTGAATCCCTCAAAATAATGACTTTGGGGTTTGTTTTCACATCAGCTATGGGTGCTGTTTTGACAAAGCCTTAGCTGAAAACTTGAGGCCATCAGCATCCCTTTCTCCCCTGCAACAATACAGTTCACACAGGCACTCTTCCTTCCCCACCCATCTTGTGCATAAGGCCTTGATTTTACTTAGATTTCCCCTCATGAGCTCCTTGTTTATTGGTTGGTTGGTTCATTGGTTTTGTTGAGTTGGTTTGTTTTGTTCTGTTTTCACAGTCTTATTAAGAAGGAAATTTACATTCCGTAGAATTCACCCATGTAAGGTGTACAATTGAATGGTTTCTAGTATATTCACAGAATTATGCATCCATCACCACTACCAGTTATAAAACATTTTCACTACCTGGAAAAGAAACATGGTACTCAGCCATGGCCGCTCAATCTCTGGATCCCCCACTCTAGTCCTAGGAAACCACTAATCTACTTTCTGTCCCTATAGATTTGCTGATACTGGACATTTCATATAAATGGAATCACACAATACAAGGCCTTTTGTCACTGGCTTTTTCACTAACATGATCTTTTCAGGGTTATCCAACATAGCACAGATCAGTATTTTATTTTCATTGCCAAATCATCTTCCATCCTAAGGTTATACCACATTTCCTTTATCTATCCATTCATTATCTGCTGAGAATTTGGGTTATTTCCACTATTTGGCTATTATAAATATTGCTGCTTATGAACATGTTTGTACAAGTTTTTGTATGAACCTGTGTTTCCTGTCTCTGGACTACACACCTAGGAGTAAGTCATTTATTTAACCACATGGGGGCTGCAAACACCTGCATACATGGCGGGGCTCTCTGTCCCCGGCATCAGTCCTCACTGACTTGACTATTTTAACTTCATGACGGGTGTTGCGACTCTCTCTGCTTTATTCTCCTTATCAATATTATCTTGATTATTTTTAACCTTTTACTCCTTGTAAATACTAAAATCTGTGCAACATCTATATGAAAAACACTGCTTGGATTTTGGAATTAAAATTAATCTATAGATTATTGGGGGTACACTTGAAAGCACTTTAATATTGAGTACTACCCGTGGATGTGGAATATCTTAAGATAATCGTTAATGCTTTTTAATAAATGTTTGGCACATTTGTGTACAGTTTTGCACATATATCATTAGTTTTATGCCAAGATACTTGATAACATTGTTGCTCATATGATTTTTAAATTATATCTTATGATTGCTGTTTGTTTGCAGAAACACTTGCTAGGCCCTCCAATAAAATGTTACAGGGGTACCATGAAAGGAGACATTCTTGTTTGTCTTCCTTACTTAAATAAATGCATCTATATTTTCTATTGAGACTCTTTTTGTTGTGGGACTTCTGTAGTTATCTCTTATGAGGTTAAGAAAGTCTTCTTGTGGGGAGGAGCCAAGATGGCGGAATAGGAACAGCTCCGGTCTACACCTCCCAGTGTGAGCGACGCAGAAGACGGGTGATTTCTGCATTTCCATCTGAGGTACCGGGATCATCTCACTAGGGAGTGTCAGAGAGTGGGCGCAAGTCAGTGGGTGCATGCACCGTGCGCGAGCCGAAGCAGGGCGAGTCATTGCCTTACTCGGGAAGTGCAAGGGGTCAGGGAGTTCCCTTTCCTAGTCAAAGAAAGGGGTGACAGACAGCCCCTGGAAAATCAGGTCACTCCCACCCGAATACTGCGCTTTTCCGATGGGCTTAAAAAACAGCGCACCAGGAGATTATATCCCACACCTGGCTGGGAGGGTCCTAGACCCATGGAGTGTCGCTGATTGCTAGCACAGCAGTCTGAGATCAAACTGCAAGGAGGCAGCGAGGCTGGGGGTGGGGGGGGCGTGCCATTGCCCAGGCTTGCTTAGGTAAACAAAGCAACCGGGAAGCTCGTACTGGGTGGAGCCCACCACAGCTCAAGGAGGCCTGCCTGCCTCTGTAGGCTCCACCTCTGGGGGCAGGGCACAGACAAACAAAAAGACAGCAGTAACCTCTGCAGACTTAAATGTCCCTGTCTGACAGCTTTGAAGAGAGCAGTGGTTCTCCCAGCACGCAGCTGGAGATATGGGAACCGGCAGACTGCCTCCTCAAGTGGGTCTCTGACCCCTGACCCCCAAGCAGCCTAACTGGGAGTCACCCCCCAGCAGGGGCACACTGACACCTCACACGGCAGGGTACTCCAACAGACCTGCAGCTGAGGGTCCTGTCTGTTAGAAGGAAAACTAACAAACAGAAAGGACATCCACACCAAAACCCATCTGTACATCACCATCATCAAAGACCAAAAGTAGATAAAACCACAAAGATGGGGAAAAAACAGAGCAGAAAAACTGGAAACTCTAAAAAGCAGAGCGCCTCTCCTCCTCCAAAGAAACGCAGTTCCTCACCAGCAACGGAACAAAGCTGGACGGAGAATGACTTTGATGAGCTGAGAGAAGAAGGCTTCAGACGATCAAATTACTCCGAGCTACGGGAGGAAATTCAAACCAAAGGCAAAGAAGTGGAAAACTATGAAAAAAGTTTAGAAGAATGTATAACTAGAATAACCAATACAGAGAACTGCTTAAAGGAGCTGATGGAGCCGAAAACAAAGGCTCGAGAACTACGTAAAGAATGCAGAAGCCTCAGGAGCCGATGCTATCAACTGGTAGAAAGGGTATCAGCGATGGAAGATGAAGTGAATGAAATGAAGTGAGAAGGGAAGTTTAGAGAAAAAAGAATAAAAAGAAATGAGCAAAGCCTCCAAGAAATATGGGACTACGTGAAAAGACCAAATCTACGTCTGATTGGTGTACCTGAAAGTGATGGGGAGAATAGAACCAAGTTGGAAAACATTCTGCAGGATATTATCCAGCAGAACTTCCCCAATCTAGCAAGGCAGGCCAACATTCAGATTCAGGAAATACAGAGAACGCCACAAACATACTCCTCGAGAAGAGCAACTCCAAGACACATAATTGTCAGATTCACCAAAGTTGAAAGGAAGGAAAAAATGTTAAGGGCAGCCAGAGAGAAAGGTCGGGTTACCCACAAAGGGAAGCCCATCAGACTAACAGTGGATCTCTCGGCAGAAACCCTACCAGCCAGAAGAGAGTGGGGGCCAATATTCAACATTCTTAAAGAAAAAAGTTTTCAACCCAGAATTACATATCCAGCCAAACTAAGCTTCATAAGTGAAGGAGAAATAACATACTTTACAGACAGGCATATGCTGAGAGATTTTGTCACCACCAGGCCTGCCCTAAAAGAGCTCCTCAAGGAAGCGCTAAACATGGAAAGGAACAACCGGTACCAGCCGCTGCAAAATCATGCCAAAATGTAAAGACCATCGAGACTAGGAAGAAACTGCATCAACTAATGAGCAAAATAACCAGCTAACATCATAATGACAGGATCAAATTCACACATAACAATATTAACTTTAAATGTAAATGGACTAAATGCTCCAATTAAAAGACACGGACTGGCATATTGGATAAAGAGTCAAGACCCATCAGTGTGCTGTATTCATGAAACCCATCTCACGTGCAGAGACACACATAGGCTCAAAGTAAAAGGATGGAGGAAGATCTACCAAGGAAATGGAAAACAAAAAAAGGCAGGGGTTGCAATCCTAGTCTCTGATAAAACAGACTTTAAGCCAACAAAGATCAAAAGAGACAAAGAAGGCCATTACATGATGGTAAAGGGATCAATTCAACAAGAAGAGCTAACTATCCTAAATATATATGCACCCAATACAGGAGCACCCAGATTCATAAAGCAAGTCCTGAGTGACCTACAAAGAGACTTAGACTCCCACACATTAATAATGGGAGACTTTAACACCCCACTGTCAACATTAGACAGATCGACGAGACAGAAAGTCAACAACAATACCCAGGAATTGAACTCAGCTCTGCACCAAGCAGACCTAATAGACATCTACAGAACTCTCTACCCCAAATCAACAGAATATACATTTTTTTCAGCACCACACCACACCTATTCCAAAATTGACCACATACTTGGAAGTAAAGCTCTCCTCAGCAAATGTAAAAGAACAGAAATTATAACAAACTATCTCTCAGACCACAGTGCAATGAAACTAGAACTCAGGATTAAGAATCTCACTCAAAACTGCTCAACTACATGGAAACTAAACAACCTGCTCCTGAATGACTACGGGGTACAAAACAAAATGAAGGCAGAAATAAAGATGTTCTTTGAAACCAACGAGAACAAAGACACAACATACCAGAATCTCTGGGACGCATTCAAAGCAGTGTGTAGAGGGAAATTTATAGCACTAAATGCCCACAAGAGAAAGCAGGAAAGATCCAAAATTGACACCCTAACATCACAATTAAAAGAACTAGAAAAGCAAGAGCAAACACATTCAAAAGCTAGCAGAAGTCAAGAAATAACTAAAATCAGAGCAGAACTGAAGGAAATACAGACACAAAAAACCTTTCAAAAAATTAATGAATCCAGGAGCTGGTTTTTTGAAAGGATCAACAAAATTGATAGACCACTAGCTAGACTAATAAAGAAAAAAAGAGAGAAGAATCAAATAGACGCAATAAAAAATGATAAAGGGGATATCACCACCGATCCCACAGAAATACAAACTACCATCAGAGAATACTACAAACACCTCTACGCAAATAAACTAGAAAATCTAGAAGAAATGGATACATTCCTCGACACATGCACTCTCCCAAGACTAAACCAGGAAGAAGTTGAATCTCCGAATAGACCAATAACAGGATCTGAAATTGTGGCAATAATCAATAGCTTACCAACCAAAAAGAGTCCAGGACCAAATGGATTCACAGCCGAATTCTACCAGAGGTACAAGGAGGAACTGGTACCATTCCTTCTGAAACTATTCCAATCAATAGAAAAAGAGGGAATCCTCCCTAACTCATTTTATGAGGCCAGCATCACCCTGATACCAAAGGCGGGCAGAGACACAACCAAAAAAGAGAATTTTAGACCAATATCCTTGATGAACATTGATGCAAAAATCCTCAATAAAATACTGGCACACCGAGTCCAGCAGCACATCAAAAAGCTTATCCACCATGATCAAGTGGGCTTCATCCCTGGGATGCAATGCTGGTTCAATATATGCAAATCAATAAATGTAATCCAGCATATAAACAGAACCAAAGACAAAAACCACATGATTATCTCAATAGATGCAGAAAAGGCCTTTGACAAAATTCAACAACCCTTCATTCTAAAAACTCTCAATAAATTAGGTATTCATGGGACATATCTCAAAATAATAAGAGCTACCTATGACAAACCCACAGACAATATCAAACTGAATGGGCAAAAACTGGAAGCATTCCCTTTGAAAACTGACACAAGACAGGGATGCCCTCTCTCACCACTCCTATTCAACATAGTGTTGGAAGTTCTGGCCAGGGCAATTAGGCAGGAGAAGGAAATAAAGGGTATTCAATTAGGAAAAGAGGAAGTCAAATTGTCCCTGTTTGCAGATGACATGATTGTATATCTAGAAAACCCCATTGTCTCAGCCCAAAATCTCCTAAAGCTGATAAGCAACTTCAGCAAAGTCTCAGGATACAAAATCAATGTACAAAAATCACAAGCATTCTTATACACCAACAAAAGACAAACACAGAGCCAAATCATGAGTGAACTCCCATTCACAATTGCTTCAAAGAGAAGAAAATACCTAGGAATCCAACTTACAAGGGATGTGAAGGACCTCTTCAAGGAGAACTACAAACCACTGCTCAAGGAAATAAAAGAGGATACAAACAAATGGAAGAACATTCCATGCTCATCGGTAGGAAGAATCAGTTTTGTGAAAATGGCCATACTGCCCAAGGTAATTTACAGATTCAATGCCATCCCCATCAAGCTACCAATGCCTTTCTTCCCAGAATTGGAAAAAACTACTTTAAAGTTCATATGGAACCAAAAAAGAGCCCGCATAGCCAAGTCAATCCTAAGCCAAAAGAACAAAGCTGGAGGCATCACACTACCTGACTTCAAACTATACTACAAGGCTACAGTAACCAAAACAGCATGGTACTGGTACCAAAACAGAGATATAGATCAATGGAACAGAACAGAGCCTTCAGAAATAACGCCGCATATCTACAACTATCTGATCTTTGACAAACCTGAGAAAAACAAGCAATGGGGAAAGGATTCCCTATTTAATAAATGGTGCTGGGAAAACTGGCTAGCCATATGTAGAAAGCTGAAACTGGATCCCTTCCTTACACCTTATACAAAAATCAATTCAAGATGGATTAAAGACTTAAACGTTAGACCTAAAACCATAAAAACCCTAGAAGAAAACCTAGGCATTACCATTCAGGACATAGGCATGGGCAAGGACTTCATGTCTAAAACACAAAAAGCAATGGCAACAAAAGCCACAATTGACAAATGGGATCTAATTAAACTAAGGAGCTTCTGCACAGCAAAAGAAACTACCATCAGAGTGAACAGGCAACCTACAAAATGGGAGAAAATTTTTGTAATCTACTCATCTGACAAAGGACTAATATTCAGAATCTACAATGAACTCAAACAAATTTACAAGAAAAAAACAAACAACTCCATCAAAAAGAGGGCGAAGGACATGAACAGACACTTCTCAAAAGAAGACATTTATGCAGCCAAAAATCACATGAAGAAATGCTCACCATCACTGGCCATCAGAGAAATGCAAATCAAAACCACAATGAGATACCATCTCACACCAGTTAGAATGGCCATCATTAAAAAGTCAGGAAACAACAGGTGCTGGAGAGGATGTGGAGAAAGAGGAACACTTTTACACTGTTGGTGGGACTGTAAACTAGTTCAACCATTGTGGAAGTCAGTGTGGCGATTCCTCAGGGATCTAGAACTAGAAATACCATTTGACCCAGCCACCCCATTACTGGGTATATACCCAAAGGACTATAAATCATGCTGCTATAAAGACACATGCACATGTATGTTTATTGCGGCATTATTCACAATAGCCAAGACTTGGAACCAATCCAAATGTCCAACAATGATAGACTGGATTAAGAAAATGTGGCACATATACACTATGGAATACTATGCAGCCATAAAAAATGATGAGTTCATGTGCTTTGTAGGGACATGGATGAAATTGGAAATCATCATTCTCAGTAAACTATTGCAAGAACAAAAAACCAAACACCGCATATTCTCACTCATAGGTGGGAATTGAACAATGAGAACACATGGACACAGGAAGGGGAACATCACACTCTGGGGACTGTTGTGGGGTCGGGGGAGAGAGGAGAGATAGCATTGGGAGATATACCTAATGCTAGATGACGAGTTAGTTGGTGCAGCGCACCGGCATGGCACACGTATACATATGTAACTAACCTGCACAATGTGCACATGTACCCTAAAACTTAAAGTATAATAATAATAAATTTAAAAAAAAGAAAGTCTTCTTGTACTAAGAGCTCTCTTTTATTAATTATATTAATAATTAATAAGTGAAATTATAGAATTATATATAATAAGTGAAAGCTGCTGAATCAATTGAGATAATCACATTTTCTCTTTAATCTGTTATTGAGCTGAATAACATTTAAATGTTTTCTACTACTCCTCCATCTTTGCAGTAGAGAACCAAACTGACTTGGAAATGTGCATATCTGTAAAATGATGTTGACTTCCCTTTGCTAACACTATGCTTTTGGTTTTGGAATTGCACATATCATTGAGATTGTCCTGCCATTTTCTTTTCTACTACTGTCCTGTGACTTTGGCATCGAGATTGCACTGCTCATTAAATTAGGTGAATAAAATGCCCCCTCCTTCTATTCTGTTTTGTTTTTCCACTTGTGTAAAATTGGAACTGTGATATCCTTTGGCTGTGTCCCCACCCAAATCTCATCTTGAATTGTATTCCCCATAAACCCCACATGTCATAGGAGGACGTGGTGGGAGGTAATTGAATCCTGGGGGCCGTTTCCCCCATGCTGTTCTCGTGATAGTGAGTGAGTTCTCAAGAGATCTGATGGTTTTATAAGCATCTGGCATTTCCCCTGCTGGCACTCCTTCTCTCTCCTGCCACCCTGTGAAGATGTGCCTTTCACCATGATTGTAAGTTTCCTGAGGCTTCCTCAGGCAGGTGGAACTGTGAGTCAGTTAAACCTCCTTTCTTTGTGAATTACCCAGTTTCGGGTATTTCTTTATAGCAATGTGAGAACAGACTCACACAAACTGTCTTTAGAATCTTGGCAGAAGTCATCCATGTAATTATCTGAGTGCTAGCACTCACCTGTAAACTTATCTGGGGCTGGAAAATCCCTGTGGCAATCTTTTAAACTACTAACTCAATTTCCTTGAGAAAATTATTCAGACCTCTACATTCTTAATTCACTTTTGGCAAAATATACTATTTAATAATTTTTCTACTTTTATAAGATTTGCATTTTATCTGAGATTTATAGAGTATTCCATTTTATCTTGGATTACTAAAAACTAACAAAATTTTTCATATTTTCTAATTTTGATATCTCATACAATTGCGATTATGCCAACATGTTATTCTCTAATATCACCAATTTTCCTTTCCCTTTCTCATCTCGATCAAAGTTGCCAAAATCATGCTCCTTTCGTCGGTCGTTTTAAAAACTTCTGGCTCTGTTAAGGCTTTGCTTTACCTCTGCTATTGATGAAGCTTTAAGGCCTTTGTCATTACTGTTGCCTTCTTCCAACTTTTATGAGGTTGGGTCTTGCTCTTTTTCTTACATCTGAAGGTGTGCACTTCACTCATTAACTTTCAACTTTTTTCTGTTCTCATATTTGTTTCTAATGCGTAAAATTCTCATATAAGCCCTGCTCTATTGGGCCTCTGAGTTTTGATGTGTTATTTACTTCTGTTGCCTTCTGGTGGCATCAGAGGGCACAGTGAACACGACCCACCCTCTTGACGTGAACATGTGATGTCCTACTGATCACACCCCAGAGTCCCCACTGCGCTTTTTACTTAACTTTTGTGTGGATCGCATAGGTTGTATTATGACCATTGGTCTATGCGTCTCAAAACTAGCGCGTGAATTTCTTGAAAACAGAATTGTGTTTCTCCTATATTTGTATTCAGAGGTCCTAGGCCAGCATTGTGCTGGCTCAAAATAGGCACTTAGGAAATGTTCCTGGAATATACATTTGCAACGTAAAATGGGTAAGACAAAGTGTGCATTGATGCAGGAGAAATAAGACCTGTTTGGTTACGAAGGCACAGAAATGTATATAAACCACTTCAAAATGTGTATTTATTAACTATATTTAACTTGAAAAGATGCACTCACTGAAGCATCCACTAGGATGAATGGAAATTATACCAGCCTTTAAATTCAGCCGTCAACCTGGTCCTTCTCACAGCAAAGTCAAAGGTCAGCACATAATGGTTGTGCATTATAATATTCTCAAGAGCAGTCCTCTCACAGGGATGCTGTTTGAATTAGCTAATTGATGATTGCCAAGGGCTTTGGCGAGGCAAGGCTCTGCATAACTGATAATTACTATTATTATCACAGGGACTAAGATGTTCTGCATTGCTCTGTGAACAAAGGGCCAAGAAATGAATTTGCTATAAGATATAATGTAGCTAACAAAAAAGAAGTGTGAAAAGATAGAACATACGACGTCTCAAGTAGCTGAGATTTGTTTAGGAAGTTGTTTCTGCTTTGTGTTCCTGATAAGGACATCAAAACAGGCAAAATAATGGACTTTTTAGATACCCATAAAAGCATCCCAAAAGATTGCTCATTTCCTTTGTGTTAAAAATATGCGACTTTGCACGCAGAGAAGAGTTCTCAAGATTGCCAGACACTGAGCACAAGTCGTCAGAAGTTTAGACAATAAAGGGACATCTGAAAGACACCTGAGACAAGACAGAGAAAAATATCCAGCTTTAAAGGTGTCATACCCAACGTGTGTATTTTCCTGCACCAATTTTTTAAAAAAATGCCAAACTGATTCTTTCCTTAAATAAATTTGGGACATTCTGACCAGGCACGGTGGCTCATACCTGTAATCTCAGCACTCTGGCAGTCTGAGGCAGGCAGATCGAAGCCAGGAGATCAAGACCAGCTTAGGTAACAAGACAAAATCCCATCTGTACAAAAAATACAAAAAATTAGCCGCGTGTGGTGGCACACACCTGTAGTCCCAGCTACTCAGGGGACTGAGGCAAAGGGTCACTTGAGCCCAGGAGGTTGAGGCTGCAGTGAGCCATGACGGTGCCACTGCCCTCCAGCCTGGGTGACAGAGCGAGACCATGTCTCAAAAAATAAAAGTAAAATAGTAAATTTGGGGCATTCTTTCTGTCCTCCTGGCAGACAGGGTTGGTTGGTTTGATTTGGTTTTATTTTTTCCCTGGGTCATCGGATCATGAGAACACACACGAGTCTTCAGCCTCAATGGGTGGCTCCATCCTGCCCACTGGAGAGGTCAGTTTCTCAGCGCAGCTCATTCCAGCTCACAGGCCTCACCGTCAGGCCTGCCAGGATCGCAGCAACCTGCCTGGAAGACGAGCTGATGAGCTACTGGCCGGGTTTCCAGTGATACCAAGTTGAGCCCTTTTGTCTGACACCTCTGTCTGAAGCAGGGAGAGAGTAGGAGGACGGAGACCAAAATGGGGAATCCAAGGATGGCACAATTTAAAACAAACACTGTGAGGCTACCACGCCCCGCCGTGCTGGGTTATGGATCAGAGGGTCTGAGAACTGCAGCTGGCATGGTGAGATTATTTTCCACGTGAGCTCCCGTGGAAGGAACTGAGCACTGTTCCTGGGGTTCCAGTGCCCTGTGCTGTGATGAGTCAGGGGAGCTCTCCCTCCTGCTCCAAGCTCCTGAGCTGCCCTCACTGAGGACCACTTTACCAGTGTTCTCCTGCAGTGTTTTCCTGGATCCTTTCGGCTTTTCCGGGCACTGACAGGGATAGGAATGGGAGAGAGAAGAGAGAAGAAACAAAATCCACAACAGAGCCTTCGTCAAATTCCATAATTACAGAGGCTTTGGGGATTTCCAAAAGATTATTGTTGGGGGAGTAACGGCTGATTCCGAGAGCCCAAGCCGAAGCTAATTCTACAGAGGTGTTCACAGCAATGTCGTTGGTCTGGTTGGTTCGAGAAAAGGCAAATAAAAAAGGCAACAGTTAATGATCTCGGCTACTAACAACATGGTAGCGTCGCTTTCCCACACCCTGAAGCTGAGGGACATTTTCTTCTTGGGGTAGCCAATTAGTAGCATTAATGGGACAGGAATCAGATTAATCATGGCACGAGCCACCCGCTAATGCATTCCACCCATTATTCTCAGCATTCACTCATCAAGCAGTCTCCAAGAGCCTCCAAGGAAATAATAAAACGGGTCGATCTGAATGCCTCTCATCTCCCTTCTTCATCTCATCTACCTCTGACCTGGTAGTTAAGGAGCCACAAAATGGACAGGCCAGGGGCTATAGAGGAATCTGAGGAGAAGGATCAGGATAATGGGCAAACTGGAGATGTGATTAATTACAGAATGCACTTTTACTTTCCCCGGGTGAATTAGCTATAAACCATAAGCCTTCTCCCTGCTGCCATGGCCTTCACCTATTTTATCCTCAAAAAGAGATAAGCAGAGAAAATTGCAGCTTTGCAAGTGACATTTGCCCCTTCCTTGGCACTAAGGATTGGCAGGTTGCAATAACACACTCCAGACAGGGCTCCTCAGGCTGTACCGTGCATGTGAGCGGCCAGGAGAACCGACAGAAATGCAGGTTCCGAGGCAGTGAGTTGGGGACGGGGCCAGTTGCCACATGTCTGTGGTCTTTTAGCTGCAGGACAAACCAGACTGAAAGTCCTGCAGCTTCCAGCCCATCCGTGCACACACCATGTCTGGAAAATATGTATGGAACGGAGAAATGGGCAGTCACTGGAAAGAGAGCCACTGGCGACTTGACTTCTCTGTGAGGAATCCTGTAGCCCAGCCCAAGACAATGAAGAGGTTCCTGATGAGAACGTGTGGCTCTATCTGCCTGGTCACTGCCGAGCTGACAATGAGGATGCCCATCCAGCACCCAGGGTGTGACGACACCACACTCGCGAAACACCCCAGAACTCCTTCTACATCCCTGGCAAAGGGCAGGGCTCACGTTCCAAAATGACTCTGGATCCAAGGGGGCTTCTGGTTCACCCCGATGCTGACTTGTTCCCTGGGTTCTCACAGCCTGAGTTACCTTCCGGAAGAGCTGGGTGCCCTAACTCACGCACATGGGGGCTGCCGGGGGCCTTCCCAGCCCTTTCATTCTTGTGGTTTCATGACCCAGAGACATCGGGGGTTCCCCATGCTCACTCACATGAAATAGCTACCATTCTGGGGTTTTGATTTTTTGGGGGTTTTTTTGTTTGTTTTTTGTTTTTTGTTTTGAGACGGAGTCTCGCACTGTCGCCCGGGCTGGAGTGTAAGGGCGCGATCTCGGCTCACTGCAACCTCCGCCTCCTGGCTTCAAGCGATTCTCCTGCCCCAGCCTCCCAAGTAGCTGGTACTACAGATGCCCACCACCACGCCCAGCTACTTTTTGTAATTTTAGTAGAGACGGGGTTTCACCATATTGCTCAAGCTGGTCTCGAACTCCTGACCTCAGGTGATCCGCCCACCTCGGCCTCCCAAAGTGCTGGGATTACAGGCATGAGCCACTGAGCCCGGCCTATACTTGGGTTTTAGATGGATTATTTTGTAGGAGAAAGGTGAAATTATTCTTAGTATTTTATCTACTATAGACAAACTATTATTTTTATGTCTTTTGCAGACCTAATGACTATAGTAAACTCTTTTAATAAGCTTCCTATTATGGAACATATATTTAACGAACAAATAGATTATTTAAATAAGTGCCAAATAGATATCTAAGCAAGATCATTCCATATGCAATAAATAAATACATAAATGAGACCCAGTATTAAAAATACGTTTAGCCATTTAAAGCTTTTAACTAGTATTTAAAATGACCCAGAATTCAAGTCCCTGTCTCTGATTTGGCTATTTTTATATATTTACATCTTTAGGCAAAATAACATTTTCTCCTGCATCGAAAATCACATGCAATGGACGATATTAATCAGGTTAATCCCACAGCACCGCAGGCCGAAGCGGAAACTCTATCACGCCTTTGAGACAGGCGCTCAACGCAGTGGATTACCATGTGTGTTTGTACGGTGCGTCCCCAGTGACAGCACCATCTCTTCGGCCTGAGGCTCTGTGACTCTCGGCCACACTTGTCACCTTTGAGGGAAGTGGGCTTCAGCCCTGACGGGTGGTGTTCGAGACCCCACGCTCCAGGGGCCCCATCCAGGCTGGCTGTGGCTGTGGGCGCCTTTCCTGGGGCGCCACGGTCCGTGTTGCCCTGAGCCGTCCGGGGTGACCGGCGACAGCCACTGCTCGGGAGTCCTGCCGTGGACTCGCTGCCCGTGGTCCCAACCAGCAGACCAGGGTGGAATGAGAGGACGGCGATCTCAGCCAGGGGCTGTGTTAGAGACCACAGAACCCTTCATTCTCCCTCAGGACCTTCCTGAAGCCCTGCTGCCTCTGTGACAAGACAGCCAATCGTCCTTCTTGGCTCACTCCCTCGGGGAATTCCTCTTTCAAGCCGAACCTGACTGTCTCCACCTGTGGAGGGGACACGGCCCGCACCCCCTGTCTCAGGTGTCCGGGGCTGCTGATTCCGGATCCTAAGACTAACGGCGAAAACAGCATCTGCTTCTCTGGCACCCCGAGCCATAAAACCACCCAAATATCTTAAGTAACAGCATTTTAGAAACTAATGAAATAAAGTGAGACTTGAGAAAAAAAAAAAAAAAGCTTATATGAGCTCTGAGAGAACTTGCTCTATCACTATTAGCACAGTGCCACCTAATGGAAACGTGACATAAATGTACAGCCTTGAAAATTTAGAAGATTACAAAACACCCTATCAAGTTATACAGAAGGCACTTTTCCTCCACGTGTGTACCCTTTTTCAAGAAAATAATGATCTGTATGTTTTAAATGATTATAATTTTAGTTGGACAAAAATATGCACAGGCCAGACATTCACAGAATTCTTCTAAGTCACCATGAAAAGACACTCAGAATTTTTATTTTTGTTTTGCTCTTTTGTAAAACACATAAAGATAGAACTTGACATTTTTCTTCATATTTTAAAAATACTGGGCTGGAAGCGGTGGCTCACACCTATAATCCCAGCACTTTCAGAGGCCAGGGTGGGTAGATCACCTGAGGTCAGGAGTTCGAGACCAGCCTGGCCAACATGGTGAAACCCTGTCTCTACTAAAAATACAAAAATTAGCCCGGCATGGTGGTGGGTACCTGCAATCCCAACTACTCAGGAGGCTGATGCCAGAGAATCGCTTGAACCCAGGAGGCAGGGGTCGCAGTGAACCGAGATCATGTCACTGCACTCCAGCCTGGGCGACAGACCAAAACTGTTTCTCAAAAAAAATAAAAAATAAAAATAAATACTATCAATGGGGCACTCTAGTATCTTAAAAACTTTGTTTTAAGAAATATCAAAATTAGGCTGGGCACGGTGGCTCAGGCCTGTAATCCCAGCACTTTGGGAGGCCAAGGAGGGTGGATCACAAGGTCAGGAGACTGAGACCATCCTGGCTAACACAGTGACACCCCATCTCTACCAAAAATACAAAAAATTCGCCAGGTGTGGTGGCAGGCACCTGTAGTCCCAGCTACTCGGGAAGCTGAGGCAGGAGAATGGCGTGAACCCGGGGAGCACAGCTTGCAGTGAACCGAGATCGCGCCACTGCACTCCAGCCTGGGCGACAAAGCAAGACACTGTCTCAAAAAAAAAAAAAAAAAAAAAAAAAAAATCACAATTAATTTAGCATAAAATGGCATAGTTTTAAACTGAGTTTTTATTAGAAGTAGATTTTCAAAGATGTTGCAAAAGATTTAGAATGAATTTAAGGAGATCTGTCTTTGCCCACGTTATATAAATGACGATTCTAGGTGAATGTTGTAAAGCTCAAGGTCATCTGTCACGAAATCTTTACCAGGTTTGACACAATGTCTGTCTTTAATCCATTTTAAATCTTCGCATGGTCTAGGTGACTCAGAATAAAATATACAACATTTTATTGCATATGGTGTTATTTGCAACTTTATGTCATTTCCTTTGCATTTCAGCAGAGATTTCCTGATTGCTTTTGATGTTTAAGTACCTGTGTGAACATAATTATGTGTTAAAATATCTCTGTACGATATGATCACTCTTTAAGAACAAGAACTCCTTTAATACACCTCAGGTTTTCCCAGGTATGAAAGATTCTATTAATCACTGGAAGAAGAGTCTCTGGCCAAGTGCACAGCCCCTCTCAGCTCAGCTTCATAAACAAGGCACATTCATGACAAACGTTCTACCTAAAGTGTCTCTATTTAGCCTTTCATGACAAATGTTCCATTCAAAGAATATTTTTCTACTTAAATATTAAATATGTAAATTAGAATATTAAATATTCTATTTAAAGAAATGTTCTATTTAAATGCTCTATTTAAATAGCACGTTCATGGCACATGTTCTGTTTAAAGTGTCTTTCTATTTAGCCTTTCTATTACTATAGTTAAAGAAAAAATATAAAAACATGAAATTCTACTTTGGTATCTAAACCTCTTAATCAACTTACTCAACGCACATCCACATAGCATCACCATGGGCCACCCTGTGCAGATGGGACGAACCCCAAAACATTGAACAATAGAAACACTGAAATTGCAACAGAAAAAAGGAATGATTACTTCAATTGTATCGTTGTGAAAAAAACTTCTGTAACAGCAAACGTAAAAGTTTCCTAGGCCAAGATAATCTGCCGGAAACTAAGCAGATGGTACCGAGCTGAATTACCTTGTAGTTACTTCTTCTGAGGCAGGTTGGAGCTCATCACAGTTAACTGAAAGCTCCCCACATAAAGTCAAAACATAAAAATGAGATGCACATTGTCGGTCAGTTGTAGCGGCCTTGCAGCCTCTGCCAACCTTTCATTAAGATGCTTTGAGGTTAAGAACTTCCTATTTCATGAACAATGGCATCCCGTGGCTGTTACATGACGCAGATAAAATGTGCAGAAAGATCATGAGGACAATATACACCATTAATTTGTGTGATGAGAACAGGAATAAGAAGTTCCTATAATACTAGAATGTTTCTGTAAAACACACGGTTTATGTTCTGAAAATTCTGCCTTTAATCTCAGTTTAGTATGGTCTTCTAGGAAATAGGGATCCTCATAAGAATTTTGCAGAATCCCATGAAGTTGAAAAATTAAATAAAAAATACACATTAATCATAGGAAAAGTTTCACATCTAGGAAAAATGTAAAAGGTAGTCCCAAGATGTTTTTTATTAATATAGCAAAAATTTAAAATATGCTGTAAGCTCAAGATCTAAATGCAGGAGGAGCACTATATTGAATAAACTGATAAGAAAGAGATTCTAATGTTCATTCCATTTGTTTATGTATTTATTTGTTTGTTTATTTTTGAGATGGAGTCTCCCTCTGTCACCCAGGCTGGAGTGCAGTGGTGCAATCTTGGCTCACTGCAACCTTTGCATCCTAGGCTCAAGCAATTCTCCTGCCTCAGCCTCCCAAGTAGCTGGGATTATAGGCACGTGCCACCACACCCAGCTAATTTTTGTATTTTTTGTAGGGACAGGGTTTTGCCACGTTGGCCAGTCTGGTCTCAAACTCCTGGCCTCAAGCCATCTGTCCACCTTGGCCTCTGAAAGTGCTGGGATTACAGGTGTGAGCCACCGTGCCTAGCCTCTAATGTTCATTTTAGAGAAATAAAATGTAACACCACAAAATTCAAAATCAAGTCTTAAGAGAGATGTTAAACTTTGGGGGATGGCAAGAGAAGGACATTTCCCGTTGACTCCTTTAGACCCTGGGCTGCAGACCTTGCCAAGAACAATCGGTCAGTTTCAACCTTGCTAGGCTGGTGCAGTTGTTTTTAAAGAGTCACAGAGGCCGTATCTCAACTCACGTTCAGCTGAAACATCTACCGTAGACAAAGCTGTTCAAAGGAGCCACTTGACCTTTTTCACAAAACAGGTCTGATTTTCCAAGTGAGACCTCGGAGGAGAAGGTGGTAACTGGCAGCCATGCGGTCCCACAGAAAGTACCTATAGAAGGGAGGCTGTCAACCATGAAGACTGGCCATCCATCGAGGGGCCCGGTGTCACTAAATATTACGGTAACACAGATAACAGGCTTGTGGAAAATCTCCAGAAACAAATGTTTTGGTTTCTCAGAAATAGTTTTAATAAAAATGCCCCAATTCTATAATTTAGCATGTCATTCATTGCTTTAAACAACAGACAGTTCAATTCTGTGTTTCCTCTAAAATAAAACACATGGAAACACATGGGGTGAAATTTGTGCTGTACTTGCGGGCACAGCAGGCCGACTTCTCCATGTGTTCAACACCACAGGGAATGTCTTCCTTTCCACTTTTATCTTTCTTGTCAGCACTAATTTATCTCTGCTGCCAGATTTCTCCCAAAATATGACTCGATTCCACTTCTAATCTCCCAAACCCCAACATTTAATCCCATTACTCTTTGAGTAAAATGTATTCTTTTCAACTGAATACTCAGTTACATTTTCATGAGATATTTTCTTGTGTTTTTAACAAGTGTTGCTAACAATTGTGTTGAAAAAAAAATCAGTGCCATATATACTTCAAAGTGAATTCTAATGGTTGCTTAGTTTTATGTGTTCAAATTTTTTAGATTCCCCAGAATTAGTGTTTGGTTTTAAAACAGAGTCCAGTGATAGGTCAGAAAAGAGAGACTTTCATGCAAAAATACAACAGACGTAGGAAATCTAACAATATATCTAAATTCTGACTCAATTCAGGCAATGCAGTTACATCAAGTGGTGACATAATCAGAGCTAGAGACGCAATGAGGAGTTCAGAGAAATGCCGAGCTCTCCAATCTGCTATCACGAGTAATCACTGAGAAAACAGAATGCTAGATTGAAAGATGCTGCAGCTCTGTGACCCTTTCAAAATTATCCAAAGACAGTAAATTAAAGAAGAAATTGCCTCCAGAATGATGGTAGCTCTCAAACAAAGAGTCAGGTGTGTTGGCAAAAGCCTGTGGAAACCAGGGATTCCACACTTTTCTCAGCAAACTCATGGTTGTCACCACCTCCTTGGCATCAGCCTCAGGACTTGGCTACAAAGAATGTCCAGGCAGACCTGGGAGAGTCCAAACCAGGGTTTATTTGTTTATTGTGACAAAATACACGAACACAGAATATACCGTTTTAATCACTGTAAGTGCACAATTCAGTGGCACTAAAGACATTGCTGTGCAACCATCACCAACATCCATCTACAGAACCTTTTCATTTTGCAAAACCAAACTCTTACCATTAAACAGTAACTCCCCGTTCTCCCCACCTCCTGCCACACGTCACTCCCATTCTGCTTCCTGTCTCTATAAATCTGATGACTTTAGGGACCTAATATAAGTGGGATCATACAGTAGTTGTCCATTTGTGACTGGCTTATTTGACTTAACACAATGTCTTCAAGGTTCTGCCATGTTGTAACATGGGTCAGAATTTCCTTTTTTTTTTTTATGAAGCTGAATAACATTCCCTTATGCTAGGGGTGGTGACTCATGCCTGTAATTTCAGTACTTTGGGAAGCTGAAGTGAGAGAGTCCCTTGAACTCAGGAGTTTAAGACCATCCTGGGCAACATAGTAAGATGCCAACTCTACAAAAAGCAAAAAAATTAGCTGGGCATGGTGGTACACACCTCATGTCCCAGATATTCAGGTTGAGCTGGGAGGGTTGGTTGAGCCCAGGAAGTCAAGGCTTCAGTGAGCCATGATGACACCCTTCACTCCAGCAACTGGGCAACAGGGTGAGACCCTGTGTTTAAAAAAAATTCATTGTATGCGTAGACTGTATTTCACTCATGCATTTACCCAACAGTGGACACTGGATTGCTTCCATGTTTTAGTTATTGTGAATAATGCTACTATGAACAAGCCTAAGTTTTTAAGATATTTGATACTTGGTCTGCATCTGTATACCACGTGATTATTGTAAGAATCTGGAAGCATGAAATCACATACACACACATTTATCCCAGAAATGCTTCCAATCAAACCCTTGAATCCTTGGGATTCTGAGAGGGAACAGGTAAAAGAAGAAAATATCTAATGTACATTGAAAGCTGGGTGTGATTGTCCGACAGGTTCTTCCTGCCCACCACACAGACAAATTCACTGAGACCCTGGTATTACAGTCAAGAAAGAGTAATTAATGCTAGGCAAGCCACTCAAGAGACGGGATTTATTACTGACATCAGCCTCCTTGAGGGCTCAGAGGCTAGGGTGTTTATGGATAATTTGGTGGCAAGGGGCTAGGAACTGGGTGCTGCTGACTGTTTAGGGATGCAGTCGTGAGGGGGTGGAGAGAGGGTCTCGTGGGCTGAGTCGGCCTCTGGGTGGGGGCCACAGGACTGGTTGAGTCGTGAGTCATGGATGTGGATGGGGTCCATTGGTTGCCAGAATGAAAAAGTCTGAAAAACATCTCCAAAGACAAATCTTAGGTCCTGCAACAGTGATGTTATCTATAGGAGCAACCGGAGAAGTCACAAATCTTGTGAGCTCTGGCCACATGACTCCTGAGCAGTAAGGGATTCTAGAAACTATGCCCACGTTTAGCAGAGCCCAGGCCCCTCCCATAATCCTGATCTTGTGGCCTTCCATTAGTTTCCGTCCCTGACCAAGGAGGGATCTGTTTTAGGGAGGGACTATGGCCATCCTTGTTTGCAAGTGAAATGGTAAACTACATTCCTCCCATAATTAGCTTGGCCTATGTCCGCAAATGAGCAAGGCCAGCCAGCCTGTGAGGCGGAAGCCAGGTGGAGTGGGACACACTAGGCTTCTCTTCACTGCCATCATCTTTGCAAAGGTGGTTTCATGAGTCGCAGTGAACACACTAAAAGCTATGGGGAGAATTAACTGCTTATGGTACACCTTCTCCACAATCTCACTGCAGTAGCACCAAGCTTTGTGTACCAAGACAGGAGGGTGGGTTTTTCACAGGCTGATCGGATGAATCCTGCGGCAGCGAGGGTCCAAAAAGGACATGCATCTCTCGTCTCAAGAAGTTTGCAATCTGGATGAGACAGGAATGGTGCAAATATTTCTGGATGAGGTGTAAATCGTGCCAGATATGATGGTGGGATGTGCAGTCTTGGGAGGACATCTGACTCAGAGAAGAAGGACTTCCTGGAGGAGGTGATGTTTTTGAGCTGGGTTCCAAAGGATGAGAAAGAGTTACCCAGAGAAAGAGTAAAGCAAATATTTCACATGGAAATGGAAAGTCCAGAGCTCTAACCATAAAACAGAGTGAAGTAGATTAGAGAACCTGCAAGTTAAATATGGCTAAGGAGAGAGAGCAAGGTGCGGACGGTGATGATGTTGAAGGAGACAGCAGGAAAACACAGGAGGTCCGCAGGGGTAGGGAGCCATATAGAGGAGATGGGCCTCCACGCTGGTGGCAGTGGGACCACTGGCAAGGACTGAATGAGATTTAAATTTAAAAATGTCCTTCTGTCTGCACTGTAGAGAATCCCAAAAGCTTGCAGGCCGGTAAGGAGGGCAGAGCTTAGGAGACCAGGGATGGAATCAAGGTCAGGGATAATGGAGGCCAGGCTGGCTGTACAGAGAAAAATGCACATTTGGAGCATTCTTGAGAATCCAAGTCCTCGCTGATGAGTTCATGTGGGAAAATGAAGGGGAGGGGGGCTTCAGGGGTCCTTTGGCTTGTGAATAGAGAAACTAGGCCCTTGGTGATGTCGTCTCTTAGACAGAGAGTACCAGGCAGAGACGAACACAAGATCAGAAAGGTGATAAAGTCTGCAGCTATCAGCCTTTCCATGGTGTACCCTGAAAGGACAGGAATATCCGCTTTGGGGATCGTAGGCAAAAATAGAACTGGGAGAGGGATTATTGGGATTAAATGTCCTCAGATTTATGGGACACGGATTAGTTGTCCACCAATAAAACAGGGGCCAGCGTTTAAGAGTAATGGTTCAGGTCTGGACCCCAGATTCTCCCCTTCCTGACCCACGTGGCTTGGTCCTTAGCGCTTCGCTCCTGGGCAGAGCTTATTTCCACGATCGGGGCTAAGCTAAAGACATTGTTCTCATCAGATTTAACTCCTGTAGGAGTTCTCACAGTCTCCCACATCAAGAAAAATAATGTGCGTCTATGGTGTCTCCCGACATGAGGTGATTTCTCATTTCAATTTTTAAAGTCATTCTTTCTGAAATGTTCTCATCAAATAGCTGTAGTTAAATATTAGACATTTTCTACTTTATTAAGTTATTTATTGTTCAATGCCATTTTCAATTATTCCAAGTTTTGTTTTTTAAGGGCTTCTCATTAAATTGAGGGACAGCTCCTGTAATTTGTCTATCTCCAGTTTAATAATCAAACCGAAAAGGTACAGGACTTTTTTTTTTTTTCCAGAGAGGTTTGAGGTTTGAGGATACTCATCATGAAATATGCATCATAGAAGAGCTTTCAAAGCAGTGGCCAATCTGTATGCAAAATCCCATGCTAAAACCCGTAACTGTCTAAGTCAGATACAAAGTAATTCAGGAAAAAAAAATAGGACGTTGCAAACCACAAAGATCTCAGGTGGCCTTATGGGGCTAATAAATCAGTTCTAAAAACGCACTCTGGCTGGACTCCTGCTTGGAGCTCTGGGTTGAAGACTCCAAGCATTCATTTTACCAACTATGAAAAAATTCAGTCCAGTTTTAAGTTAGAGAAGAGAAGAAAAAGAACGCATTGCTTTCAGATGCTTTTGGCTCAGCTATAATTCAAAACCAGCCTCGATACTGACACTTACCCTTCTGCTAGTAGAGCTGAGAGCTCAGTCTTCAAATCATCATTTTTTTGATACAAAAACCATAAAAATGGTCATTACTTATTGCAAATACCTACACCAATTCATGTTCCTATGGATGATTTTTGCCCGGTTTTAAAACCAAACTATACAACAAATTGTGTGTTATTAAGGTGAGCGCTTACTAACTCTCTTAGCTTGAAAATGGAAATGTCTCCTTGATCCAATTAAAGCTTCCACTAAATTTTGGAAACGCCAATCATAAGATTTGGGTCACCTCTGTAGCAGACACCCTCAAACTCGAGAAGATTTTAGGAACTACCTGTGTCTGGCTGGGCACAGTGGCTCATGCCTGTAATCCCAGCACTGTGGGAGGCCGAGGTGGGAGGATTGCTTGAGCCCAGGAGTTCAAGACCAGCCTGGGCAACATGGAGAACCCTCATCTCTATAAAATGAAAATAAAAATAAAAAGAACTACCTATGCAGAGGCTGCCCATCAAACCAATTGCACTGAGATTTCTCTGTGAGGGTCTCAGCATCTGTCCACATGTTTCTGAACCTCCTAGGGGTTCTTATTGTATTGAGAGTTGAGGATCACTGCTCTAGCAAGTGATATTTCTTTTCGTTAAAATTGAATACAGAGCCAATAATTTACTGAGAAATTGAAAACCAATGAATAAATAATTAAAATGACAATGATATAGGAAAGCTTTATGCTTTTTCACTTATCTAAATTCACGAAACTGTTTGGACATTGTATCTTTTGTTTTTTTTCTTTTTTGATTTTTGAGATGGACTTGTGCTCTTGTTGCTCAGGCTGGAGTGCAATGGTGAAATTTTGGCTCACTGCAACCTCCACCTTCTGGATTCAAGCAATTCTCCTGCCTCAGCCTCCCTAGTAGCTGGGATTACAGGCACCCACCAACACGCCCGAATAATTTTTGTATTTTTACTAGAGACAGGGTTTCACTATGTTGGCCAGGCTGGTCTCAAACTCCTGACCTCAGGTGATCCACCCACCTCGGCCTCCCAAAGTGGCCACCATGCCCGGCCTTTTTTTCTTTTTTTAATTAAGCCTGATCAGAAACTTTGACACCCCCCTCTTGGCTTCTACGCCAGTGACTGCAGTCTGTGGCCACAAGGAGATGAACTGTCACTTCCCCTCCTCCCCAACCGCCTCCTCAAGTGCACTCAAGCAGAGCTACTCCCGTTTGCCCAAATAATTTTTGATTCCCTCTACCTTATTAATACAATGTTCCTGATTCTCTGAATTGCAGATGGGCAGACAAAATGTACCCAGGAAAAGTGACACCCTCCTATAAGAAAACATGTGGTGGGTTATCTCTGAGCCCCTGCTGTTAACGTTCTACACCAAATGCCCTTTCTAATGCTGGGAGTGTCCCTCAGGGCGGCCGCACCCCTCACCTCACTTCTGAGGCAGGGTTCTGAACACCTGCTGTTAACTTTCTACACCAAATGCCCTTTCTGACCTCAGGGTAGCCGCACCCCTCACCTCACTTCTGAGGCAGTGTCAGCACTCAACACCTTCTGCTGATTGTGTCATTTTGAATAAGAAGAGAAACAAAAACAACAAACGTGTTTCTTCTTTGTGAACCCCGAAAAGAGCATGCAGGCTCTGAGGTGGGTCATTGATAAGACAGCAGGTCATACCTGAAATCAAACAACCCTTTAAAGACACAAAGAACTCCAGAAACTGCACTTCCAATCTTGATTAAAAAAAAGCCAAATTCTGTAAAATATTTGAAGAAGTTTATTCTGAGCCTAATCTAAGTGACCACAGCCTGTGACACAGCCTCAGGAGGTCCTGAGAACTGCTGTCCAAGGTGGCTGAGTTACCACTTGATTTTATACATTTGAGGGAGACAGAAGTTACAGACAAACGAATAAATCAATAAATGGAAGGTATACATTGGTTTGGTCCAGAAAGGAAAAATGTCTTGAAGCTGACAGGGGTGGGAGGGGTTGGTTACAGGTCACATGTGGATTCAAAGACTGAAAGAGTTAAGCTTTGCCTAAAAAGTTGCAATGGGTAGAATGAAATGCTTTAAGATTAAGGGTGTTGTGGAAGCCAAGGTTCTTGGTGTGTAGATGAAGCCTCCAGGTAGCAGCTTCAGAGAGAATAAATGGTAAATGTCTCTTATAGGACCCTAAAGGGTGTCAGACTCAGTCAAGTCTCTCCTGGATCAGAAAATGACCTAGAAAGGGATGGAGATTCTCTATAGAAGCCAAGTTTCCTCCACAAGAAATAGCTTTGTGGGGCTGTTTCAAAATATGCCAAATAAATATATTTTGGGGATAAAATACTCCGATTTCTTCAGGGCTTGCTATCTATTATGTGATGCTATACCAGAGTCAGGCTGGAACTGAGTATCTTATTGCTACCAAGAATCTGTTTTGTCAGTCTTGGGTTCTCTGTTGTTTCATGTAAATGCTGGTCATTTGCACCTGAATTGCAATGGGAGAGGGTATAAGGAGGTGTGTCTGACCCCCCTTTCCCGGCACGGCCTGAAATCATTTTTCAGGTTTCTTTCAGATCCCCTTGGCCAAGAGCAGGGCTCCATTCAGCCAACTGGGGCTTTAGAATTTTATTTCTGGCTTACACCAAATACCCAAACTTTGCATGAAACTTTTGAAAAGATCCCAAGTCTTTGCATTAAAATTCTAAAAAATGGTATCAAAGAAGAATGGCGATGCTCCCAACACCTGCATAAAGCAAGCGGAGAAATCTGACACATAGATCAAGCATTTGATAAAAGGCCAAGATTTTTAATACATCATTACATATAAGGCAGTGTGAGAAGCGGGCAGAAGCTCGCTCGTCACCAGGCCTGGAAGAGTGTCATGGCGGACAAGGCTGGGGCAGTCACGGGGGAAAACAGTCCACAAGGAGGCGCCACAGGAGCAGCCGCTGAACCAGCAAAGCAAATCCCGTTGGGATCTACTCAGTTGTGATGTAAGTGCAGTTACAGGAGCGCTCATTAGCATAATACTGAGCAATAGAGCGGTGGACATGAGAAGTGAGACCCCAACCACAGGGAGAAATCAAAACCACTTCTGCCTCCACTGTGGGTGCTGCTGAAAACACGGAGGTTACAACACGCTGATCCTCTTGATTGCCGAACTGGATAAGATGTTTTTCGTTTTCCCTAAGGGATTTTTGCAGCTACTTGAAGACAACAGAAGCCTGTTGCTGTTGTTTTCTTTTAAATTGGGCATAGCTATTTGACACAGAGGACGCCATCACTGACAGTGGCTGGACGGGGCCCATGCACTGACGAAGGCGAGACCGCCTTTTTCCCCTGTGCAGACTTCTGCTGATGACTCCCAGAGACAGATGCTTGGTTAAGAGGCAAACTGCCTTTCAGATTTTAATGTTCAGGAAGGAGAGATAAACCCGTTGGAGTTTATAAATAAAGACCAGAATGGCTTTCTCATTTGCTGTGATAAACTTTTGAGATTTCTGCAACAGATGAAATCATGAGGTATTTGTCTTCACACGCAATGTTGTAGCAAATAACACTTTTTTTCTCCGTAGTGGTCTGGCTGATACTTTTCAATCTTAGAATTATGTCAGGAAGAAAGTTACAAGTAGGTGCTAATGATCTTCAACACCCCCTCCCTTTAATTCTTGCTAATTCCGTCATAACAAAGAAAATAAGTTCAGCAGGAGAAGACCAACATCAGAGCTGCCCACAGGAGAGACACCAGATGAACGTGAAATGCAGCCCTGCACCCATTCACCTGGAGACGTCCAGGTTGGGCACGCAATGCGTGTGAGCCCAAGGGCTTCAAAAATCAATTAACCATGTGGTTTTCTTGTGCTAGGAGGCCACTCCACCTCCTCCACATTCTGGGCTTTACCTCCAACTTAAATCCACACTGCATAGAGTCTTCCTAGTTGTACAAAATAACTATTGCTTGCACAAGGCTGTGCAAAGTTCTCAATGCTTTGTTCTATTTCCATAAATTACAATTAACATTTTATCTGTTTAGTAGTTTTATTTTTCTTCCCCCACCCCCTGCTCCCACTGTTTGGGGAAACTTTAGGAGAAAAAGAATGCAAAATGAACAATTACAAAAGACAGCTAACTCATATCAAGGAGAATGACTGTCTTTGTGGAAATTAAGTGCCTGTTTCTAAGTACCATGCATATTCATAGTGCTTATTTATGTCCTGATAATGGAAGTGTCATCTGCTGTGAATGCCCAAATTCATCCTCGTTTTCCAAACGAGTCCACGGTTGATGACTAAGGAACCCTGTGGTACATTCATCGTTGCTGCAGTGACACTTAACACCCCGGCCCTTTAGAGCTTTTGAACCACTTTCATTGAAATTGCAAACAAACTCAATTATCTTGTGATTTTAATTAGTACAAAAATAACCTATTTTGTTAACAAGAAAGAAACTGATTTTACAACAAAATTGGTCAGGTATATTTGAAAAACTAGCACAATGAGGTAACTGCAGAGAGAAATACTACCCTGCATGGCACCAGGCCCAAGAGGAGGCTTAATAAATAATATTTCATGCTGATGCTGATAAGGGTAACACTTCATAAGGCAAAGGAAACAATCTTGGGCCACTGCTATCATTAGATTTTCTGATGGATGCCTACTCTCTTCCTGTTTTTCAAGAAACTTAGAATTGAGCTGAGGCATTTTGGATACAAATGACAATAACACAGCTCAAAGGCTGTGCCTGTTGTGTTGCATTCATTTTTGCAGAACATGGTGAAAAGGAGATCGTAAATCTGGATTTCATCACTGAACTCATGTTTAGAATCCCATGCAACTCCTGAGAATTCTGCTACAAAACACTTCTGCCAGAGATATTTGCTGAGGAGAGAATCATGCCCACATGGAATTCCTTGCAACTGGCCTCATGAGACAGTTCTTGTCCATATTGAAAATGAAGTGGCCAGCACAAGGCACAGCCTCTTACTTGGAATATGTTCTATGCAACAAATTCGTCTTTAGAGTGGATATTAATATTGCATTAAACACTATTACAGCCATTGTAATTTTTGTAGCAATAGAGTGAATATAAAATGACAGTTACTCCATTAACTACGAAGTGCTTTTTTATGAAGGTCGGCTGGTGAGTGTGTGTGACTGTGTGTGCATGTGTAGGTGCATGTACATGTGTGCATGTTTACTCATTTAAATCCTCCCCCCGTTGTGTTAGAGGTCATTGATTACCATGCACTTCCCCCCCTCCCCCCACCACTCTGTCCATCTGAAAACACCAGCAGTCACAAGAGGGCTTTCATACAAAGAGAGTTGGGGAGGTGGACATTTGCCAACAGAGGTCTTCTACATCTAGGAGAGTGCTGGAGGTCCATTTGCACAACCAACTGATATGCTGGGTGGTGTCGTAAAAAAGAGAATGACCGGAACTTCAAATGAATGCGAACCTTCGATCGTGATAAATACCATATACAATGATGCTTGCTTGGAATGTGTCACAGAAATGATGAAGCAAAATACCACTCACCTAGCGATTTTAGAAATGCTAATTGATGTCATAATCTTTGGCTTTGAACAGTTGTTTATAAACTGAATTTCTGGCTTTTCTAAATACCTAGAATTCTACACACACACCCCACCTTTGAGGTTTGTTTAAATACAGATGGCTGCTGTAGACAGAGAAACCAGCTCAGAAGAGTGTGGTTGTGCTATGATCTCTGAAAATTACTGCACTGTCTGTTAACAGTGCATAATCAGGTTCACCATTATAAAAAGGGGACTTAGTTCAGTCTTACTTTATGCAGGGAATTATACTGGGGCTTTAAATTATTAATATATTAAGGTATATACAAAGATAATATATACAAGAGATGTTGAATTACCAACCGAAGACCACATTGGGGCAAGGTACAATGGGTATAAATCAGAAAAGAGCAGGGACTGTACCTCTTTCTTCCACATTCCTCCTACGTCTGTTTTATGTCCTATTATACAGCTGGAAAAAGCTGATGAATTAAACTGGACTTGCAGCCCCAGAGCGTGACGTCACATCCAGGAGGCCATCAGTAGCAGGCCTTTGTTGAGCTGCTGAAAAGGAATTCTCCTGTAACTGGAAGCAAGTAGGAGAAATTTCCCGTTCCTTCCCACGCTACAGCATCACATATGGGAAAAGCTAACATCAAGAATGGCCTGGGATGTGCAGAATCTTCCAGTTCTTCATCCTCAGTGCCTGACTGTCGACAGTCCCACAGATTCACAGCCATGGGTGCAGGGGAAGCTTACTCTTTTTTGAACATAGGTTAGAAAAGCAGGAGCACATTTCTAAACAACTGGCTCCTTTCCAAAATGCATTAAGGCCAGAAGAATGCAAAGTATGAAGTCAAGAAAAACTCTAGCCCAACTGAGATCATCTGTGACATTCTTTAGAAGAGTTAGAGGGACATCCATGTTAAATGGAACAAAAACATTAAGTAAGAGATCCATCAACCCCACTTCTGGGTGTTAAAGATTTGAAATCAATGGGTCCAAGAGATATCTGCACTCCTAAGTTCATTGCAGCATGATTCACAATAGCCAAGTTATGAAATCAGTCTAAGTGTCCATTAAGGGACAAATGGATAAGGAAACTGTAGTTTATACACACAATGGAGTATTATCCAGCCCCTAAAAAGAAAAGAAATTCTGTTATTTGTGACAACATGGATGGAATTGTAGAACATTATGCTGAGTGAAATAAGCCAAACGCAGAAAGACAAGCACAGCATATCCTCACTTACTTGTGGAATTAAAACAATTGAACTCGGAGCAGCAGAGAGGGGAATGGTGGCTGCAGAGGCTGACGCCTGGGAAAACACAGACATGACAGTCAAAGGCACAAAGCTTCAGTGAGATCGGAGGAAAAGTCTGATATTTTTTAGATCCATAGCACAGCATGCTGAATACATTCTAAATTGTCTATAAAGCGCATAACACCACTTTTTACCCATAAGTACATACAACTATAATTCGTCAATATACAACACAAATTTGTTTTTAAATATTAAACACTAAGAGCTCTTTCCAACCTTTTCCTTGTAATCACCAAAAGTCAGGCTGAATTGCTTCATGGTTGTAAGGCACTCTCACATTTACTATTGCATTGGGAAATTAAAGAGCACAGAAGGGGCTCCTTCATTTAATTTCTCAACAGATTTGTCGTAGTAGGGAGCAACGTCTATAAAGATGGTACACTATCAGAAATGTCTTCAGAACGTCCTGAACAAACGTGACCTTCAGAAGTCATTGATGAAAGTATGCTGCCCTAAATCCTTAATCCAGAAGCTGGGTGGGAGTGGAGCATCTCCTTGGGATCAGGGGTGTCCAGGTGGGAGAAGAGCACCTCCTTGGGATTTTCTCTGCCTCATTTCTCAAGGGGGCACAAATGGAAGTTTCACAATTGGAGCCACTGTTAAATAAAGAAATGGAGGAGAAGGAAGTGGAGGAGGAGAGGGAAATGGGGAAGAAGAATTGACTGAAGACAGAATAGTTGGAATACCCTTGAGAAAGCAATATTTATTTCCACAGGAGTTATTTTAGTCAAAACTATGTTTGAACCAATTGCTCATTGAGTAGGTATCAGACGTCGTGTCAAACACTTTCCTGGGCCAGGCGCAGTGACTCACACCTGTAATCTCAGCACTTTGGGAGGCCCAGGCGGGTGGATCACTTAAGGCCAGGAGTTGAGGATCCACTTAGGCAACATAGTAAGACCCCATCTCTACAAAACATATGAAAATTAGCAGGACTTGGAGGTGTGCACCTGTGGTCCCTGTTTGTTGGGAGGCTGAGGTGAGAGGATTCCTTGAGCCTAGGACTTCGAGGCTGCAGTGAGCAATGATTGTGCCACTACATTCCAGCCTGAGTGACAGAATGAGACCCTGTCTCCAAAAAATAAAAAACACTTTCCTATATCTTGTCTCACTAAATCCAACATACCAAACAATTCTCCAGAGGACACCAGCTGGGTGTCCTGTAATTCAACTTCACTCTGACCCTGTCTACCTAGAGAGAGGATCAGATCCCACGGGTTAAAGGACCCTGTCCCATAAGACGGTCCCCACGTCAGATACCAGCCACCACGCTTCTGACTGAATGGCCGCAAATCGGGCTCCCAGCACCCCCTTCTTGAGGTCAATTCATTTGCTAGAGCAGCTCACAGAACTCAGCAAAACACCATACTTACATTTGATGGTTTGTTAATAAGGTTATAATAAAGGACACAGAAGAACAGGCAGATGAAGCGATGGAGAGAGCGGGGTCTTGAAGGTCCCAAGCACAGGAGCATCTGGCCCCATGGAGTTGGGGTGCTCCACCCTCCTGCCATGCAGCTGTGCTCAGCAGCTTCTTAAGTGTTTTTATTTGGTTTTCTCTGTTTCTTTATTTTTTGAGACAGGGACTTTCTGTGTCACCCAGGATGTAGTGTAGTGACACGATCATAACTCACTGCAGTGCCAACCTCTTGGGCTCGAGTGACCCTCCCACTTTAGCTTCTGGAACTATAGGTGTGCAATAGGTGGCTTTTTTTTTTTAAAGTTTTTGTAGAACTGGGGTCTCACTATGTTGCCCCGGCTGGTCTTGAACTCCTAGACTCAAGCGATCCTCTTGCCTCAACCTCCCAAAGTGCTGGTATTAAAGGCATGAGCCACCACATCCAGCTAATTTTTGTTTGTTTGTTTGTTTGTAGAGATGGGGTCTCTCCATATTGCCCAGGCTTGAAAACTCCAAACTTCTAATCACGGCTTGGTCTTTCTGGTGACCAGGCCCATCTAGGAGCCACCAAGAGTTGCTTCATGAGAACAAAAGACGTTCCTCTCACTCAGAAAATTCCGAGGGTTGTAGAGCTCTGTGCCAGGAACTGGGGGGCAGAGATCAAGTATAGATTTCTTATTGTATCACAGTATCACAGCAGCCCTCTGGGGTCCCTTCTATAAGGGCACTAATCCCACGACCTAATCACCCCCAAGTCCCTCTCCTAGTACCATCACTTTGGTGATTAAGATTCAACATGGAATCTGGGGGTGACACAAACCCTCAGACCATAGCAAGTTGTCGCCATCTTATTAATGTATTTTAAATGTTAACATTTTGTCACGCTCCAAACATTTTGCTCTGTTGGCTCCCTGATGGGAAAGCCCATGCTTGGGGACCCTCCCCCAGCTCTTCCTGTGCCCATGTCCCGCTGGGGACCCTGTCACATCCACACTGCCAAGACTCTGGGGGGCCGAGTCTTCCAAGAGCTGGGCAGAACAAAAGCACATTGGACTCAAGAATGGGGAGTCAGTCCCTGGGCCCGGCACTCACAGCGCCCTCTGTCCTCGTCTCCTTTACTGCTCAGGTCATCCAGCTGTCCCCAGAGCGCATGCCCTCTTCGAGGACAAGACCCCCACTATAGACCCTAGGCCAAACTGAACAAGTGCTTTTCATATGGATACAGATTTATGTTACTTACTCTAAAATTGTTTAGAGCTCATGATTTCTTATAGTTTTTTTTTTTTTTTTGTCTTTTTTGAGGTGGAGTCTTGCTCTGTTGCCCAGGCTGGAGTGCAGATGCCTGATCTCGGCTCACTGCAACCTCCACCTCCTGGGTTCAAGCAATTCTCCTGCCTCAGTCTCCCAAGTAGCTGGGACTACAGGCACCGGCCACCATGACTGGTTAATTTTTGTATTTTTTTTTTAGTAGAGACAGGGTCTTACTATGTTGCCCAGGTGGATCCTGAACTCCTGGCCTCAAGTAATCCACCTGCCTGGGCCTCCCAAAGTGCTGAGATTATAGGCGTGAGCCACCATGCCCGGCCTTAAGTATTTTTTACAAGTACAATGACAATAATGAAATTTTACCTGGGATTTCACCTGAGAATTCTCCAAAAGTTTACTGCCTCTTTTCCCTTATTTCTTAGAGTGGGGATGACACCCTCACGTTATGTTATACAGCGGTGAGTAAGATGTGCTTCATTGTTAGGATGGAGTGGTATTCAGTACATATCATTTATTTTCTTATTTTTGTTTTTTGAGACAGGGTCTCGCTCTGTTGCCCAGGCTGGAGTGTAGTGGCACCATCACACCTCAATGAAGCCTCAACCTCCTGGGCTCAAGCTATCCTTCCTCCTCAGCCTCCTGAGTAGCTGAGACTACGGACGAGTGCCACCACACCCAGCTAATTTTTGTATTTTTTGTAAAGGTGAAGTGTGTTTTTTTTTTTTTTTTTTTTTTTGACAGAGTGTTGCTTGTCACCAAGGCTGGAGTGCAGGGGTGCAATCTTGGCTCACCACAACCTTCGCCTCCTGGGTTCAAACGATTATCATGCCTCAGCCTCCCGAGTAGCTGGGATTACAGGTGTGTGCCACCACACGCAGCTGGTTTTTGTACTTTTAGTAGAGATGGGGTTTAACCATGTTGGTCAGGCTGGTCAAAACTCCTGATCTCAGGTGATCCATCCGCCTCGGCCTCCCACAGTGCTGGGGTTACACCCATGAGCCAACACGCCCGGCCAGACAGGCCATTTCCATGATGCCCAGGCTGGCCTTGAACCCCTGGGTTCGAGCAAACTGCCAGCCTCAGTCTCCCAATGTCCTAGGATTACAGGCGTGAGCCACTGCTCCCAGCCAGTATACGTAATTTAAATGTTTTACAATTAATTATTTAAATTAAATGATTTAAACAAAATTATTCGAATGATGTAAACACCCTAGAAATAAATCCGGGTATTAAGAAGGAAGAATCACGTTCCAAGGGAAAAGGAGCTAATATTAATCCAAAACATTTGGTGCACTATACATAGTTATTTAGTATATTTACTAAATGTAGTGTGTATAAATAGTCACCAGATAGGTAGGTAAAGACAGAAAGGGAGATTGAATTAACATTACTTTTAGAAGTCAACCGGAGCTACTCAGGAAAGGCCCAGCACTAACATAAAGGGATGAATCGGCCAGGCTGGCCAGTAGGGGATAGCGAAGACTGTGGCAAAACCAAGTGTATGCCTAGCCAACATCATGTTCAGGTTACTTCTCAAACCAGCCAGCACCTAAACCACACGCCTCTGTGGGCTGACAATACATATTTGGGCCAGATGAGGCCTGCAGACGGTCAGCCCCTAAAGAGATGTCTGGTGAGGAAGCTATTTTGAGCTGAGACTGGACAGCTGAGAAGTGTTAGGGACTCATTAACACTTCCCAACCTAAACAACAGTTTAATTCAAGCTGGACAGAGCTGAGACATGGGCAGGCCTGGAGCAGAGTGAATGAGAGATGGAGAAAAGGCTGTTTATAACAATTAAGGTAGAACCCACAGAAGCATTTATAAGCTTTGGAAATAAGGGTTTTAAAACTATTGCCCTGGTAGGTACTTTTTACATCATGTAAGTAAACCCTAAAATGGCCAACATATCTAGGTTTAAAGAGCAATATTAAAAAAGCTTATTTTCTCCATTTTCCCTGCAAGAGATAATCCTAAACATCCATTGTATCAAGCTAGTCAGTCTCTACCTTGAACGTGGTTGCAACTGTAGGTGGCACAGATAACGACGTTTGGAAGAATTAAGTGATTTTGTATTAAAAAGCCCTTATTTCTGAATATATATGGGATATTTTGGAAAGAGGTATACACATGGATTTCTTTTTAATTGGAGATTAGATGTTTAATCATACTCTCAAAATGATCCATGTAGACCAAAATGTGAAGTTGTGCTGGTCTATAGCGGTGTTTTCCAGCTCTGGATCTCCCTGCAACAGCAGCCTCATGACCCGCGAGTTAATCAGAAACAGAACGAGCGGATCCACCCGCCCAGCGAATCAGCCTCTGTGGGGCGAGGCCGGGGGCTGAGGACAGGCTCTCCAGGTGAGTGACCCAACGCGGCTAAAATATATGACCTGCGGTCCTGGCTGCACATCCTCAGAGACTTCTCAGTGAAGTAATTTGGTACAGATTTTAGGAAAAGATATTTACGTTGTCTTTACTAACCAGAACCAGTTTAAATACAGTCTTTTAGAAGGAGAGGAAACAGAATCCATCCTATTTTTCCAGAGGTAACTTTTGTGTGCGTGTGACTCACATCTGTTTTCTGTTTCCCATTCGGAAAGTGTCTCCAGGGAAGTGGCCTGTACCCTATGAGCATGTCCACTAACCAAATGAACGAGAGGTATTCAATCACTTAGGTTAGTTAAAGTCTGTGTGATTCCCCAAGGTTTAGCTCACGGGTGAAAGGGCACATGCTTTCAATGAGATCTAAAGTTTTTAGCAAGTTGATCGTAAGCCCGAGAGACCCCATGGTTCAAACGCAAGCACATGTGTAGGGCACACACATACACGTAGCTGTGGAAGCTTCGTGGATGCACTTTCTCCATCTGCATTTTCCGGAATTTCCCTGCATCACATAGTGAAGGGGAAACCAGATGTGCAGAAAAGGTTCTCCTCGGGAGGCGAAGGCAAACAGAGCTGTCCTGTTTGCTCCCCACTGAAGCCACTTACACATAACTCTGTAGTCCATAGTCAACAAGATGACTCCAAGGGGAAGGAGGGAGGAGGAAAGGAAAAAGTCAAGGCAGAGGAGATTAGCTTGGCAACACACAGCCGAGCATCCATCCATATTCTGTATCATATTATCCCGCCTGCTACACAAGTACCTCACAGCAGATAGCACTGACTGCCTGACTACACACGCCAGGGGCATGTTGCTGGATAGCTGTGCTTTTTCTCCATGTCTGCTTACATTTAATCTTCAAATCACTTATACACAGATTTATATACACAAATGCACATATACACATATACATAAACACACCTGTGCAGGTATACACACAAGGACGTATACATGATAAAGTCTAGTTGAACTACATTAATCATGGGTACATGCATGTACATACATGCACACATAAGTACATGCTAGAATCCACTTATGCTGATTACATTAATCATGGGTGTATTAGTCCGTTTCCACACTGTTATAAAAAATGCCCGAGACTCGGTAATTTATAAAGGAAGATGGTTTATTTGACTCATAGTTCCACATGGCTGGGGAGGCCTCAGGAAACTTACAATCATGGCAGAAGGTGAAAGGGAAGCAAGGCACCTTACTCACAGGGTGGCAGGAGAGAGAAATGCAAGCAGGGGAAATGCTAGACGCTCATGAAATCACCAGATCTCATGAGACTCACTCATCATCACAAGAACAGCATGGCGGAAACCACCTCCACGATCCAATCACCTCCCTCCCTCGGCATGTGGGGATTGCAATTCAAGATGAAATTTGAGTGGGCCACAGAGCTAAACCATATCAATGGGTATATGTGAGTACATAGACACACACACACACACACACACATGCACAGACATGCTAGAGTCCAGCTACACTGATTACATTAATACATTAATCACGGGTGTATGCGTGTGTGTGTATATATACATATATATATATATGTATATATACACACACTATGACATGCTAGAGTCCAGTTACACTGATTACATTGACCATGGGTGTACGCGTGTACATATATACATACACAAGGACATGCTAGAGTCTAATTACACTGATTATATTAACCATGGTGTATGCCTCTACATATATATACACACACAAGGACAAACTAGAATCTAGTTACAATGATTATATTAACCATGGTGTATTCCTGTACATAGATACAAACACAAGGACATGCTAGAATCTAGTTACACTGATTATATTAAGCATGGTGTATTCCTGTACATAGATACACACACAAGGACATGCTAGGGTCCAGTGACACTGATCACATTAATCAAGCTTCAACGCACCCTCTAAAGTCAGTATTACCCACACCAAATGTTAAATGTCATATTTCAACAATATAACAAAATTCTCAGACAAAATGTATCCAAACCTCAAAACCATGCTCTTTCCACACAAAGTACTACCTCCTCTGTGGATACCCTTGATATACTTTATATTCTTTTTTTTTTTTTTCCATTTCAGGGTTAATTATACTTGTTAGGCACATTTTTACTTTTTGTTACACATAAAAATGTTTGTAAATAGATAAAAATTTAAATTTCAGAAAGCTACTCCTGCCTGGACGAGGCTATCTGAAGCACACATGGATCGTTGGCGGGTTCCAAAGGGCAGTATTTGGGGCAAATGGAATAAACTCTCTAAGCTAGTTCAGCCTGAGCTGGTGGTGTGGAGTAAGACTTTGGGAAATGTGAGGGACGTCCCCTACAGGGAGCAGGATAGACAGATGTAGGGAGCAGAGGGAGGACATCACAGCAGATCCAGAGGCTGATGTTGTCTTGTAATGAAATAAAACTGGAGACGGACTAGGGGCTTCAAATCAACGAAGAGGAGCCTGAGATGAAGACTCATGGTATGAAATTTGGGAGAAAACAGCAAAAGGCCAGTTGAGGACGCATTCCACAACCACGTGCCCAGTGGCATGGAAGAGCAGATGTCTGAGGTCATGGCATTCTCCCTCTGCACCACCCCAAAGGCCTGCTGCCACAACTGATGCATTCTCTCTCCACCCCCGCAGACATCACCAGTACATTCCTGACAAAAAGCAATATATTTTTACTCTGCAGATGACAAATGTCTCCACTGCCATTTTCTCGCTGTTTTCACGCGTACAGAGACCCACAAGCCCGCCAAATGAGGACGGCTGGAAAGATTTTCCTCTGCAGATTAGAAATTAAGTCTTGGGTTTCTTTTGTAATAGGCAGGCACAGCCACATTACCATTGTATTTGGCTTTTGCGGGAGGTTAAAGTTATTGACAATGAACTGTTTAAACATGTGTGCAAGCTGCTTTATGGAGCGCCTTTAACGAGAAAGGATGGAGAGGGAGCCTGTGCGAAAGCCGCCCTTACAGATTAGGAGAATCAGAAAACCTACGTCACCCCGTGGCATTCACTGCAAGTGAGGCCCAGCGCGATGGTAGGGAGAGAGTTTTCCATTTTAAAGTTAGTTAAGGAAGAAGAATCATGACTTTTTCGGCAAATCTGAATTTTTAGAGAGGTAAGCCTCCTCACTGGAAGGACCCAGGATGGATGATGTTTCTAAGAAGGGTTTCCCTGGGGCCTTCTCACTTCACGCCAGCCTCCCCATTCAAGCCAGGGCCTGCCTGAGCAATGCAGGACCTCAGAAGCAGAGAAGCCCCTCCATGCCACAAACCCCATGCCCTCATTAGAGAAACGGACAAACCCCATGCCCTCGTTAGAGACATGGGCAGCATCCCTTGCGCACGCTAGTCAAAGCTCCAAAATACTTTAAACATGGGGACCAAGACCAACAGACAACAAGGAGATGCTATCACCCAATGGGCTCCTTAAAGGATCCTCCTCCACTTCCCATGGAAATACTAAGACACCTGTCCTCCCACTGTCATCCGTGAAGTGCCATGTTTGTTTTAGGGGTGAAGAAACTGAAGCCAGGAAAGGTCCTGCCACCTTACTGAGTGGTTGCTTACGGAGAGAATCTCAGATCTTCCGATGGGTCCAGGGGCTGCTGTGTCCTGAATGCTTCAGCCCTTGATACCTAGTGTACGGGAAAGGTCGGACCAAATAGAGAGCACCCTGCCCCGCCCATAACAGAATATATAAAACATCTCCAAGTTTAGGAAAGCTGCCTGGAAGACGAGCCTCACGCATCAAATGACAGCCGGCAGCTCTGTCACATCCCAGACCCAATACAATGCCCAGCTTGTGTCAGCAGCTTGCAGAAGTGTGTGGATGGGACTCCAAATGGTTCGTACCAAGGAGAGAAAAGCATCTGAGGTTTCCAAAAAATATTTCCTTATCTTCAAATATGTTTGCTTTTGTTTTTTTTTTTTTGTTTTTTTTTTGAGACAGTGTCTCACTCTGTCGCCCAGGCTGGAGTGCAGTGACGCAATCTCGGCTCACTGCAAGCTCCACCTCCCAGGTTCACCCCATTCTCCTGCCTCAGCCTCCCAAGTAGCTGGGACTACAGGCGCCCGCCCCCACGCCCAGCTAATTTCTTGTATTTTTAGTAGAGACAGGGTTTCACAGTGTTAGCCAGGATGGTCTCGATCTCCTGACCTCGTGATCTGCCTACCTCGGCCTCCCAAAGTGCTGGGATTACAGGCGTGAGCCACAGTGCCCGGCCCAAACATGGTTTTTAAGAAAATTGGTTTAATGCAATTATCAGTGTGATGTCTGGGAATCTGAGATTGCCATGGACACACACAGACACATGCTCATATGCACACTCATACACACAGATATGTGAAAACACACACCACACTCACACACACTCATGTACGTTGCTGGAATGGGCATCTGCTTTATTTGCATTGAGGAACTCTCTTACACTGAAAAAGGCTGAAGAAAAGAAATTACAACAAAACATATATATTCCTAGATTTTACTGTAGCTTTGTACATAGTAGAGTTGTTACCACTGGAAATGTCCCAGCTACATAGCATTTGCACTTTACATTGGACACACAGATCTTTCTCTGCAAAAGAATGATGACTTAATTAACAAGGGTGATAAATTTACCAAAGTTTGTATTTGTGTCACCTCAAAATCTAGGTCTTGATGGATCCCTTTGAAGTTGTCTGCTCAATTAATAAGCAAAACTAGGCACACAAGATTCAGAATGCCATTGTGAAGCCATGTGCCCTACAAAAGTTCAAGCTCATTTGCAGCTTAGAATAGAGAAAGAAAATTGAAGGCGTATCTCTGCAAATTGGCAACACCCCTTCTAGAATTTAGGATATGTCCTTTAATACGAAGAAACTGGCAGTTGCGACGCTCCCCATCAACATGAAATTCAGTGAAACACAGGCTGTCTCAGGGCAGCAAGGCGACACCACCGAGGCATCCCAACCCTGTTAACCATTTGTGGAAACTGCTAGGCTGTTACCATCCACATGGCGAAGCGACCCTGCCGAGAGCATCCCTGACTCAAAGGCTGGGGGAGGCCTGGCCCAGAACACCTGCTGCTGATGCTTTAACCCGTCTGTTCGGTTGTGTTGTTCAGGGATGAAGACCCACAGGTTTTTTAATTATTGAATTCTGCATCTGACGGCGTTGATTCATAATGAAAAACAGCCAGCACGCCTTCAGTGCCTCCACCAAGCTCTCTGCTGCGTGCTGGAGGCGCTTTACCTGGTAAATCCTCAACATACCTCATGAGAGAGGTCACTTTACTCCCCCAGTCCTACAGAAAGCCCTCTGCTGCCTTCTGGAGGCGCTTTGCCTGATAAATTTTTGCAATAACTTATGAATGAGGTCACATTACTTTTCCACCCATAGAGGAAGCACTTAGCTGTATTCCAGAGATGCTGGTAAATCCTCCCAGTACCCCATGAGTTAGATCGCATTACTCCCCCAGACCTACAGCAAGCCCTCTGCTGCATTCTGGAGGCGCTTTGCCTGGTAGATCCTCCCAACACCCCACGAGGTCGCATTACTCCCCCAGACCTACAGCAAGCCCTCTGCTGCCTTCTGGAGGCGCTTTGCCTGGTAGATCCTCCCAACACCCCACGAGGTCACATTACTCCCCCAGACCTACAGAAAGCCCTCTGCTGCCTTCTGGAGGCGCTTTACCTGGTAGATCCTCCCAACACCCCACGAGGTCGCATTACTCCCCCAGACCTACAGCAAGCCCTCTGCTGCCTTCTGGAGGCGCTTTGCCTGGTAGATCCTCCCAACACCCCACGAGGTCACACTGCTCCCCCAGACCTACAGCAAGCCCTCTGCTGCCTTCTGGAGGCGCTTTGCCTGGTAAATTTTTGCAATAACTTATGAATGAGGTCACATTACTTTTCCACCCATAGAGGAAGCACTTAGCTGCATTCCGGAGATGCTGGTAAATCCTCCCAATACCCCATGAGTTAAATCGCATTACTCCCCCAGACCTACAGCAAGCCCTCTGCTGCCTTCTGGAGGCGCTTTACCTGGTAGATCCTCGTCACACCTTGTGAATGGGGTCACATTTCTCCCCCAGTCTTACAGCAAGTGCTCTGTCGCATTTTGGAGGCTCTTTGCCTGGTAAATCCTCGCGAGAGCTCGTGAGTGAGGTCACGTGACTCCCCTAGTCCTACAGCAGGCTAAATTGAGGCTTAAAGTCTCTTCCCCAAAGCAAAGAAATTAGGATTTAAATCAAAATTGAAGTTCCCAGAAGACATCTTCAAGAACCACGCAATCAGAGAAGGGTCCAAGAACCATGAAATAAACCCAGACACCTCTGAGATGATTGGTCGGGGATAGGTCACGGTCTCAAGGCATCAACTTTTGAAGAAGTTTTGCCAAGAGGAGAAAGGGGGGAAAATATCTCTTTAAAAAAAAAGTCACTTAAAAAAATTTTTAAGACGAGGATACCTGAAAACAATAAGAGCAGAGGGAGCTATTCATGATGAGAACATCTGAGGCTAATTATTCACTCAGGTCTACACCTGCAGGTGCCATCTAGTTTAATGCTATTTAAAGTGTCTCTTCTTTTAGTCAAGATATGATGCAACTCAATGGATGCAGAAGGTTGTACCAGGCAAGATCACTCTTCGTTTGAAGAAGTGGTGGCTGAGGTTGGAGTTCGTCTTTCCCCTGCAATTAGAATTCTTCAAACACGTTACATAAAAAAGCAAAAATTTTTTTTTTTTTTAAGGCAGAGTCTTGCTCTGTCACTCAGGCTGGAGTGCAGTGGTGCAAGCTCAGCTCACTGCAACCTCCGCCTCCCAGGTTCCAGCGATTTCCTGCCTCAGCCTCCCGAGTAGCTGGGATTACAGGCACCCACCACCACACCCTGCTAATTTTTTGTATTTTTAGTAGAGACGGGGTTTCACTGTCTTGGCCAGGCTGGTCTCAAACTCCTAACTTCAAGTGATCCACCAGTCTTGGCCTCCCAAAGTGCTGGGATTACAGGCGTGAGCCACCACGCCTGGCCCGCAAAATTCTTTCAAAAGTTGTTTTGGAACAAACGACCTCAAAATTGAAGCAGAAACACGTGTTGTTTTTCTTACTAACTTAGACAAGATAAAGGAGCAGTGGATGGAAGCAGGAGCTCTGAGGCTGAAGAATAAAGGACAAGGTGTGGTGTGAACTAACTTGGGGGAGTCCTGTATAGTTCTGGAGTTTATTGATGAATCCTCCTATCCCGATTAAGAAAATACAACCGATAGACACTCTGATCCTGATGGCTACCACCAACTGTGGTAAAGCTACATCTTCAGCATCGACTGCCATCAGAACAAAACCCTGACGTGGTCTCAATGCCGAAGGCTACACATGCACGCGAGCTCAGAGGCCACCACTCTACCTCAGAATCCACTGTGAGGCAAAACCAAAGGCGAGTTTCACTGGAATTTCTTGAGTTCATGTTTCAAGAAGTGGCCACCCCTCTATTTTCTGAAAAATGTGAGACACTTTTCTTTGTAAAATTGCATGTAAGTATGTTTCTGTGATGGCTATGATGACAATTTAAGGCAAGTAATGATATGCAAAATTAAGTGTATTTTATATTTAAGAATATTGCATCTGATTCTTAAAGTGGCTAGCACTATGGAAATATTAAGAAGAGAGCTTGGCTGAGGGCTCAATATTAAATATCAGGGTTATCTGCAGGAGACAGGCAAAGGGAGAGAAGCTATTCCAAATGTCCTCTTACCCAGAAGACTTCAAATGTCCTCCTACACAAAAGACTCCAAATGGCCTCTTACCCAGAAGACTCCAAATGTCCTCCTACCCAGAAGACTCCAAATGTCCTCTTACCCAGAAGATTCCAAATGTCTTCCTACCTGGAAGACTCCAAGTATCCTCCTACTGAGACCGTTTTATTCTTTCTCAATTATCTCTGACCACTGCAAACTCTTCAAGGAGCTGATCAATACAAATGCCTTCAGAAGCTTCAGGGTGGAGTACACCACGACTTCACCACACATTTAAAAGGAAGCCATTAGGATAAGAATTAATCTACTTGAACTTTTTTATTCAGCCTAATTCTCAGAAATTTATATTCACCATGAGATTTGTAAAATACTTATAAGCAGCATGCAGAATGTGTACAATTACACCCTATGTGTGGCTCTGATCAAGGGCGAGCGTGCAGGAGAGTGGCCATAGCAAAGTCTTAGAAAATCACAATCTCCACGTTTGCTCCTTATCCCCACCCCTAGGTACACTTCTTCTTTGAATCCTCTTTTCCTAAGGAAAGATGTTAAATTCCACAATTAAGTCATTCCCATTAAGCTGTAGAATCATTAAGTAGAGTTCAAGTTAATCTTTTGTCTCTATGTTGAGGCATAGAACAGGGAACGTTTCATTCTTTGGGAACAATAATAATTATACGTTAAACATTTTTAAATAGGATATATTGTATTGACTCACAATGCATGATCAGATTTTTAAAAATTATTTCTCTCTGAGAGAAAAGAACTTTAAGCCTCCCAAGAGTTAATCAATTCATACACGTAAACTGCAGCGTGCTAATTCTCCATGGCGATCCCTCTGTCTTCCTGTCTCCCCCTCACTCTTTCTCACTCTGTCTCCCTCCCTCCACACCTCACCCCTAGACTCTTGCTACCCAAGGCAGAGCATGCAGCAGCAGCAGTAGCATCACCTAGGAGCAGGTGAGTTGGAAATACAGATTCTCAAGCCCCACCCAAACTTGCTGAATCCGAGCACGCATTTGGCAAGGCCCGCAGAGGATTTTCGTGGGCATTACTATTTAAGAAGCAGTGTTGTAGACTACATATTTTTCACCCTTTTGCTAGGTCCCGAGCTACCCACAATCTGCAAAATCAAAGGGGAGACGGCGGCGGACGTGCAGAGCCTCCGAGAGCCGGGTGAGGGCGCTGTCCCCGCGTCTGAGGCTTCCTGGAGCTGAAGCCAGTGGTTTCCACCCCCGAGGTGCCACCGTTTCCGGCCCAGGAACGCTGAGACCTTCGCGCTCCCCTCGCGTCACAGCCAAGTGTAACTGTAAGAAGCAGTGAGTCCGGAAACGAACAGCCAGGCCTTGGAAGCCTCTCGCATGTGTGGGAACGTCCGCCTTTGCTACAGGCGTGATTTTTCATGTGACTCAGTACAAGGGAGGGGACACGCGACATCCCTTAATCCTTCACTAAACCCAAAGTTAGGGTTCTTGCCTGTAGATTTCCACAGAATATAGCACCAAGAACGTTCTCTATGTCTGGATGGAGGACAATGTCATCAGCGGGCCACTGGGACCACCTCAGCCCCAGGCAAGGCCCAAGCCTGCCTGCTCCAGCCGCCCGTGGTCCTCCGCAGCCAGGACCTGCTTTCTGGGCTGGCTTCACCCCCCACCACTTCCACAGCCCAGCGGTGCCCTCCAGGCTCCACCGTCACATCGCATGTGTGTTCCCTGCGCTGCTGAGGGACAGCTCACTGGGTCTTCCTGTTTCAAATTCTTGGGGACTCTGTACTTGAGGCTGGGGGTGCCAGCAGCTGAGGAGGGGAGGGCTTTCCGAAAGCCCGTCTGCCTGGAGGCTGTCTGCGTGTCACTTCTGTGTCCGTGTGCATCCTCACAAGGACATTCATTTTTAAGTTTTCATGTTAGCTTCGTGCTGCGAAACTTATTATTTTGAAGAGAAAATATCTTAGATCCCTTATGAACTTTCGAGAAAACAGTCCTTATTCATAAATTTGCAAAAGTGTTCTGTGTGGATCTTTATATCACCTATCTATCATCTATCAGTCATCTATCTCTGCCTATCATTCATTTATCATCAACCTATCATCTATCTTCTGTCTGTTATCTATCTATGGATTATATATATATATATATATATATATATGTTTTGAGTTGAGTCTCACTCTGTTGCCCAGGCTGGAGAGTAATGGCGCGATCTCGGCTCACTGCAACCTCTACCTCCCGGGTTCAAGTGATTCTCCTGACTCAGCCTCCTGGGTAGCTGGGATTACAGGCATGCCATCATGCCCAGCTAATTTTTGTATTTTTAGTAGAGTCGGGGTTTCACCATGTTGCTCAGGCTGGTCTCAAACTCCTGACCTTGTGATCCGCCTGCCTCGGCCTCCCAAAGTGTTAGGATTACAGGCATGAGCCACCACGCCCAGCCTATCATCTGTTCTTATCTATCCTCTATCCATCTATCTTCCTATCTAATCAATATAGCTATTATTTATTCATCTATCATCTATGTATGTTCACCTCTCTGTCTCTCAACCAATCTATTTCTACATCTAGATCTACACATAGAGAGAGGAATCAGAAAAGTGTAAGCTTTAGAAATAGTATCTCCCAGCTGGGCGCCATGGCTCACACCTGTAATCCTAGCACTTTGGGAAGCTGAGGTGGGCAGATTACCTGAGGTCAGGAGTTCAAGACCAGCCTGGCCAACATAGTGAAACCCTGTCTCTACTAAAAATATATAAGTCAGCAGAACATGGTGGAGTGTGCCTGTCATCCCAGCTACCCGTGAGGCTGAGGCAGGAAAATCACTGGAACCTGGGAGGCAGAGGCTGCAATGCAGTGAGCCGAGATCATGCCCCTGTTCTCCAGCCTGGGTGATAGAGCAAGACTCCGTCTCAAAAAAATAAATAAATAAATAAAAATAAAGAAATAGTATCTCCCGTCTTTTGGTGTCTAAATGAAGGCTGCTTTTAGAAAGGGGTTGCAGTGTTTGTTCTGCTTGGTCCGCTTAGGGTTTTTTAACCCGGTCTTCTGCATTTCCAGTGGGACAGGAATGTTATAATGGGCTTGGTCCGCTTAGGGTTTTTTAACCCGGTCTTCTGCATTTCCAGTGGGACAGGAATGTTATAATGCTGAAAACCACCGGAGTTCAGTTTGTTTTACAGAGGAAAATAGAATGGGGAGGTTTCCCCAAAGTGTCCTTCTTTTCAAGATGATTGCTTGCCTATCATTTTATTCATATAATCTAAAAAGTTTTTAATCATGCCATTTCCTTCAGTGGGAAAATTAAGTTCCATAGATGTTTCTAGGATGTGGGCATAGAGTGATCCGAACGAGGAACTTTGTAAAGTTGGCATTTAATCTTCTGGTTATTTAATGGGACAGAGCCCCTGGCCCATGTGAGAGGAAAACACAGAGGGGGCAGGTGCCACATGATACCTCCCTGGCATGGCACATGAGCCGTCCAAATACCCCTGATAACAGGTGGGTCAGCCGTCAGCTAGCAGCCCCAGTGGAGCTTCTCAGACTTCCAGACATCGATGGGAATGGCTCAGCCACTGCCTCCAATTCACATCTGTTTCTTTTGCTAAAATAAAAAATCCTGCTTTACTTGTGCTTTAATCCTCCCTCTGAAGTTCTGTGTCATCCATGAAGCCTTCTCTGTTACTCTGGTCAGAATAAATCATGTCTCCTCTGCAAATCCCCCCAATTTCTCATCCCTGTCAGGCACACAACTTTCTGTCTGGCACCATTGCTAGCTGTTTCTGTGCTCCTCTCCTCTTCAACATGGCAAGTGTCTCGAATGCCGTCTGTGTCTAATTTATCTTTGTCTTCACAAGAGGCGCAGAAATGCTGCACATCCCAAGAAATGGTGCTGACTGGAGCCGAGTTGGGTTGTGCCTAATTGAATCCAATGGATATGCCGGGCAGAGGCTGCAGGGTCTATAGGGTCTCTGGGCGTTTCGAGGAGTCCTGTAGAAGAGCTTCTAGGACCAGAGAGAACCCCAGGGCTAACGCTCTCCCAGCTGAGTTTTCTGAGGATTGGAAAGGTTATGTGAGCACAGAAGGAAGCCCTGGTCCTCGCCTTCATGGAAGACCTCCCAAGCCTGGGCAGAGCCTTGTGGACACAGTCAGAGCAGCCCTGTGAACTACTCGTGCATCTTGCAAACGAGGCTCCCTGGGAGAGGAGCCCTGCGCTGCAGGTTGCTGCCTTTGGCACTGTCTTGCACTCCAGAGCCTGGGCTCCTCCCTGCAGGTGGGGACAGAGGCCATGTCCCCTGCAGGGTTCACTGCAGCCTCTGGGTGTCTACTCCTGTGGAGGTCTGCCTTCGCCCCATCTGGGCTGTCAGGATATGGAAGGCCACATGGAGGCCTCTCCATCACAGCACACCTGGACTTCCACGCAGGTTTGTCTCCCTGCTCTGGGCTCCTGGGTGCCGCTTTCCCGCAGAAGCCTGAACCTAACTGAAGGGCCATTGCAGTCATCCTCCTGCTCATTTCTAAGACATCTCAGGCCTCTACATTCCCTTCTGCCTCTTCTTTGTGCTCAGACATTTCCATAGAATAGCCATGTTGCCTGACTTCCATTTTCCAGGCAAGATATGCCCTATAATGCAGCAGCCAGTACAGGGTATGTTTTTTATTTAAAAGGAAATAATTCTTCTCGGGAGTAACTGCTCAACAGAGTAATGGAAGACAGATTTGTCATCTCACACAGCACAACATGCAGTGATACATGGCACAGGCCTAGCTCCCGGCCCTCGCTAATCCCATGTTGGTGCTCTTTGAATTCCTTTGTGTTCTGTACTTGCCTTAAGGAGGTTTTTAAACAATTTCTTTCTGAAGGCCAGGTACGGTGGCTCTCGCCTGTAATTCCAGTACTTTGGGAGGCTGAGGAGGGAGGACTGGTTGAGCCCAGGAGTTTGAGATCAGCCTGGGCAACTAAGAAAGACCCTGTCCTTACAAAAAATTTATGGGCATGGTGGTGCACACCTGTAGTCTCAGCTACTCGGGAGGCTGAGGCGGGAGGATTGCTTGAGCCTGAGAGGTCAAGGCTGCAGTTAGCTATGATAGCACCGCTGCACTCCAGAGCAAGACCCTGTCTCAAGAAGAAAAAAGAATTCTCTCTGGCTGAAATTTTCTTTCTCTCTATACACCCCTTTTTAGACAAAATGTTTTCAATTTATATATGCAATCTTCCAACTAGCCCTTGAATAACACATTATTCATAGCAAAGACACAGAGTACCTCGCTGGGAAACATGAATCATAAGATCAAAGTCACCAAATTCAGTACAGAGACTTGCTGGTCAGCAGGACAGGCCCACCAAATGGCAAATGCAAACACAGGATGGGAGAGAAGGGCACTGGCCCTCGCAACGCTGTGCGAGCAGAGCGTGGATGTGTCTGGTGGACTTAAAGATACGTGTACAGGCAAGAGAAAACCTCGTGGAAGAAATAGGTTCATCTTGAAGGTTAAAGCAGCTTCAGCTTCTCTGTCACTTCCTGGGCAGGAGGCCAGAGGATTTCTCCTAGGATAACAGTGGACTGTGGGTGGAGGCCTCTTTTCTCCTCCTGTGGGAGAGGAGTCAAGCCTCAGGTCAGCAGAAGGGAGATGTTTCTCCTGCGGGTTAGCTGCGCGCTCAAGCACCTAGTGTCCTGAGTTTCTTCAGGGGTTCCTGCTGCCAGCCTAACGTTCCTAAATAGAGCACTCTAGGTTTCTGGCATCAAGGCTATGTGATCAGGTGTGAGGCAGGTACAAGGTGCAGCTCATCAGTCTGGAACAGCTCCCCATTCTGGAACAGCTCCTCATCCTGGAATGGCTTCTCATTCTGAAATGATTCCCCATTCTGGAATGGCTTCCCACTCTGGAACAGCTCCCCATTCTGGAACAGCTTCCCACTCTGGAACAGCTCCTCATTCTGGAACAGCTTCTCATTCTGGAAAAGTTCCCCATGCTTGAACGGCTTCTCATTCTGGAACAGCTCCTCATTCTGTAACAGCTTCTCATTCTGGAATGGCTCCCCATTCTGGAAGGGCTCCCCATTCTGGAACAGCTCCCCATTCTGGAATGGTTCCTCATTCTGAAACAGCTCCTCATCCTGGAACAGCTCCTCATTCTGAAATGGCTACACACTCTGGAACATCTCCTCATTCTGGAATGGCTCCCCATTCTGGAACAGCTCATTCTGTCTGAAATGGCTCCTCATTTTGAAACAGCTCCTCATCTGGAACGTCCAGTTGCTTTGCATTTTCTTCTGACCTCCACTCCATACCCTCAGAGGCCATTGATCACAGTAAAAGCTGCACATCCTAGGTGGCTAAACCATGGAAAGATCACAAAGGTCTATTAGCGCCCTGTAGCAAAATGGGCCACACTACTGTCTGCAGTCAGAGTAGAATTCCTAAAACCCCACCAAATACTTCACCTTGAAAATGCATGCAGGGGACTGAAAGTGCAGTGGCTGAGCCCGCACACCTGCCTGGAGGAGCTGAGGAAGAAAATCAAATTGAGACTTAAAGGATGCTAAGATCTAGCATAGCCAATTTCAGGAGAGAATGCTAAGATCTATGGCAGCTGATTCCATGAGAGCATGCTAAGATCTAGGGTAGCCAATTCCATGACTGCACCTTTTGGACAAGAGGACATCTGATTTATTATGCCAAGAAAGGGCAATCAAGATGAGAGAGGTTTTGTAAGTCCAAAGCCAAAGAAAAAAAAAAAACTTAAGGGCTTTATTTTTGGAGATTTCTCCATTGCATTAAATTAAGCTCTCTATAGCCTGATAGAAAACTTACAATCAAATCCTCATAATAACAAAGGTGTCGATGCAGCTGGTTTGGAGATAGGTGTGGCTGTACAAGGAACAGGGCAGCAAGGAGAAAAGCCAAGGACATCTTGACTGACAGAGGGTCCAGGCGCACTCACCCGCACGCTCTCTGGGCCTCACACTTCCTCGGACTCTGGTCCACACCGCAATGAAAGGTAGGTAGTGCCAGGTCGTGGGAAAGGTGCTTGCTAACATCAGGCCGGTATTCTTGGGACAGTTCCAGGACTCAGGACAGAGCACCAGTAGTGCCTTCTCGGCTCTTCTGTTCCTCAGTCTTCTCGTCTGAGAAATGGGTGTAACAAGCCCTCTCTGCTCTTCCCTTGTAGGGTGTTTTGACTTGGGTTTAGACCAAATAAGGCAATTCCAGAGAAAGGGCTTTGAAATATCCGAAACTTTAAATCAATGTAATGTTTAAGCTGAGAAATTTTTGAATTGTATTCTTGAAGTCTCAGATGCAAAAGAGAAGCAAGAAGAATCCTAAAGTCCTTGAATTTTTCTTTTATTTGCAGGTTCTTGTATCGTGTGGTATAAAGCCCGAAATTCAGGTTGTGTTCACTGGGGCTTCTGGGCTAACAATTTGGACTAAATGAGAATCTATAGGAACTCTTGTCAGAAGATTCAATTTTCTTTTACTAAAATAAAGATCTATAATACTTGTTGCTTTTTAAAAAAAAAAAGAGCACTAACACCTCTGAGCTTTGCCTCCTTGTGCGAGAGTAATGTATTAATAATTGAGGAAAGATGGCAAGAAGGTAAAAAGAGTACAGATAGAATTCCCGGTCCTAGCCCTGAAGGAGTTCACTGATTCTAATCTTTCCTGAAGTTACAACACTGTCCTAGACAGGCACACAAACACACAGAGCAAAGAAACGAATTTCCTTGTTGAAAACATGCCGACGCTTTCTGTATTTACACTCATGTTCACTCCAACGTCCAGCTCCAGGCTGGAGACCACACGAAGGAGGCAGAAGCGGGAGGCAGAAGGCAGGTGAGCTTGTCTTGAGCACAGCCGTACTTAATCCAAACATAACCACCGTGTTCCAGTTTTAATTACAACATTTCACAGATTCTAAGATGCCTTTTCTTTTTTTCACTTTTCATGTGTCTGAGGTTGGAACGCATTTTATCATGGATGGCCTTGCACAGTCACTATTGACCCAGCAAGATCCCAGGTGTCTCTCCCAGTCACTCCAGGAAGATGGTGGTACTATTTGTACAGCCCGGACGCTTCTGGCCCCACAACATGCAAGGGCCCTGGGAGAAAGAAGGAATGCTGTCTGAGGATCTTTTCTTGACACCTTCTGGTAAAATCAAGAATTCCAGAGAACATCAGCACTAAGCGTGCAGAGCCAGTGTCGGGGTTGGAACTGACTACCGGCGTGCAGGCTTGTACAAACGCTGCATTTTCAATACTCTTGATGGCAGGAAATAATGACAGGCGGAAAATTATGAATATTCGTGAGTCCGAGATTTAAAAATGTGTAAGAAAAGGCAGATTCTGTGAAGTTTTAGGAATTCCTTTATCAATGTATTATAAGATATATATATATATACACACACATACACTCATATGGAACATATGTATGCAGATACATGCCAACAGAGTTACATTAGAATCTACATTTGTGTATGTCTTAAAGAGTTTTTTAAAATGTACAAATCAAGCATGGTCATAACTGTTTCAGCAGCATTTTTCAGTCGTGCGTACAGCTGTGGTGTATCTCCCCATCAACGGCTTTTAGATTTAATGGAATAAAATACTGGATTTAATAGAGTGAAGTCTGATGTCTGTGTCCTTCTAAAATTCCTATGTAGAAATTCCTACCTGAAAAGGGATGGTATGAGGGGGTGTTAAGGGGTGGGGCCTTTGGGAAGTGATTAGGCCACGGGGGTGGAGCCCTCTCAGATGGGTTTAGTACCCCCGTAAATGAGGCCTAAGGGGGCTCATTCACCCCTTCCGCCATGGGAGGATGCAGCAAACAGGCTCCATCTGAGTCAGGAAACCCTCAGCAGACACAGAGCCTACAGCACCCGGATCTCCAGCTTCCAGCCTCAGAACTGTGGGAAAGGCGCGTCTACTGTTTCACAGGCCCCAGTGGTGGAATTTTTGTTACAAAATTCTGGATGGACTAAGACTTATGGCTTCAGGGTTAACTCATTCTCACATCAAGAAAGTGGTACAGTTATGACAATCTTCATCAATCATAGCCTAAACTACCCCTGAAGAAATTTAGGGAGGTTTCAGATTGTGTTTTCATCTCAATTAAAATGAGTTTTATCTATCTTCAGGTTTCAGAAATTAAATTTGCATTGTGGACAAATTCAAGAAAGGCATATTTTAAATGTCTTAAAGTCAAAGTAGATTTTTTTGATCTACCTTTACCATACATCCCACAAATACAGTCATGCACCCCATAACAATGCTTGAGTCAACAACAAACCACATATTCTACAGTAGCCCCATATACTACGGTGACCCATACACACACAAACTCAAGCATGGTACATATATGCCGATGCATGCCAAAGGATGTAGATTAAAATCTACATGGAGACAGAAAAGCAGATGAGTTTGTCTTGAGCACAGTCATACTTAATCCAAACGTAACAATATTCCAATTTTACTTAAGAAATTTCACAGATTCTAAGATGCCTAACAACACATTGCTCTGTCATTAAGTGAGGCATGACTGCACGTACTAGCAGGCGAGGAAGACAGTAAATGTTCAATTAATGTTTGATGATTGACCAAATCAGGTGGGATGGTGGGGGGTGGGGGGTGGAGGATGGGGAACGATTTGTCAGACATTTTGGTGAATCCAAGGTTTCACTCAAGTCAAAATAAAAATATTCATAGAGCCCAATGCAAACAAGAAAACACACAGACAACAAAAAACACAGAACGACAATGACAAAATGGCCAAGCAGGAGAGCCGCACGTGTTCCTGACCTGGCTGCAGCTGTCCCTGAGGCCCAGGCCGTCCCGGACCTCACACCGAACCCGAGGTTATGGCCCCCAACCTTCCTCAGCCTCTCCTACCCTGACCACACAGTCGCTCGAGAGCCTTTCTTGATAGGAAAAAGAAATGAAAAGCTTAGCTCATTTTAACAGAATCAAAATGACCCAGACCTTCACATGTTTGTATCACAAGAGCTAAATCACATATTATTTGATGATCTTCCTTTATGTCCAGCTTGGGTTAAGTGAAGCCTTAATTAGAGATGAAAATTGTTATTTTTTTAAACATAAATTTACACTAAGTAGGTGAGTCATTTGGTGTCTGAAAAAATAAAACCTAAATAACTCCAACTTCAGACACACCAGATAATACTCTTAAACTTCCTTAACTGACTTTTAAAGTCAGTTTTTTCCCATTGGTGCTTCCTACAGCACCAGAGAAATCAGCATCTCTGTAGGATCAATGTGTTTGTGTCTGCAGGAGCTCAGATAAAGCCCTGGTTTTAGCTGAATGATTAGTTGTGATACCTTTTAAATGCTCTTTTGGGTATAGAAATGCTGACTTAGAATTTATGATAACACAGAAATCAGCTTATAGAAATATATGAGAACTATCATATCCAGGAATTAAATGAATCCACTCATAAATAAAAACATATTGATATCCACCTGTTAAAGGAGAGGAACTTGATATCTTTCTCACCGACAGATAGCAAGACAGGCACATGGAATTTTTATGCTTGCATACACTATGCTTAGGGAAAACAGGAAACAAACTTCTCTTAAAACGGTTTTATTATTTGTAATTAAGAAGCTTGCAAAATTCTCTCTCCCATTTATTTAAATATCTGAATTATTCTTGAAGATCGTATGTTACATATTTTCATTTCTTCTTCTGCTTGTTTTTGCATATGTGGCATAAATTGTGAGTAAAACTCTTGAATGGTGTTTCATATCAAACACGAATCCTCGTGTCAAGCTCTGAGCAAAGTCGTGAGAGGAGAAAGTATCTCCCAGCAGGATTATTCATTCCTTCTGTTGACGTCATCTACCCATCCACGCCAACTCTGGCCGCCCAAGGCCACCAAGCTAATAGCACTCAATGGTGTTCCGCATGTATCCTCCCTATGGACTTACCAACTCCTAACCACCCAACCAGAGTGGGCCTGTCTCCTGCTTCCCACCCTGCTCTCTGCTCATTGAAAGCTGGCTCTTCTATGCTACTGGCTGGTTTTTACTAAGGCATGCATATGTTTCTCCTCCCATAATACAGATGTGTATATTCACATGGGCCTTTGGAATATGTCCATCTCATGTGCAGCCTAGAAGCTCCTCCACATGGCTCTGTCCACCCAAAATGTATTAGGAGTGACTGATAATTTCAATCAGTTCTCACTTCATCTAGTAACAGCCTTTTCTGAAATTCAATTTCCTCTCAAAAAGAGGCAATGACGCTTCTAAGATCAAGCAACCTTTCGCCTAGGCAAATGACAAACCTATGCAAGTGACAAATTTCTTCCACCATTGAAAATCGATCCATTGGAAATATTCATCATTCCAATCAATAGGGAGCTTGCGTAGGGAAACATGTGTGACTGGGCCGAGGCGGGCAGATCATGAGGTCAAGAGATCAAGACCATCCTGGCCAATATGGTGAAACCTCATCTGTAACAAAAATACAAAAATTAGCTGGGCGTGATGGTGCTCGCCTGTAGTCCCAGCTACTCAGGAGGCTGAGGCACAAGAATTGTTGAACCCAGGAGGTGGAGGTTGTGGTGAGCCGAGATCATGCCACCGCACTCCAGCCTGGGCAACAGAGCAAGACTTCATCTCAAAAAAAAAAACAAATTGTGCTAGTGTAACCATCCTTAACCAAAAGCAAACGATTATTCAGAGACAAATGTGGGTATTTGGGCTCTAGTGGATTTGGGGTTAAAATTTGGAAGTTTGAAAAAGCTAAAGGTTTCTCAGAGCCTCTTTTTAAAAGTAAGCTGCATAAGCTGCCATTCTTTATGAGGCCTCGTTTCATTCCCCTTAAACATGGCCTTGAAATTCCGTATGTGGGAGAATACATGAATATTGAATCAAAGGTGCATGGCTGGCATATTTTATGAAGATTCCCTACAATCTAACTATAAAGCACCACCAGGAAAAAAAAAGATTACTTTTATTCTGGTTGACACAAAATTATGCATTAGAGCTTCCAGTCAAAACAGACATTGTTAGGAAATGTGATAATTTTACTCCAACATTTCCCCTTGCTTTCAGAATTTTTACAAAGATATGGCTCCAGCAGGCACAATGTGGGTACTCTTTTCTAATATGATCAACTGAGCAATTCGTAAATTAAAATAAGAAAAGATGAAATCGCATTTAAACTGCACCACCACCTGGGCTTAATAAAGTTGATATTCCACCTGTTTGAACGCTCAGGAGCACACAATATTTCCATAAACCCCAGCGATCACAGCATGCTTCTTAGTCACCATGGTATCCAAATCACTTAATAGAGGAATAGCTCTGAACGGCTCTACGACACCGATTGATCCCTCACAAGGCAAATACGTAGGAGGCGAGTGTGCGCTGGACACCGCGCAGGTGACAAGAACGCGGCTGTAAGGAGGGCTACGGCCCCTATTATGGCCTAGCTTACAGGCGGGCTGGAAAGGTGGACGTTTCACTGGTAATTAACCAGAATCCCATAGAGGAGCTTGTGGTGGGAAGCCTCTCCTGGTTCAGACATTAGGAAAGGCCTCTCGGAGCGGCACTGAAGCTGAGGTATGCAGGAGCAAGTCGTGTGGAAACGGAGGAGATGGTGGGGAAAGCCACGACCAGCGGAACCCTTCAAATGCCCAAAACGCAGGGCCCTGAGCTTCCTGTGCTCAGCTATCAAGAGGGGCTACTGAACTTGAACCTCAGATGACGTCGGGGCTGGGGGAATGAAGTTGGAGAGAAAGGTGGGCCCTGAGTTTGAGAGGGTTTCGTAAGCTATGTTAAGGGATCTGGACGTCTTCCCAAGGGCCAATGAAAGATGAGAAATGAATTTAACATAAAGCTATTATGGAATGCATAGCTTCCAATGATCATTCTCACAGTTGTGTGAAGACACAGGACTCTCCAGCTGGTCAAATGGGGTACAGAGTGATGACTGAGATGCTGCCGTCCCTGTCCGAGGGGAGTGACTTTGGGGTGGCAATGGAGATGGCAAGAAGAGACGTGCTTGGAAGCACGTGCAAGAATCAGAGCCTCAACTTAGAGCTGATTGTCCTTAAAAAGCAGCACCCCACATTAGGCACAGTCTAACCAGAGTGATGAGAAACCAGGCTCCCACCCACACGAGGGTGAGGACAGTAAAGGCTCCTGACTCAGTATCACGTGAGAAATGCTGACAGAAGAATAGTCCAGGTGGTACCTGGGGAAAACCTTGTTGATTTGGGAGCAAATATGTGTAAAAGCTATCTACAAATAAAGGCAAAGCTGCCCTATAAAGAGTAATCTTGCTTGGCTTCAAAGAGCAGAACTAGGGTCTCCAGGGAGAAGCGGCGGGGAAGCCAATCTTACCTCAGCCTGAGAGAGCTTTCTAACAATGGAGGCGGTGAATCAGGCTTCCTCCAGGACCAGGACAGTGTTACCTCAGCCTGAGAGAGCTTTCTAACAGTGGAGGCGGCAAATCACGCTCCCTCCAGGACAGGGTGACGCCAGCCTGAGACAGCTTTCCAGCAATCTAGGCTGCGAATCAGGCTTCCTCCAGGACCAGGACAGGGTGATGTCAGCCTGAGAGAGCTTTCTAACAATGGAGGTGGGGAATCACGCTTCCTCCAGGTCCAGGATGGGGTTAGGACAGCCTGAAGGAGTTTTCTAAAAATCGAGGCGGTGAATCAGGCTTCCTCCAGGTCCAGGACAGGGTTACGTCAGCCTGAGGGAGCTTTCTAACAATGGAGGTGGCGCATCAGGCTTCCTCCAGGACAGGGGTTTGCTCCCCAGGTGCAGGGGCTCAGGTGAAGAATATGCATGAAGTGGGGAAGCGCAAACATCAGCGAGTATTTGACTTAAAACTTAAAAATTCAGTTCAGAGGGAGGGCAAAATTAGGCTCTGGGTAGCAGATGCTGGGTGGATTCTAACATAAATCTTTCTAACAGTTTGTGTGCTGGGAACACAAAGAGGAAAAGGCTGTTCAGAAGACACTGGGGTTCCTAGGTTCATGGAATCCAACGTGAGGATTTCTTACTCCTTTGGATACTAAGTGAAATGGGAGCCATGCTTGAGAATTACAAATAGAAAACACACAATGCAGGACACCCTATAAATATTGATTCTTAGGCCAACCAAAACCCCCTGAGGGTGACACTTCCAAAGCAGCCACTGGGCTCACATCAAGTCAGAGCAAAGAAGAGTCACCCCAGCCCAATGCCCCTGCTGGAGCATCCAGGCCCCAACAGCAAGAGAAGGACTGGATGGCTCGCCCAGGCAGGGGTGTCTTCCAGAGCCTGTGGCTGCAGCACCCACAAGTGCACTCACCAGGATTTGCACACAGGGTGCCATTTTGTTGTTTGTAGCATCTCAAGCTTCCCTTCTTGTGTTCCTCCCTTGGGTCAGCAGAACCATCCTTGGACACCAGGGGAGAGGGGCTCTTGCTCTGGGCTCTTGCTTGCAAGCTCCTGTGCTGGTCCTCCTACTGCTCCTACAGGGCAAAGGCAAGCCCCCACCTGGAAGCTGAGCCCCTTCCATGTACACTGTGTGATTGTGTGTGCTATTCACACACACACCAGCCCCTAGCCCTTATCACCCAGGTGGCCCACGTCTGACCCAAGCTCACCTGGGCCTCTCCCATGAACCTGGCTTCATCACAGCAGGCCTTAGGCCTAAGAGCTGGCTGGCCTCAGCAGTCTATAGAAAGGTGTGATGGAGCTTGGGCGCATGGTCTTGGATTGGGTGGCTACACTCATACACGGTGGGGGAGGGGCCCTGATTGGGGACCTGGTAATGGGCAGGATGGGAAAGGGGAAGGTCCCTGCTGGGGGCCCGCCCTCCTCATGCCCCATGGCATGGAACTCTAAGAAAATAAGAATTCTAAATGCAGACCAGTCTAGTTCAGGGGTTGGCAGACTCTGCATAAAGCACCCGATAGTAGATAGGTTCAGTTTGTGGGCCACACAGCCTCTGTCTCAGCTCCTAACTTGGACTTGTGGCATGAAAGCAGCCAGCATGTACGTGGCTGAGCATGGGCTCTGCACAAACAGGACCCAGATGTGAGCTGCTGCCCACCAATACCCGTGGTCTGTATTCCTGCATGTATGTTTGTCAAGCTGAGGGGCTGGAACACATGCAGCAGTTACTGACTTAGCGATAACTTCTAAAATATTTAGACAAAATACATGGGGGCCTCCCTGTGTGCCTCTGCCCCATTTCCCATGGGTCCCAAGGGTGTCCTCGAATCTTAAAGAGCCCAGGCTGGGAGGGCCCAGCAAGTGATCTTCTGCCACGAGGGCAGCATCCCAGATGAACACGGGGACCATAGAAGAGGCGGAAGCCCCGGAGATGTGGCCAGATGAGAGTAAGAGGGGGATGAGCAGGGCTCTGATACTAGAACCTAACTTTGACGTGTGAAGAAAATTCTGTATCTCTCCCTCAGAGACATGAGTGACTTCACCTCTGCCTCCTGCTTTGGACGTGACTGTGCTGGCCTTGGAATGCTCACAGCGGGTCCTCTCCTTCTCTGCCTCTCCACAGCTACCCACACTTGAGGGCCGGGCTTGCTCTGCATTTCCCTGAGGGTCTCACCGACACCACCTCTGCCCGGCTTCTCTGGCTCACTGCAGCTTTGCGGGTTCAAGCTGTCATGCATTGCAGTACCTGATGTGCTATTTCTGGGAGACTCATGGGCGTGTGTCTTTCCACATGATATAAAGCCCTGTGTGCCCCCTACAGTGACCTTCCTGTCTGTCACCACTGCCCACCCCTGCACCAAGCCCAGGGCCGGGCACCTCCCAGGCACTCCATAAAGGCTTCCCGGGTTGGCACTGCATCCTCGTGGAAAGGAATGAACTGTGGAACTTACGTCGGCATTGGGACCGTCTACCCTATGTCCCGCGTCGTCGGGATGAGAAGGGGAAGTCTGGTCGGCAACCAGGAGTTCATTTCTCACCATCCTATAGGCCAGTGTTAAAATTCTGTTTCTGTTTCAAGGAAAACACGGAAGGTCAGTGTTTAAACAGATCGCTTTGCCGCTCTCGCTGCTACCTGAGCAGAAAAAACCCATCCCTGCCAGCTTACTTTCTCTGCTGCATGAACCCATCTTTTCAATAAGAAAGGCAACGTCTGCCTTCTTCACAACCAAATCCACTCACTGCGTCCACTCAGGGAGAAGGTGGCAAAATATATTCCCTTAATTGTTAGGATTAATTATTACTCTTTAAATTCACTCCAGTAGCTGGGATCTGGCTGTTAGTCCTAAAGCCCACTTAGCAGTTTTGGTGTTTGTTTGTTTGTTTGTTTTTAGTTGGATTGAGCTGTTCTAATACTCCTTTTTGGGAGCACTCCAGGCACTCCAAACAGCTCACCCTCACTGATAAATGTCCTCGTGTCAAAAATAATTACCCAGTGCAGATGGAGCCATCAGAAGGAGACTGGGACCCGCCTTCCTGCTGTCCTGGGCCCCAGGGCCCATGGTCCTAAAACAACAGCTGAGACAGCGTGTCTTCACCCGGGCAGACAGCCCTCCTGGAAAAGCTGCAGAGACCCCAGAACTGCTCTCCAGACTCATCCTCAACTTCAGAGCCTGATGATCACAAAGGCGAAGAAAATCAGGGCAGCGCTCTCTCCGCCCTGTGATCTTGAAGACGACACTTCCGTTACAGATGCTTGCACTTGGAAACAGAAGCATGAGTTGCCTTACCAAGTACACACTGGCTTGCTGCGGGTGTAGTTCATCACGGTTTTCACAGGCCTCGCAGACCGGACCTTTTCCTAAAGCACCTGATTCAGCCGATGGCAGATCCCGATTCACGAGGCCAGAGCAGCGTGCCAACCTTCTGCAGGTTCCCCAGGTAGCGGTCAGACACAGCCACTCGGGTAGGGATGGACCCGCCTCACCCTGTGGCAGCCCCTTTCTTTCCATCGTTAATGCAGCCCCACTGCACTCAAGGTTGAGAAAACACTCGACAGACGGTTCCCCATAGCTCCAGTCACAGCCGAATCGAGGCACCTACGTCCTCATTTGCATTCATTGATCCTTCCCTGAGCCCCAGCACCAGCCACTCCCCCTGACACCTGACGCCGGGGTCTGGGGGGTGCGAGAGGCCTGTTCATGGGCACCCATGTATGTGTGCGTGTGTGCGTGCACACATCCAGAAACACACTCAGGATGCTCCAAACAGAAAGAAGAGAAGAATGGCTCCAGCAGGTATAAAGGCAAGTGTGCGCTCTCACCTGAGTTCAGGGCAGCAAACTGGGGAGACGGCAGTGATACTGGGTAAGCGGGCAGGGCATCATAAGAGTCTGTGGAAGAAACTCATAGAAAATCAGAAAAATTGACCATTGATAATTGTCAGTCTCCATCAAAATTGAGCAAAAAACAAGTAATTTCCCTCTGGCCGTAACCTACTTGGCTAATTTTATCCTCCTTGATATTACATTTACTGTGAGCATATGGATCATCAGAGCCTGGCACCCAGCACCATGCCAGGCCCGGGACTGACTCCTGCAGAAGTCGCTGACCTGGCATGAAGTTTCAGAGGCGAACAGGAGCTTTCTCCGCACCCAAAGGAATGGACACTGCTTTCCATGAAGCATCTGTTTTTCGCACGGTGATGGAGGTGCACCCCATGATGCAGAAGAGGCCACACCTGCTGAGATGGTTAATTTCAACCTGTCCACAGGACTGGGCTAAGAGAGGCCCAGGTTGCTGGCACACCTGAATTTCTGTGAGTGTCTGTGAAGGAGTTTCTGGAAGAGGTGAGCATTAGATTCAGTGGACGGAGTAAGGACAATCCCCCTCCCCAGAGTGGGCCGACTCCATCCAATTCATTGAGGACTCAGATGGGACAAAAAGGTACCGAAAGAGTAAACTTGTTCCTCCTCCTGGAGTTGGGGCATCCACCTTCCCCTGGCTCCTCCTCCTGGAGTTGCAACATCCACCTTCCCCTGGTTCCTCTTCCTGGAGTTGGGGCATCCACCTTCCCTTGGCTCCTCCTCCTGGAGCTGGGGCATCCACCTTCCCCTGGCTCCTCCTCCTGGAGTTGGGGCATCCACCTTCCCCTGGCTCCTCCTCCTGGAGTTGGGGCATCCACCTTCCCCTGGCTCCTCCTCCTGGAGTTGGGGCATCCACCTTCCCCTGGTTCGTCATCCTGGAGTTGGGGCATCTACCTTCCCCTGGCTCCTCCTCCTGGAGTTGGGGCATCCACCTTCCCCTGGTTCCTCCTCCTGGAGTTGGGGCATCCGCCTTCCCCTGGCTCCTCCTCCTGGAGTTGGGGCATCCGCCTTCCCCTGGCTCCTCCTCCTGGAGTTGGGGCATCCACCTTCCCCTGGTTCCTCCTCTTGGAATTGGGACATCCGCCTTCCCCTGGTTCCTCCTCCTGGAGTTGGGACATCCATCTTCCCCTGGTTCCTCCTGCTGGAGTTGGGACATCCATCTTCCCCTGGTTCCTCCTCCTGGAGTTGGGGTATCCATCTTCCCCTGGCTCCTCCTCCTGGAGTTGGGGTATCCACCTTCCCCTGATCGTGGACACTGGCCCCTAGTGCTCAGGTCTGCAGTTTGGGGAATTATACCAGCGACATTCCAGGGTCCCCACCGTACAGACTGTGGGACTTCTCAGCCACGGTGATCGCATAAGCCAATTCCCATAATAAACCTCCTTCTATGTCTCAGTATTTGTCCTAATGGCTCTATTTCTCTGGAAAACCCTGACTAGTACATCTATCCCTCCTAGCCTAGCTTCCTGGAGGAAATTATAACCCTATTGTGCCCCAAGAGGTGAGCAGGAGTGAGCCAGGAGAGAAGGCCAAATATGGGTAGTCACCCAAGGTGACAGTCACCAGGACTCACCATCCCTTCCTGATGACACTTTATAACACCAGAGGCTACCAGAAGGACACTCATCAACCTAAGGTTGCCATCTCTGTCTATCATAGCCCAGTCCACAGGACTCTGTGTTGCAGTCACACAATTGGCATTTGCACCTTGGCCCACACACACTGGAAGAAGCACTTCACCGTCTGAGAGTGGAACTGGGGAAGAATGATGTGATTCAAACATGCCAGACTTTGAGAATAAACAACCAGACCTTCGACCGCATCCAGAGAACCAGGAGAACCATCTCTCAGGGCTGAGGCCACACTCCAAGGGAGATGCAGAGCAACCCTGGCACCTTCCCCTCAAGAGCCTCCCAGTGCCACTAAAGCAGAGGGGAGGTACGTGGGGACACCCTGCAGGGAGGGCCTGGCTCCCTACATGTTCTAAATCCCCACGTCAGGCAATACCTATGAACTGGCAATGCCAGCCCCTCTCAGAAGTCCAGTCTCTCAAACCTGAGCAATGCAGAAGCCACTTTGATGGAAAATATGTTATTCTGAGAATATATTTTTAGGTTCCAGTTTGAGGAACACTGACCTGAGAAACTAAAAATACATCCAGAGGGGGAAAATAGGTGCATTTGCATTGCAAATTACCTCTTGCAAAGTGATTAGCCTTCATGTCTGGTGAAAGCAATTTTATTGGACTCTCACTGAAATGAAAACACAAAATTTTGAAAGAAAATCTTTGTTGTTAATTTTTATTTTGCAGAGAGTCTGAGGATTCTCATTTGAGAACTCCTGATCTCAGGGATGTATTTATAAGACTTGAGGAAACAAGAGAAGCCTCAGTGTGGTCCAGCTAAAAACTAGAGTTGAGGCTTGGTTAAACAACAAGGGAATTTGGGGAAGGAAAGCATAGTCTGAGTAGACTTCAGCTTTGTCAATCAAATTCCATAATTTCCACTGACTCACGACCAACTCCTGTGTCAAAGGCTCTGCCGGGAAAAGCAAGTAAAATTAATAGCACGGAGTGGTCTTATTCCTAATGAGACATGCAAACCAGCCTACAAGGAAGTAGAACCCAGTGGTGGGGGATTTGGGGGGCAGGTTGTCCTGGGTTCAGGATGTAACCAGGAGAGCACAGTAGCCCACAACCAACATTCGGCTTAGGAGCGGAACCAGCAGAGAACGGCCCTGAGCAACATTTGGACAGCACGTCTGGGCCCACAGGCCTGTTCTGGGATGACCTAGAACCCAGTGGCAGGTGCCTGAGGCCCCCTGTTTTGTACAGAAGAGGAAGAGAGGGAGAGCTGGTACCCACCCACGGGAGGGTTCTCTTTGCACGCTGGGACTCAGAGGGAGTGTCCTGGCATCAGGGCTCTGTGTACCCGAGAAACCACACCCATGGAATGTGATGTTTTGTTCTTTTTGGGAGACTTTCCCAAGGCCCCACATCACCTTGTTACTGGGGCCTACAGAAATCTGAGTAGTGTGTGAGATTAGAAGTGTAATTTTTATCCCTTACAGTAAATAAAATGAGTCTCTCAGCAGCAAGATGCCCATTGAAACAGCCCTTGTTGCCACCGTCTACGAACATCTACTGCCCACGCTTGGCGAAAATAATGCAACCAGTGCCTCTGCGCTGTCAGAACCTTATCAGTGTCCACAACAGAAAACGTAACGTGCTGTAAACATAAAAGGAATCCCCATGGAAGCATCCACCGAAAAGTTGGGGCTGACTGGGGTTAGCGTCAGAGGTATTTACCGATGTCTTCGGGTCCTGACTTCTGCTCCGGGGGCCTGAGCCTCAGAAGCTCCCATTCATCCTGCACAGACGCCCTCCCCAGCAGTGAGCTCTCCCACAGGCCGCCTGCTCCCTGTGCAGCGGGGGCTCCCTGTGCAGCGGGGGCTCAGGGCCAGCTCTACCTGGGATCTTGGGTTTGCCATAAATCACACCACCCCACCCTAAGGGAGGTTCTGCCCCACACCCGAGGACAGTGCTCCTTGGCTACTGAGCAGACAGGGACATGGGCAAGAGTGGCTGATCCAGGAAGCACACGGGTGCCCAGACCAGATGAGAGCAAACCGCCACGCTCAGGTGGAGCAGCAAGCACGTCGCCCGGTACCACGTGTGCGTGGTTCTCAATCTTCTCAACTACTCTGTCAGAAATACTGTCTTCCTTTTACAAACGAGGAGGCTGAGTTTTACAGATATTGGATACACCTGCCTGGTTCACTAGACTATTAACAAAACAGTCCGTATTCAAAGCCAAGGCTTCCAACAGGAAACCTCCTCGTTGACAGCACAGTGGTTTTGCCCTCAGTTCCTCAGGCCCCGGACATTCCCTGAGCCTCAGCACTGGGCCTGCGTGTATCATCACCCCTCTCCCACCCCATCACCAAGTGTCTCCCACCCCCATCACCACCCCCTCCCACCCCTATCACCATCTCCCACCCCTCTCCCACCCCCTCCCACCCCTATCACCATCTCCCACCCCTCTCCCACCCCTATCACCACCTGTCTCCCACCCCCATCACCACCCCTCCCACCCCTATCACGACCCCCTCCCCCCCATCACCACCCCTCCCACCCCATCACCACCCCCTCCCCCCCTGTCACCACCCCTCTCCTACCCGGACTGCAGGTGGCGGGTCTCACCGTCGTTATCTTCCCTGTGCGTTAACCCCTTTTGTCTCAGGCTGAATGTTCTTTCATGACTGTGGTCACTATTGGTTTTTAACTTGATGTCTGAGAAACATGACCTTTCATCCATGTCTGTGATATGTCTGAAAACAGGATTAACCACAAAAATGAAAAATTAAGGACCTGAGTTATTTACTTCAGTTTAGAAAGCAAACGGGACAGAGAGCTTGTGGCTTTCACCACCCGGTGGGGGATTCACCCATCGATCCTGCCGTGGGAAAAACCAGCCTGGTTCCCATCTTCTCCTCAGAACCAACAGGTGAGCAGGGGAGGCAGAGTCTCTGGCCACGTGCAGAAGCACCTGTGGGATACCCTGTCTGCTGTCTGGGGTGGCCAGGCTAACAAGCACTGGTTTCTGGTCTGCAGGAGATGGATGATAAGGCCTGGGGCTGTCTGGGCAGAATGCCTTTTGTCTCTGAGCTTTGCTCCTTGGTGACCACATGAAGAACTGAACCAAAGGCTGTCCCTGGGAAGGAGATGGGTGCAGATGGATGTCACGCACTCTGCAGACAGCCCGGCCTTCAGAGAGACCACCCTGCTCTAAGATGACACAGCCCAGGAATGGGGTGCTGTGTCCTCACATGGCCTGTTTATAAATGTCCCTGTTAAGAGTATTAGTCCATTCTCACACTGCAATAAAGAACCACCGGAGACTGAGGAGTTTATGAAAAAAAAAAAAAAAACAAGTTTAATTGACTCATAGTTCACCCACAGCCAGCATGGCTGGGGAGGCCTTAGGAAATGTTCAGCCATGGCGGAAGGTGGAGAGGAAGCAGGTACGTCTTCCCTTCGTGGAGCAGGAGAGAGAGCGAAGGGGGACATGGTACACACTTGCATTTATTTATTAATATTATTATTATTATTGGAGACAGAGTCTCACTCTTTCGCCCAGGCTGGAGTGCAGTGATGCCACCTTGGCTCACTGCAACCTCTGCCCCCCGGGTTCAAGTGATTCTCGTGCCTCAGCCCCCTGAGTAGCTTGGGATCACAGGTGCATGCCACCATGCCTCGCTAATTTTTTTTTTTTTTGTATTTTTAGTAGAGACAGAGTTTTGCCATGTTGGCCGAGCTGGTCTTGAACTCCTAGCCTAAACTGATCCACCTGCCTTGGCTTCCCAAAGTGGTGGGATTACAGACATGAGCCACCTTGCCTGGCCAACTACACACTTTTAAACAACCAGATCTCAGGAGAACTCACTCACTATCACGAGAACAGCAAGGGGGAAATCCACCCCATGACCCAATCACCTCCCACCAGGTCCCCCATCAGTGTTGGTGTTTACAGTACAACATGAGACCTGGGTGGGGACACAGAGCCAAATCGTATCAATAAGTAAACTTATTATGGTTTGGACAAAATACTTTAGTAAATAGCATGTAAACAGCTTATCACATTCTCCCACTGTCCTTGGCGTTTAATGTTATTTATTTATTTGTATCAGAGACCAAATGTGAGCCACTTCAATCAAGAAACTCATCTACTAAACTAGACTGCAGGACACATGAGTTTCCGTCCTGATTTGCTGCTCACTAACTAGCTGTGAGCCCTCAACCTGTTTCCTATTTATAAAATAACAGGTCAACCAAAGCCTTCCTTAGTCCTAAATCTGACAAGTCCACTGGTTCAGGGGCTTGGTTGCAGGATGGGAGGGGCGAGTGGTAAGGATACTTTGTGGCCTCTCTGCATCCTCTCAGAGGCAGATGCATAAAAATTAATTTAGATAAGAACAATGGTATTCTTTAAATTTTTTTTTTTACTTTAAATTCCAGGATACGTGTGCAGAACGTGCAGGTTTGTTCCATAGGTATACATGTGCCATGGTGGTTTGCTGCACCTACCAACCTGTCATCTAGGTTTTAAGCCCCACATGCATCAGGTATTTGTCCTAATGCTCTGCCTCCCCTTGTCCCCCACCTCCAACAGGCCCTAGTGTGTGGTGTTCCCCTCCCTGTGTCCATGTGTTCTGATTGTTCAACTCCCACTTATGAGAGAGCAGGCAACCTACAGAATGGGAGAAAAATCTTGCAATCTAGCCATCTGACAAAGTCTAATATCCAGAATCTACAAGGAACTTAAACAAATTTACAAGAAAAAAACAAACAACCCCATCAAAAAGTGAGCAAAGGACATGAACAGAGTCTTCTCAAAAGAAGACATTTGTGCAGCCAACAAACATGAAAAAAAGCTCAAGATCAGTGATCATTAGAGAAGCGCAAATCCAAACTACAATGAGATACCATCTCACACCACTCAGAATGGCAATGATTCAAATGTCAGAAACATTGGTATTCTAATAGCGTTTCTTTGCACATCATCATTTAAGCGTGTTAGAATTATGATGCATTTATTGTCATTTCCACTCTTTCAGAGGAGAGACAGTTCCTCTGTGGCAATTGTACAAGTCATGAATCCTAACACCAGAGATCTGCTTGAGACTCTGAACGTTTCTGCTGTAGCTGGTTTCTGTTTTCTGTTTCTTTATAGAAGAGTTTGGTTTTTTTATTTTTATGTATTTATTTATTTATTTTTGAGATGGAGTCTTGCTCTGTTGCCAGGCTGGAGTGCAGTGACGCAATCTCGGCTCACTGCAACCTCTGCCTCCTGGATTCAAGAGGTTCTTCTGCCTCAGCCTCCAGAGTAGCTGGGACTACAGGCACCCATCACCATGCCCAGCTAATTTTTGTATTTTTAATAGAGATGGGGTTTCACCATGTTGGCCAGGATGGTCTCGATCTCTTGACCTCGTGATCCACCCGCCTCGGCCTCCCAAAGTGCTGGGATTACAGTTGTGAGCCACTGTGCCAGGCCTCCTTGTAGAACATATTAATTTAGCCACATCACTACACAATCAGTTTAAAGAAACATG